>NC_000014.9:58096561-58399591 GCF_000001405.40 Homo sapiens | reverse complement strand
TAGGGAGAGGGGGAAGAATACAGAACCCAAGGCCCATGTTTCACAAAGCATCACCTGAAGGAGCTGTTAAAACTGCAGTTTCTTGGACTCCACCCAGACCTACTGAATCAATCTCTGGGAGTAGGGCCCAGGAATTTGCATTTTTAAACAAACTCTTCAGGTGATTCTTATGGATCCTAAAGTCTGACAGTCACTGTGCCAGTAAGAATTCCCCAGGCTACTGGATCAGAATTGCTGGGATCAGGGTCAAATAATCCATATTTTAACAGATGCTCCAGGTAAATGTAATGCAGCAATGGACCATACTTTGGGAAAGTCCTGGGAAGAAGAGGAAGAAAGACCCTAGAAAAAGTGAGAAGAGACTCTTTATCTGCTTTGGTTTATTCATGTGTAAAATGAGAATAGAGGCCAGGCACAGTGGCTCCCTCGTGTAATCCCAACACTTCAGGAGGCCAAGGCCGGCAGACTGCTTGAGCTCAGGAGTTCAAGACCAGCCTGGGCAATGTTGCGAAACCCATCTCTGTAAAAGTACAAAAACTAGCCAGGCATGGTGGTATGCACCTGTAGTCCCAGCTATTTAGGAGACTGAGGTGGGAGAATCACCTAACCCCAAAAGGGTTGAGGCTGCAGTGAGCTGTGATCATTGCCACTGTACTCCAGCCTGGGCAACAGAGTGAGACCCTGTGTCAAAAAAAAAAAAATTAGAATAGAGTTGTGACAATTATATGAAAGGACATTTGAAAATCCTGCTTGTGCTGCTTCTTCACTTGAAATAATTTATTATTTCATATATGGGAAATAATATTAACAATTTATTATTAATAATTATTGATTTATATCAATAAATGATAGTGTGACTTAGTTATGGCTTAATATGAATATAATTAGATTATATTATAATTAAAATATGATTAATTTATATTAATATAAATCATTTATTATTTCCCATATGAACTGCCATTGACTGATTTTCTTGTCTTCAACTTCCTTTCTCCACACTGGAACCAGAATTGTCTTATTTAAAAAATAAAACCAAAATAATTGTGTCTGTTCTCTGAAATAAAGTCACCATCATTAGTTATCCACCACAACAGAAAAATGTCCTGACTTTTCAGTTTGGCATTCAAAGTCCTCCACGGTAAGACACTAAACTGACCCTCAGCTATCTCTCTGGCCATAATACTCCTTGAACATTACAATTTCATGTTCTGTGCCTCTGCACAAGGTGTTTCCCTCTGCCTACAATGAACAACAATATTCAACAAACATTTGCTGGGCACCTACCGCACTAGACTCTGTTCTAGGCACTGGAAACAATGGAGAGTAAAAAACAAAGTCTGCCCTCACACAGCTTAGTGTAATAAACGGAAAGCATTAATCAAATAATTACACAAATGTGCAAGTGAAACCATGGACAATGACGAGGGACATGGAGCTGTATCAGGCTCTGTCTCAGTCAAGTCAGGGAAGGTATCTCCACTCCCATGTCCAGCTCTTTGGACACTCCCTACCCAGCTAACTATGTCAAATGGGCTTTTATTCTCTACTGTGATTCCATTTTGAAACCCCGGAAGTGTCTTTGACTCCGCCTCTCCATTACCCTTTACTCAGTCGGCATGAACTGTATTCTTCCCAGTTACCACTACCACCACCATAGTTCAGGATTTTTATTACCTCTCAACTAAATTGCTGCAATAGCTTGTTTTCTTTTCCAATCCATTAAGTACACTCCTGCTTGATCAATCTAAGAATATTTCTCTTCTGCCTTTCTTTCCTTCTTTTTAAAAAATTCCTGCTTAGAAATCTTCAGTAATTCCTCCATTGAATCTCAGTTCCTTAACCTGGCCTTCAAAGCAAGCCTTCCCTAATTCAATCCTACTTTCGCTCTCCAACCTTACCACCCACTATTCCTCAGTATGACTCCTTTGCCAAACTGGTTTACTGAATGTGCTTGGCAGATGCCCCACTTTGCATCTTTATGCACATGCTGTTCCCTCCATCCTGTATCCTCTCCCCTGAAACCAAGCCACAAATTCATCATCCTTCCAGGCTCAGTTCAATGCCACTTCCGCTACAAAGTCTTCTCCGGAAAAACTGCATGTTTCAAAAATGGCTACCGCAATATTCCCGGTCACACAAGTGCTTTCAAAACCTTGCCATCCCTGTTGAGAGGTAGAATCTATTTCCTCTCCCTTTAAATTGAGTAGGCTTCAATGTTGCCAGAAGTGGTACCATCTGCTCTTCCACATGGGCACATGTTCTAGTTCACATGCATGTGCGTGCTCTCTCTATACACAGACACACACACACACACATATATATACACACATACATATATGTGTTTGCTTGTCCCTTGGGACACAGCCCATCACACAAATGAAGAATCCCAGATCACACAGACGTGTAGGTGCTCTGGCTAACAATCTCAGCTAAGTAAACATCCAGCATCAACTGCGGATTGCTTGTGGCCAGGAGTTCTAGTTCAGCCTGGGCAACATAGGAACACCCTTGTCTCTTTCTTTTTTTATAGACAGTGTCTTGCTCTGTCGCCCAGGCTGCAACTGCCACCTCCCGGACTCAAGCAATTCTCCTGCCTCAGTCTCCCAAGTAGCTGAGACTACAGGCACACGCCACCACTCCCGGCTAATTTTTGTATTTTTAGTAGAGACAGGCTTTCACCATGTTGGCCAGGCTGGTCTCAAACTCCTGACCTCACGTGATCTGCCCGCCTTGCCTCCCAAAGTGCTGGGATTACAGGCGTGAGCCACCAAGCCCGGCCCGCCTCTTAAAAACAACAAAAAAGGGACTAATCAAATTTTGCCGCAGAGATTTACAAAACACGAAGATGCCTTCTGCTTCTGAGCTACAAGAAAGGCCCTGCGGGAGAACAATCTAGAAGTTACTGCCATGTGACCGTGGCCAGCCTGGGTTTTTAAGTGTCCTGTGCGGCTCTGACAGGGCAAAAGGCTCCTCTTCCTTCTTCCAGTTAAAAGAAGTGCCTGTTGTACAGTGTTTTGCTTTGCAGCTGCCTTTTTATAACTCCAACTTCTTCCTCCTTCCTTCCCTCCCTTTTGTGAGAGGAGAGTGACTGGGCCTGAGGCGGTGCGTGGCGCGCGAGGGCAGGCCTCTTCCCGGGCACGGGCGGCTGAGGGAACTAACTACCTGCTGCCGAGCCCGCCAGGAGCCAAGCAACCCAGCGAGCCCGGACCTGCGTCTACTGAGCTACCTGTGCGGATCGAAAGCACTGCACCTGCGTGCCCTGCTCCTCAGCCTTTTGAGGCTCTGCTCTTCTTTCTGCGAACACAACACGGCACATGCTGGCTGGGAGGCCCGTCCAGAGGCACGCGTGGGCCCAGTGGTCCTGCCTGCCCGGGCGCCGCGGGCCCCTCGGCAGAGGCTGAGGCACTCACGGCCCGGCCTCTCAGTGGGGGGCCCTCCCGGCCGGCAGCCCGCCCGCGCTGCCCGGCCCGGCCGCGCCTCCGCCTCGGTCCCACTCACTGTCCCGCAGGCGGCGCTTGAACGCGGGGTCCCCGCGCCGCTTCCGGTTGAGGTAAATACAATAGCCCAGGAAGGCGAAGGCGCCACAGGCCGCCGCGGCGGCCAAGAGGCGGAGGAGGGAGCGGACGGAGGGCATCCGACCGCGGGCGTCCCACAAGCCGAGCGTTGGGCGCGGGCCGGCCGGCAGGGGGCGTCGGCGCGGCGGCCCATCCGGCCTCGGGGCCTCCTGCGCACCCAGCTGCGCGTTGACGCCTCGCACCCAGGCTTGCGGACCGATGAGGAAGCCGAGCGTTCGAGAGGGTGTGTGCGGGAGCCCTCACAGCCACAGAGTAGCAGAGCTCTGTTCGAACCTACGTCTGTCGCACTCCAAATTCTGAACCCTTTCTCCAAACACGCCTCTGCCCCTGTGTCTACAACACCCATTCAGGCAAAGCACAGTATGCTGCGAATCTGCTTTACTGGGAGCCAGTGGTCGTTTAGGTCTCTGTTCCCTCACCTGCAAAATTAAGTTGACTCTAAGGTCAACTTTGGTCACCTCCTAGTTCACATTGTCTAACAGTAGCCCGTACTCCCCAATCTGGTATCCTTTGTCTCCTGAAAGGACCCAGCAGTCCAAGGTCCAAGGGAGGAATTCAGAAGCAACACTGTTTAATCTAGAAAAATACGTTAAATTGCTGGGCTGAGACTGACAGTCAAAGGTCCCAAAGCAAAAACAACTGAGAGTCCCATGATACTGGCCTAGCTGCTTTTCTAATATTTGCCTTACTCAGCGGACACAGCAGAAAGAAAGAAGGTAAGACTTTGTCCTAAATACCAGAGTTCTGACTTTTCTACTAAGGAGGAGAAAAGGCATAAGCTAGGGACCTAAAGAACTAGATAATTCATTTTTATTTAGGTTATACAATTGCTATTTACTGATTTACAATTTACTGTTATTACTAGTGTGTGCATAGCAAGGTGCTCATCACTGCTCTGAATACCAGTGGGTCTAGCTAGGTGCAGTGGCTCACAACTGAAATCCCAACACTTTGGGAGGCTGAGGTGGGAGGATCACTTGAGCTCAGGACTTGGAGACCAACCAGCCTGGGCAACATTGCAAGAACCCATCTCTAAAAAAACAAAACAAGGGCCGGGCACAATGGCTCATGCCTGTAATCCCAGCACTTTGGGAGGCCGAGGCAGGCAGATCACAAGGTCAAGAGTTCGAGACCAGCCTGGCCAACATGGTGAAACACTGTCTCTACTAAGAATACAAAAATTAGCTGGGTGTGGTGGCATGTGCCTGTAATCCGTTACTTGGGAGGCTGAGACAGGAGAACTGCTTGAATCCGGGAGGCGGAGGTTGCAGTGAGCTGAGATTGTGTCACTGTACTCCAGCATGGGCAACAGAGCAAGACTCCGTCTCGATAAAACAAAACAAAAAAATACTGGTCGTGGTGTGCACCTGTAGCCCTAGCTACTCTGCAGGGATCACTTGAGCCTAGGAGTTGGAGGCTGCAGTGAGCTCTGATCACTGCCACTGCACTCCTGCCTGGGTGACAGAATGAGACCCTGTCTCTATAAAAATACATAGGTGGCTGGGCGTGTTGGCTCACGCCTGTAATTCCAGCACTGGGAGACCGAGGTGGGTGGATCACCTGAGGTCAGGAGTTTGAGACCAGCCTGGCCAACATGGTGAAACCTCATCTCTACTTAAAATACAAAAATTAGCTGGGCATGGTGGCACAAGCCTGTAATCCCAGCTACTTGGGAGGCTGAGTCACGAGAATTGCTTCAACCCAGGAGGCGGGGAGGTTGCAGTGAACTGAGATCAATCACACCACTGCACTCCAGCCTGGGCAACAGAGTGCGACTCTGTCTCAAAAAAAAAAAAAAAAAAATATATATATATATATATATATATATATATATAGAGATAGATAGGTAAATTATAAATTAGTAGATAGATTAAAAAACCAATGGGTCTGAGTAGTAGCCTCAGCCCTCAAAATTTAAGAGTTAGCAGGGGTAAGTTACATATCATGCTTTCTTGAGTACTGTATGTTTTTTCTCATGATAATTGTCTTCTAGAAGGGAACTTGGTTATTGTGAAAACCTGATTGTAAACACAGAGGAGAGGATAGTGTCAGCATCTTGTAAGTATTACTGGTGATCAGGGACTGGTTCAGAATCTTGGCAAGGGTTTAGCCCAGCTTCAATTGATCTTTCTTTAGGTTGACGGCAACTTGTCTTCTAAGACCACCAATCTTGTGGCTTTCTTCCCATCTTTCACCTTCCCTTTCACATAGTTAATGCCTGTGGTAAATGGAGAGGGATGGAGCGAGAGAAACTGTTGAGATTAGCTGGGTATTCAGGAGCAAAGTAAACAGTGACACATAAAAGTAGGAGAATTATTACAGCAATTAGGAATAAACAGATTTCTAAAGTTGAAATTGCCAGAGAGAGAGGCCATGAGGAAACATAATTGAAAAATTAGGCAAGTTTCTATGGGACAGGTAGATATTTTCTTCTCAGATATAGGCACCACTCTTGCTAATTTGGTGATCAGAATTCCTATAAAGCTTTGATAATTTTCATATTGAGATAGCACTAATAGTTGTCTTCAAAACATGGTTCTATGCTGGATGATAGCTCTCTTTCTTTTATTTATTTATTATTATTTTTTGAGATGGAGTTTCACTTGTTGCCCAGGCTAGAGTGCAATGGCACGATTTCCAATTCTCCTGCCTCAGCCTCCTGAGTAGCTGGGATTACAGGCGTGCACCACTACGCCCAGCTAATTTTGTATTTTTAATAGAGATGGGGTTTCACCATGTTGGCCAGGCTAGTCTTGAACTCCTGACCTTGGGTGATCTGCCCGCCTCAGCCTCCCAAAGTGCTGGGATTACAGGCATGAACCACCATGCCCGGCCACTCTCTTTCTTTTAAATCACTTTATCGAGGTAAAATTGATATACAATAAATTGCAGATATTTAAGGTGTACAGTTTTATAAATTTTGACATATGTATGCATCCAGGAAACTGTCATCAAAATCAAGATAGTAACCATATATCTATCTACCATTAAAGGTACTTCTTTAATACCTTCTCCATCCTTCCTTTCCCTTGCCACAAACATGCCCTACTTTCTGTGACGGTAGACTAGTTTACATTTTCTAGAGTATTATATAAATGGAATCATATAGTATGTACTCTTTTATTGTCTGGCTTCTTTCACTCAGTACAATTATTTTGAGATTAATCCATGTTATTGTATCAATAGTTCATTTTTATTGGTAAGTAGTAGTCCATTTTATGATCACATCAAAATTTGTTTAACCATTCATCTGTTGAACTTTGAATTGTTTCCAATTTTTGACTATTACAACAAATAAAGTTGCCATAAACATTTATATAGAGGTCTTTATATGAATATGCCTTTCCTATTCTCTTGAGTAAATACCCAAGGTAAAATAGCTGAATCCTAAGGTAGGGATATGTTTTTTTGTTTGTTTGTTTGTTTTTGTTTTTTAAGAAAATGCCAGCCAGGCGCAGTGGCTCACGCCTGTAATCCCAGCGCTTTGGGAGTCCGAGGTGGGGGGATCATGAGGTCAGGAAATGGAGACCATCCTGGCTAACACGGTGAAACCCCATCTCTACTAAAAATACAAAAAATCAGCCGGGCATGGTGGTGGGCGCCTGTAGTCCCAGGTACTCAGGAGGCTGAGGCAGGGGAGTGGCGTGAACCCGGGAAGCAGAGCTTGCAGTGAGCCGAGATCGCGCCACTGCACTGCAACCTGGGCGACAGTGTGAGACTCTGTCTCAAAAAAAAAAAAAAAAAAAAAAAAAAAAAAGAAACTGCCAAACACTTTTCCAAAATGGTTATACCATTTTGCAACATCAATGTAGAAGAGTTCTAGTTCCACTGAGCGCGGTGGCTCACGCCTCTAATCCCAGCACTTTGGGAGGCTGAGGTGGGTGTTCAAGGTCGGGAGTTCGAGACCAGCCTGGCCAACATGGAGAAACCCCGTCTCTACTAAAAATACAAAATTAGTCGGGCATGGTGGCGCATGTCTGTAATCCCAGCTACTCGGGAGGCTGAGGCAGGAGAATCACTTGAACCTGGGAGGCGGAGGTTGAGGTGAGCCGAGATTGCGCCATTACACTTGAACCTGGGCATCAAGAGCAAAACACTGTCTTAAAAAAAAAAAAAAAAGAGTTCTAGTTCCTCAATATTGTCACTAACACTTGTCTGTGTCAAATTTATAAATTTTAGCCATTCTAATAAGGCTATAGTAGATTCTCACCATGAGTTTCATCTTGCATTTCCTTAATGCCTAATGATGTTGAGCAACTTTTTAAATAGACGTTAATTTTTAGAACAGTTTTAGGTTCACAACAAAATTGAGTATAAAGTACAGAGTTCCTGTATCCCCCCAACCCCCACACATGCATAGTCTCCACTACTATCAACATCCCTCACCTGAGTGATACATTTGTTACAATTAATGGACCGGCACTGACACATTATTACCATCCAGAGTCCATAGAGTTTACATTAGGGTTCATTCTTGGTTTTGTACAAATGTATAATGGTTTGGAAAAATATATAGTGACATGTATCCACAATTCTAGCATCATAGAAAATAGTTACAGTGCGCTAAAAATCCCCTGTGCTCCACCTATACATCCCTTCCTGTCCTCTAAATGCTGGCAACCACTTATCTTTTTACTATCTCCATAGTTTTGCCTTTTCCAGAATGTCATATATTTGGAATCATACAGTATATAGCCTTTTCAGATTGCCTTTCTGCACTTAGCAGTATGCTTTTAAATTTTCTCCATGTCTTTTCATGGCTTGGTAGCTCATTTTTTTTGGTGCTGAATAATATCATATTCTGGATACACCCACAGTTTTTCCATTCACCTACTTGAAGGATGTCTCAGTTGCTTCCAGGTTTTGACAATTATAAATAAAGCTGCTATAAACAAGCATGTGCAGGTTTTGTTTGTTTTGTTTTTTTAGACAAGGTCTTCCTTTGTTGCCCAGGCTGGACTGCAGTGGCACGATGATCAAAGCTCACTGCAGCCTCAGCCTCCCAGGCTCAAGCAATCCTCCAATCTCAGCCTCCCATGTAGCTGGGACCACAGGCATGCACCACTATGCCTGGATAATTTTTTTATTTTTTTTTTGTAGAGATAGTGTCTCCCTATGTTGCCCATGCTGGATGTGTGCAGGTTTTTGTGTGGCCGTAAATTTGCAACTCATTTCAGTGTATACTAAGGAGTGTGACTGCTAGATCGTGTGGTATAATTATGTTTAGGTTTTTGTTTGTTTGTTTGTTTTTTCAGACAGAGTCTCACTCTGTCACCCAGGCTGGAGTGCAGTGGCACGATCTTGGCTCACTGCAACCTCCGCCTCCCGGGTTCAAGCGATTCTCCTGCCTCCTATTCTCCGAAATAGCTGGGATTACAGGCGCCCACCACCACGCCCTGCTAATTTTTTTATTTTTAGTAGAGATGGCGTTTCACCACCTTGGCCGGGCTGGTCTCCAACTCGTGATCTCGTGATCCGCCCGCCTCGGCCTCCAAAAGTGCTGGGATTACAGGCGTGAGTCACCACGCCCAGCCCATGTTTAGTTTTATAAGAAACTGAAGGCCGGGCACGGTGGCTCACGCCTGTAATCCCAGCACTTTGGGAGGCCAAGGCAGGCGGATCACGAGGTCAGGAGATCGAGACCATCGTGGCTAACGTGGTGAAACCCCGTCTCTACTAAAAATACAAAAATTTAGCCAGGCGTGGTGGCACGTGCCTGCAGTCCCAGCTACTCGGGAGGCTGAGGCGGGACAATAGCGTGAACCCGGGAGGCAGAGCTTGCAGTGAGCCGAGATCCCACCACTGCACTCCAGACTGGGTGACACAGTGAGACTCCATCTTAAAAAAAAATAAAAAAAAAGAAAGAAAGAAACTGAAGACAGCCAAACTGACTTCCAAAGTGGCTGTAGCATTTTTGCATTCCTAGCAGCAATGAGAGTTCCTGTTGCTCCACATCTTCCCCAGCATTTGGTATCGTCAGTGTTTTAGATTTTTACATTCTAATAGGTGTGTAGTAGTATCTCAGTGTTTTCATTTGCAGTTCTCAAATGACATATACATATGATATTGAACATTGTTTCCTATGCTTATTTCCCATTTGTATATCTTCTTTGGTGAGATGTCTGTTGAAATCTTTTGCCAATTTTTAAATCAGGTTGTTTTCTTAGTGTTGCATTTTAAGCTTTGTATATTTTGGATAACAATCCTTCATCAGGTCTGTCTTTTGCAAATATTTTTTCCCAGTCTGTGGTTTGTCTTCTCATTCTCTTGAAGAGCATCTTTTTTTAATGTGCATAATTGCCATCCATATATCTTCTTAGTTGAAGTATATGTTCACATCCTTAGTCTATTTTTTAGAAATTGCATTTTTTACTGTTTTGATAGTTCTTTCTATATTTTGAAGTCCTTTATGTGATGTGTACTATGCAAATACTTTCTCCCAGTCTGTTTCTTATGTTTTTATTCTTTTAACAGTGTCTTTTAAAGTACCAAAGTTTTAAATTTTGGTAAAGTCCAATTTATCAATTTGTTACTTTATGCTTTTGATGTTGTATCCAGTAATCTTTGCCTAACCCAGTTAGGCAAAAGGTCACAAATATTTTCTCCTATTTTCTTTTAGATGTTTTATAGTTTTAGGTTTTCTGATCCATGTTGTGATCTATTTAAGGTTGTGATCCACTTTGTTTTCATATATCTTGCAAGGTATGGATCCAAATTAATTTTTTGCATATGGATGTCCAACTGTTTCCCTCCCTCCCTGCCTGCCTTCCCTTCCTCCCTCCCTCCCTCCTTCCTTTCTTCCTTCCCTCACTCTTTCTCTCTCTTTTTCTTTTTGAGGCAGAGTCTTGCTCTGTTGCACATGCTGGAGTGCAATGGCCTGATCTCGGCTCGCTGCAACCTCAGCCTCCTGGGTTCAAGCGATTCTTCTGCCTCAGCCTCCTGAGTAGCTGTGATAACAGGTGCCCGCTACCACGCTCGGCTAATTTTTTAATTTTTTTAGTAGAGACGGGGTTTCACCATGTCGGCCAGGCTGGTTTTGGACTCCTGACCTCAAGTAATCCGCCTGCCTTGGGCTCCCAAAGTGTTAGGATTACAGGCGTGAGCCACTGTGTCCGCCCTGCACCATTTCCTTAAAAGGCTGTCTTATCTTCACCATATTGCCTTGGCACCTTTGTCAAAAATCACTTATCCATACATATGAGAGCGTATTTTTGGCTATTCAGTTCTATTGATCTATTTGTCCATCTTATTCCAGTACCACCCTGTTTTTGATTACTATAGCTTGATAATAATTATTGAAATTAGGTAATGCTAGGCCTTCAACTTAGTTCTTATTCAAAGTTCTTTTCGGCTTCTCTAGGTCCTTTGTATTTCCAGATGAATTTTATAATTAGCTTGTCAATTTCTACAAGATGCCTGCTGGTATTTTTATTGGGATTGCACTGAATTTGAGGAGCAAAGAATCTCAACAATACTGTTTTATGACCCATGAACAAGGTATAGTCCCTCATAAAGACTGTCTTTGTCTCAGCAATATCTTGCAGTTTTCAATATAGAGGTCTTTCCCATCCTGTCAGATTTATCCCAATATATTTCATATTTTTATGCTACTGTAAACGGTATTTTAAAATTTCCAATTATTCAGTCTTTATTGCTAGTGCATAGAAATCCAAATGATTTCTGTATATTAAACTTGCATCTCATAATCTTGCTAAACTCACCAGTCTAGATACCTATATGATTTCTTTTTCTTACCTAAATGCTCTGGCTAGAACTCCTAGTACAATGTTGAATAGAAGTGGTGAGAGGCCGGCCGGGTGCGGTGGCTCACGCCTGTAATCCCAGCATTTTGGGAGGCTGAGGTGGGCGGACCACGAGGTCAGGAGATCGAGACCATCCTGGCTAACACGGTGAAACCCCGTCTCTACTAAAAATACAAAAAATTAGCCGGGCCTAGTGGCGGGGGCCTGTAGTCCCAGCTACTCGGGAGGCTGAAGCAGGAGAATGGCGTGAACCCGGGAGGCGGAGCTTGCAGTGAGCCGAGATCGCACTACTGCACTCCAGTCTGGGCGACAGAGCGAGACGCCATCTCAAAAAAGACAAACAAACAAAAAAAAAACAAAAACAACAACAACAAAAAAGAAGTGGTGAGAGGCCAGGTGTGGTGGCTCATGCCTGTAGTCTCAGCACTTTGGGAGGCCAAGATGGGAGGATTACTTGAGCACAGGAGTTCAAGCCCAGCTGGGCAACATAGTGGGACCCTATAACTATAAAAACTACAAAAATTAGCCAGGCATGGTGGCGCGAGCGTGTACTCACAGGTACTTGGGAGGCTGAGGTGGGTGGATGGCATCAGCCCAGGAGATGGAGGCTGCAGTGAGCTGTGATCCAACAACTACACTCCAGCCTGGGTAACAGAGTCAGACCCTGTCTCAGGGAAAGAAAAAAAGCAAAAAAAAAAAAGCAGCAGCAGGTAGAGTATATATGTGTCTCATTCCTAATCTTGAGGAAGGCCAGGCATGGTAGCTCATGCCTGTAATCTCAACTCTTTGGGAGGCCAAGGTGGGCAGATCACTTGAGGTTAGGAGTTCGAGACCAGTCTGACCAACATGGTGAAACCCCATCTCTTCTAAAAAAAAAAAATACAAAAATTAGCCGGGCGTAGTGGCAGGTGCCTGTAATCCCAGCTACTTGGGAGGCTGAGGCAGGAGAATCACTTGAACCAGGGAGGCAGAGGTTGCAGTAAGCCGAGATCATACCACTGCCCTCCAGCCTGGGCAACAGAGTGAGACTCCATCTCAATCAATCAATCAATAACTTGAGGAAAAACATTCAGTCATTCATCATTAAATATGATGTTAACTATAGGTTTTTCATAGGTGTCCTTTATCAGTTGAAGAAGTTCCCTTCTATGCTTGCTTTGTTGAGAATTTTTATTGAGAACAGATGGATTTTGTCAAATGCTTTTTTCTGCCTCATAAGGTTTTTCTTTTTTAACTTAATATGGTAAATTACATTGATTTTTATTTTGTTTTTGAGACAGGGTCTCACTCTGTTGCCCAGGCTGGAATGTAGTGGCATGACCATAGCTCACTGCAGCCTTGAACTCCTGGGCTCAAGCACTCCTCCTGCCTCAGGCTCCCAGGTAGCTGGGACCACAGACATGCACCACCACACCTGGCTAATTAAAAAATTTTTTTTGTAGAGACTCACTCTCATTATGCTGCCCAGGCTGGCCCTGAACTCCTGGGCTCAAGTGATCCTCCTGCCTCAGCCTCCCAGAATGCTGGAATGACAGGCGTGAACCACTATGCCTCACTGATTTTTAAAAAATATTAAACCAATCATGTATTCCTGAAATAAATCCCACTTGGCCCATGTTGTATTATCCTTTTAATATGTTGTTGACTTTTATTTACTGAAATATTGTTTAGAATGTTTGCATGTATTTTCGTGAAAGATATTGGTCTTTAGTTTTCTTCTCTTGAAATGCCTTTGTCTGGTTTTAGTGTCATACTAATGCTGGTCTTGTAGAGTGATTTAGAAGAAATCTTCTTCAGTTTTTTGGGAGACTTGGAGTTGAATCACTATTATGCCTTCATTAAATGTTTGGTAGACTTCACTACTGAAACCAGCTGGATCTGGAGTTATTTTGTGGGGAGTTTTTTTTAACATCAATTCCATTTCTTTATAGATATAGGGCTATTCAGGTTATCAACTTCTGGAGTGAGCCTCAATAATTCATGTCTTTCAAGGAATTTTTCTATTTCAGCTAAGTTGGCAAATATATTGGCATAAAGATGTCCATGATATTCCTTTTTTTTTTTTTTTTTTTTTTTTTTTGAGAGAGTCTCACTCTTGCCCAGGCTGGAGTGCAGTGGGGCGATCTCAGCTCATTGCAACCTCCACCTCTAGGGTTCAAGTGATTCTTGTGCCTCAGCCTCCCAAGTAGCTGGGACTACAGGCACATGCCACCATGCACAGCTAATTTTTGTATTTTTAGTAGAGATGGGGTTTCGCCAGGTTGACCAGGCTGGTCTCGAACTCCTGACCTCAGGTGATCCGCCTGCCTCAGCCTCCCAAAGTGGTGGGATTAACAGGCACGAGCCATCATGCCTGGCCTCCTTATCTTTATAATAGCTATAGATACAGTATGTAGTGATCACGACCCTCATTCCTGATACTGGTAGTTTATGTCTTCCTCTTTATTTCCTGATCAGCCTGGATACAGGTTTATCAATTTTATTGATCTCCTCAAAGAACTACAGTTTATTTTTGAAGTCTATTATTGTTGTCACATTGAGTCCATTGTGCTAAAATGCTACTATGCCAGAGCAGTATATGGTAAATAGAAAGCACTCTATCAGTATTCATTGAATGAATCAGTGAATGAAAAAAAAGGAACCACCGATTTCTCCATGTAAAGTCCTTTTATTAGGACTGTTCTAGACAACAGCAGTTAGTCTTTAGACATGAGACCAATCTGTTTTGAAATCAGCAATTTCCTTATCTCTTATTTATGTCTTTAGTACTAAGAAGATAGAACTCAGTAGCACCTTCAGAGGCCAAGTGAAATGAAAGGTTTGAGGAAGTGCCCCAAAAGAAGGCTAAAAGGAGATGAAACTTGCTACTGGCAATGAGGGAGGGAGGGAACCTTGAGAAGAAAACAGATGGGGATGCTGGAGACACAGTGGATCAGAGAAAGAGTAATAAAACTATAACACAGTAATCTTGGGATATTAAAGGTATATGAAAGAGTTTAAACTCTAGTAACAACAAATGAAGGTCATACCCAAGAGTGATGACTACCTCAGTCATTACAGTAAAAATTTCAACTTAATAGCATCGGTGTTTCAAAAAGGTATGTGAGAAATGCTCAGATATTAAAGGAGAAGGGGTACATAAATTGACTTAGGAAAATTGTGAAAAATAGGATTTCCATTTATATGTAACACTGAAAAGTAATATACCGGGCCTATCTACTTCCTGACCTATTTAAAGGGAAGATTTTAAGATTTCTAGTCAAAGAAGGAAGCACAAAAGGGCCATGACATACCTAGGTGGAGAAAAGCAGAAATCTCTCATTGTATTCACCAGGCTAAAAAATCACCAACTTGATTAAACTTGAGTTCTAGTCTCAGTAGCAGCCAAACACAGTGGCCTTGGGTTTGCATGCCTCCTATGCTGTTTGTATTTTGGAAGGTTTTTTTCCTCTAATGTTCAAACTGCACACATTTAGAAGTATATACTTTTTTGCCCCCTACCTTCAGGTATTTCTTTATAGAAGTACATACTTTTATTAATTTTCCTATAATGTATTCACCTATGAAACCACATCCACCACCCCCAAGCTTTCCTCGGGCCCCTTTGTAATCTTACCCTTCCATTCCACCCCCTCCACATACCCCACTCCAAGTTTCCAGGGAACCACTGATTTATTTTGTTACTATACATTAGTTTGTATCTTCTATTTTTATATACATGGAACCAGAGTGTATACTTTTGTCTGACTTCTTTCACTCAGCATAAGTATTTTGAGATTCATCTATTTTGTTGCTTATGTTATCAATTTGTTCCTTTTTGTTGGTGAGTTGTATTCCATTGTATGGCTATGCAATAATTTACTTATCCATTCACTTGCTGATGGAAATTTGGGTTGTTTCAAATTTTTGCCATGATTTATAAAGCTGCTATATGTAGACATATGCTTTCATTTCTTGGGTAAGTACCTAGAAGTGGAATAGCTGGGTAACTTCTTTAACTTTTTAAGAAATTGTCAAAAATTTTCCAAAGCATTAACTCTTTCCTGAATTGAATCAAAAGAAAAACAAAACATAACATTTTCCAAAGTGGCTGTACAATTTTGCACTCTCACCAGCAGGCTATGAGAGTTCCTGTTCCTCCACATCATCCTCAACCCTTGGTATGGGCAAAGAGAACCTTTGGGATCTGGGATTCTTCTTATTGGGATTTATAAATACATTCATTTATAACTTAACTATTTGTACATGGACAAATCACTTTACTGCTGTCATTTTTTTTATGTGAAGTGAAAGGTTTAGATTCTAAAATTGTTTTTAATTATTGTTTTCATTTCAGTGACATTTAAGAAGTGTCAAATCTATTTTTGAGTGGGTAATACCTTCTTTTGGTTCAAAACATAAAGGACACAAATGACTGCAATGAAAATTCTCCCACCTCTGTTCCCCAGTTACAGTTTCCCCTTCCCAAAGGCAACCAGTGTTATCAGTTATCTTTCTACAGATATGGTATGCATTCTCATTCTTTTTTCAGATACATAGTAATCTATTTTTATCAGTGTGCCACAATTTATTTAGCAATCCCTGTAGAGATGCCATTTTGGTTAATTCTAATTTTTATGACAATCAGTGCTGCCACTAATAGCCTTGAGCATATATTATTATACACATGGGTGAGAATACCTATAGGATAAATTCCTGGAGGTGGAATTACTGGATCAAGATATATGTCCATTCTTAATCTCAGTCAATATTGCCAAAATATCCCCCACAAAGGTACTCTAAATTTATAATCCCATCAGTACTGAAAAAGTTTCAGAAAATACCATTAGAAGTTTGCATACTTTTGCAAAGTATGGATGAAGAATGGATGGTTCTAAGAAATACCTAAAAGTTGGTAACCTAGACCTCCAAAAAATAGGAGAGTAGGAATGTACAATACCATGGAGTACGAAGTAGTCACTTAATGTGGAATAATTACTCATTAATGTGAAAAAGTGTCCATACTCCATTGCCAAGTGGAAAAAAGCTGACTTTAAAACCAGTGTACAACTCTATTCATGCTTTAAAAAGTTAGGACGTTGGCCGGGCGCGGTGGCTTATGCCTGTAATCCCAGCATTTTGGGAGGCCGAGGCGGGTGGATCACCTGAGGTCAGGAGTTCGAGACCAGCCTATCCAACATGGTGAAACCCTGTCTCTACTAAAAATACAAAAATTAGGCTGGTGCAGTGGCTCACGCCTGTAATGACAGCACTTTGGGAGGCCGATGCAGGCGGATCACAAGGTCAGGAGATCGAGACCATCCTGGCTAATACAGTGAAACCCCGTCTCTATGAAAAATACAAAAAATTAGCCGGGTGTAGTGGCGGGTGTCTGTAGTCCCAGCTACTCAGGAGGCTGAGGCAGGAGAATGGCATGAACCTGGGAGGCGGAGCTTGCAGTGAGCCAAGATGGGGGCACTGCATTCCAGCCTGGGCGACAGAGCGAGACTCTGTCTCAAAAAAAAAAAAAAAAAAAATTAGCTAGGCATGGTGGCGCATGTCTGTAATCCCAGCTACTTGGGAGGCTGAGGCAGGAGAATCGCTTGAACCTGGGAGGCAGAGGCTGCAGTGAGACAAGATCACGCCATTGCACTCCAGCCTGGGCAACAAGAGAGAAACTCCATCTTCCCCCCCACCAAAAAAAAAAGTTAGGATGTTTATATATAACGTTTAATATTTTTATACACATAGCAAAAGGCATGCAAGTATATATACCAAAATGTTAACAGTAATTTCTTGTTACTTAATAATTTTTAGTTTTAACTCATTTTGATATTCTAACTTTTCTATAACTAAAATGTATTACTTAAAAGTTTCAGAAGTTATAAAAAATGTCAGATGCTCTACAATTTAAAATAAAGGATTTTGTTCAGACAAAAAGTAGTTCAGTAAGTAAAGGGGTTATCTGGAATATTATGGGGGCCAGAGGAATAAAAACCTTGTCTAAATTTGATCCTTGTTGGCCAACAGTTTTGGAGTCACCAAATTTTACCTTGTGACAGATTTTGAAAGGAGAAATAAGAAATGGAAAGTGACAAGACAGTAAAAGATAAGTTGGCATTTTCTCCTGCCCCTCAAAATTGCGACTTGCCAGTGTTCTGATTCATAAAGGTTCCTGGCTCAAGAACTGAGTATTTGGTAAGAATGCAACCAGTGCTTCCAGAGAGCAGAGGCTAAAGACAGTACTGACATAATGGAACAAAAGCTGGACTTGGAAATCAGAAGAAATGGGTTTGAGTCCTAATTTTGACACTTCCTTGACCACTCTCTTGACCATTTGGAACCTGTTTTCTCATGTGTCAAAATAACAGTGCTTCTTTCATATGGTTGAAATAGTATGAATGGAGCTTAATTCACTAACAGAGCACTCAGTTCTACCAATTATTTTCATCTTATTTTGAAACAGTTCATTGGGTATTTTTAAAAATTATTAAACACATTTTAACATAGCAAGGAATAGAGAAAATATGATAAATACTCAACTTATTAAATCATAGCATTTGGTCATATTTGCTTTAGCTCTTTTTGGAGGGGGGAATAAATGCCCCTGTATACCCTCTCCATGCCTTTCCCCTTTTTCCAGAGAAAACCACTATCCTGAATTTGGTGTTCTTCATTCCCACTCATATTTTTTCTTTTTGTTTTTTTGAGATGGAGTCTTGCTCTTGCCAGGCTGGGGTGCAATGGTGAGATCTCGGCTCACTGCAACCTCCCCCTCCCGGGTTCAAGCAATTCTCCTGCCTCAGCCTCCCGAGTAGCTGGGATTACAGACATGCAACACCACACCTGGCTAATTTTTGTATTTTTAGTAGAGACAGGGTTTCACCATGTTGACCAGGCTGGTCTTGAATTCCTGACCTTGTGATCCACCCGCCTCGGCCTCTCAAAGTTCTGGGATTACAGGTGTAAGCCACTGCGCCCAGCTTCAAGTTCTTACATTTATGATGACATATACAAAACTAATATATTGTTTTGAATATTCCAATTTTGTATAAATGTTATAAGTATGATTTGGCAACTTGCTTTTTCTACTTGTTTTTGAGATTTGAGCCATGTTGATACATTTAGCTGCAGTCCATTCATTTTAACTGCTTTATAGTATTGCATTTTGTTAACATGCCACAATTTATTTATCCATTCTCCTGTTAATGGCCACTTAAAATGGTGTATATTGCTAGGGGGAATTCAAGATGGTACAGTCAAACAATCCAGCAATCTTACTACTAGGTATTTAGTCCAGAGAACTGAAAACATTATGTTCACACAAAAAGCTATATATGAATATTTATGCTGGCTTTATCCACAATTATTAAATGTCTGGTCATAGATAAGTTTAATGAGATTTAATTTATGTTTCTATTTGAGAGCAAGTCTGGATAGGGAAGAAAGAGGAGAACTCCTGAAAGCAGTTACCACTTGGTGGGAAAGGTGCCCCATCAAAAGAACACTCCCAGAAAAATCTGAGTGTATTCAGAACTATCTTGTCAAAAGTTAGCTATCATAGTACATATAGGGCCAATCCTGGAGAAAATGACTACATCAAGGAAATGGTTAATTGAAAGAAAACACTGATGGGGGAATCCAAATTGTTAAAGAGGAAGTCAGACTGTCGCTGTTTGCTGATAAAATGATCGTATACTAGAAACCCTAAAAACTCTCCAGAAGCTCCTAGAATAAATGAATTCAGCAAAATTTCAGGATATAAAATTAATGTACACACATCAGTAGCTCTGCTATACACAAACAGCGACCAAGCTGAGAATCAAATCAAGAACTCAACCCATTTTACAATAGCTGCAAATAAAATAAAATAAAATACTTAGGAATAAACCTAACCAAGGAGGTGAAAGACCTCTATAAGGAAAACTACAAAACACTGCTGAAAGAAATCATAGACAACACAAATGGAAACACATCCCATGCTCTTAGATGGGTAGAATCAATATTGTGAAATTGACCATCCTGCCAAAGCAATCTACATATTCAATGCAATTCCCATAAAAATACCATCATTCTTTACAGAACTAGAAGAAACAATCCTAAAATTCATGTGGAACCAAAAAAGAGCTGGCATAGTCAAAGCAAGACTAAGCAAAAAGAACAAATCTGGAGGCATCACATTGCCTGACTTCAAAATGTACTATAAGGCCATGATCAACAAAACAGCATGGTACTGGTTTAAAAATAGGCACACAGACCAATGGAACAGAATAGAGAGCCTAGAAATCAGGCCAAACACAGCCAACTAATCTTCGACAAAGCAAACAAAAACATGAAGTGGGGATAGGACATCCCATTCAACAAATGGTGCTAGGATAATTCGCAAGCCGCATGTAGAAGAATGAAACTGGATCCTCATTGTTCACCTTATGCAAAAATCAACTCAAGGTGGATCAAAGACTTAAACCTAAGACCTGAGACCATAAAAATTCTGGAAGATAACATCGGAAAAACCCTTCTAGACAGTGCCTTACGCAAAGACTTCAAGACCAAGAGCTCAAAAGCAAATGCAACAAAAACAAACAGATGGTACTTACTAATAATTAAACTCAAAAGCTTCGGCACAGGAAAAGAAACAATCAGCAGAGTAAACAGACAATCCACAGAGTGGGAGAAAACCTTCTCAATCTATGCATTCAACAAAGGACTAATATCCGGAATCTACAAGGAAGTCAGACAAAATCAGCTAGAAAAAAACAAGTCCATTAAAAAGTGGGCTAAGGACATGAATAGACAGTTCTCAAAAGAAGATATACAAGTATCCCACAAACATGAAAAAAAAACTCAACATCACTGATTTTCAGGGAAATGCAAATCAAAACCACAATGTGATACCACCTCACTCCTGCAAGAATGGTCATAATCAAAAAATAAAAAAAAAAAAGATGTTGGCAAGGATGTGGTGAACAGGGAATACTTAAACGGCTGATGGGAATGTAAACTAGTACAACCACTATGAAAAACAGTGTGGAGATTCCTTAAAGAACTAAAAGTAGAACTATCATTTGATCCAGCAATCCCAGTACTGGGTATCTACTCAGAGGAAAAGAAGTCATTATATGAAAGATACTTGCACACGCATGTTTATGTGCATACTTGCACAATGCACAATTGCAAAAATATGGAACCAGCCCAAATGTCTGTCAGTCAATTAGTGGATAAACTGTGGTATATATATATACACCATGGAATACTACTCAGCCATAAAAATGAATGAAATAATGGCATTTGCAGCAACCTAGATGGAATTGGAGACTATTATTATTATTATTATTATTATTATCATTATTATTTTCCTTCTTGGAGACACAGTCTTGCTCTATTGCCCAGGCTTGAGTGTGGTGGTGTGATCTCGGCTCACTGGAACCTCCGCCTCCTGGGTTCAAGTGATTCTCTCCCCTGGGCCTCCCAGGTAGCTAGGATTACAGGTGTGCATCACCACACCCAGCTAATTTTTATTTTAGTAGAGACAGGGTTTCACCATGTTGGCCAGGCTGGTCTCAAACTCCTGACCTTAGGTGATCCACCTGCCTCACCCTCCCCAAGTGCTGGGATTACAGGCGTGCACCACCACACCAGGCCTGGAGACTTATTCTAAGTGAAGTAACTCAAGAATGGAAAACCAAACATTCTATGTTCTCACTCGTAAGTGGGAACTAAACTATGAGGATGCAAAGGCATAATATGATACATTGGACTTTGGGGACTTGGGGGAACGGGTGGGAGGGGGATGAAGGAAAAAAGACTACACAATGGGTACGGTGTACACTGCTCAGGTGATGGGTACACCAACATCTCAGAAATCACCACTAAAGAACTTATTCATATAACCAAAAACCACCTGTCCCCCAAAAACTTATTGGAAAAAAAAAATCACTGATGGGCTGCCCATGCACATTCATCCCTGGAAACCAAGAGAAAACCTGAGCAATTTGTTACCCTCCAACTGGGACCAAAAAAGTTCTTTAAGGATAATAAATATATGTTTTGTGTTATAGCAGAAGGGCAACTAGTATAGGGTTTACAGATAAAATACAGGATACGCAGTTAAATCTGAGGTTTTTGTGTGTGTTTGTTTTTGAAACGGAGTCTTGCTCTGTTGCCAGGCTGGAGTGCAGTGGCACGATCTCCGCTCACTGCAACCTCCTAGTTCAAGTGATTCTCCTGCCTCAGCCTCCCAAGTAGCTGGGATTACAGGCATGTGCCGCCATGCCCAACTAATTTTTGTATTTTTAGTAGAGACGGGGTTTCACCATGTTGGCCAGGATGGTCTCAAATCTCCTGACCTTGTGGTCTGCCCACCTTGGCCTCCCAAAGTGCTGGGATTAGCGGCGTGAGCTACCACGCTGGGCCTTTTGTTTTTTTTGAGATGGAGTCTTGCTGTATTGTCCAGGCTGGAGTGCAGTGGCACAATCTTAGCTCACTGCAACCTCCGCATCCCAGGTTCAAGCAATTCTCCTGCCTCAGCCTCTTAAGTAACTGGGAATACAGGCATGCACCACCACATCCCACTAATTTTCGTATTTTCTGTAGAGATGAGGTTTCACCACGTTGGCCAGGCTGGTCTTGAACTGCTGACCTCAGGTGATCCACCCACCTCAGCCTCCCAAAGTGCTGGGATTACAGGCATGAGCCACCGTGCACAGCCTAAGTGTGTTTTAATAAATAACCATTTTACATGGGACATCCTTATATGAGGAAATTATCTGTTGTCTGAAATTCACATTTAACTGGGTATCCTGTATTTTTATTTGCTCACTCTGGCAACCCTAAAATGATGGGATTCTTGAATCAGATTGTCTTGTTTAATGTAATTTAGCCTCGAGAAGAAATCCAATTACTTGTACAGAGTAATCATTTATTGTATCTATGTGGAAGTTCCTTAAGCTTTTCACAATAGAACTTTTCAACATGAATTCTGCATGACACAGATTACAAAGTGAAGATAGCTTCATAATTATGTGAAGTACAAATACCAAAATTATAAGCACTGCCCTTATTCTGTTTAAAGAGATACATAATGGATCTATATGAATAAAAGAAGTTTTTTTTGTGCTTGTCAACATGGAAAACATTTGATTTTGTAATAAAATTTAAAGAACTAAAAAAATTTCTACTCTGTGAAAACATTAAGCATGTATTTGTTACAAATTCCTCATTAGAGCAAACTCCATTCTAAGAGTCAACCAACCTTCACTAATGATGGATGTCATCACTTATTGTACTCTTCCTTTAATGTGATAAAAATCTGTGTGTAACCACATGAAAGTAATGGGAAAAGGAAGAACAAACAAGGAGAGAAGGAAAAATAGCTCATCAATTTAGGAATATTTTCAGATCAGACTGTTAAACAAATCTGCTTTAACACTTTTCAAATGATTTTTTTTTAATTACTTTGTGAAAAGAACCTTGGCTGGCACAATGGCTCACGCCTGTAATCCCAGCACTCTAGAAGGCCGAGGCAGGTGGATCGCTTGAGCCCAGGAATTTGAAGACTAGCCTGGGGAACATGGTGAAACCCTGTCTCTACTAAAAATATAAAAAAATTAACCAGGCAAAGTGATGAACACCTGTAGTTCCAGCTACTTGGAAGGCTGAGGTGGGAGAATCACCTGAGCCAGGGAAATAGAGGCTGCAATGAGCCATGATTGCACCCCTGCACTCAAGCCTGGGTGACAGTAGTCAAACGTAAGACCCTGTCTCAAAATAATAATAATAATAACCCTAAAGACCTCTTTTAAATGTCTGGCTTTAGGCCAGGCGCCGTGGCTCACACCTGTAATCCCAGCACTTGGGTGGCCAAGGCGGGTGGATCACTTGAGGTCAAGAGTTTGAAACCAGCCTGGCCAATGTGGTGAAACCCTGTCTCTACTAAAAAACAAAACAAACAAACAAATGTCTGGCTTTAAGAACTCAATCATCTAGTAGGATAGAAACACACATGCACAAGTAAACATCAGGTAAATTGTCAAGTAAAATAATACAGACTGAAAAGCTATCAGAGCATAAAAGAGGGCACTATTCTGGTTGTAGTGAGAAGTCAGCAAAAGCTTCATGGAAAAGTGGCTCTTGAGACACCTCTGGACAAGCAGGGTTGAGAGTGGTAGGGAACTGCTCAAACCTTGACCACCTGTCCTTTTTGCTCCTGTTCCCCTACCACTCTCAGTCCTACTTGACTCCTATCCTGCATCAGGTCTACTCTTGCCCTGGCTCATTACCTGGACCATTTCTATCAATCTCCCCTCCCCCATGTCCCTGGAACACTATACTCTCCATATCTCTCCTTCTACTTCCCCAGCCAATTCATAATCTTCACTGGAGTTCAGTTTTCTTGTTGCTTTCTCTGCAAAGCCTTCCCATACCACCCCTGCCTTCAAACTAGTGGGCTCTCTATCATTATCTCATTGCACACCATAACTTCATATGCTTATTATACCTGCACTTAAGAATTACATGAGTTTGGATAAGCAGAGACTGTAATAAAAAAATAATAATTACATGAGTTAACTGTTTACATCTACCATATTATTACACCGTGATTATACATTCCATGAAGAGAAGGACTTTATTCTGTCTTGTTCACCGTTGTGGCTCCTGGGCCTTAAGCTTATGCCTGGCACATAGAAGATACTAAATAAATCATCAATGAATGAATTCTGTTAATTGGTTTTATATATGGTTGAATATAGCTTTGAATGCTTTCACACTCTTGATAGCTATGTTAAATTACAGGGCTTAAGGCTGGGCGCGGTGGCTCACGCCTGTAATCCCAGCACTTTGGGAGGCTGAGGCGGGCGGATCACAAGGTCAGGAGATTGAGAACATCCTGGCTAACACGGTGAAACCCCGTCTCTACTAAAAATACAAAAAATTAGCCGGGCGTGGTGGTGGGTGCCTGTAGTCCCAGCTACTCAGGAGGCTGAAGCAGGAAAATGGCATGAACCCGGGAGGCGGAGCTTGCAATGAGTGGAGATCGCGCCACTACATTCCAGCCTGGGCAACAGAGCAAGACTCCGTCAAAAAAAAAAAAAAAAAAAAAAAAAAAAAAAAAAAAAAAAAAATTACAGGGCTTATAAGAAAGGTATGTAAGCAAATTAACTGGGCAATCCACATAGATTTTCATAACTTAAAGCAATTTCATAGAAGGCATAGTATGTAGTAGTCTTTTAATATGCTAAGTGCAACCATCTTTCTTAGTGAAAGAGAGGAAAACTAGAAATTTAACACAAAATAACAAACAATAAAAGCACACAATGTCCAGCTGGGCACAATGACTCACACCTATAATCCTTGCACTTTGGGAGGCCGAGGCAGAAGGATCGCTTGAGCCCAGGAGTTCAAGACCAGCCTGGGCAACACAGCAAGACCCTGTCTCTACAAAAAATTTAAAAATTAGCCAGGTGTGGTGGCACATGCCTGTAGTCCCAGCTACTCAAGAGGCTGAGGTGGGAGGATGGCTTGAGCCCACGAGGTCAAGGCTGAAGTGAGCTGTGTTCACACCACTACACTCCAGCCTAGGTGACAGAGCAAGACCCTGTTTCAAAAATTGAAATACATAAAAGCACACAATGCAATACTAAAACAGAAAGCACCATAATCTTTTAAATAACTTGATTTTACAGATGGCAACTTGCATTATATTAGAGTGTCTTTATATTTTTACTTTTTTTTTTTTTTTTTTTTTTTTTAGACAGAGTCTTGCTCTGTCATCAGGTTGAAGTGCAGTGGTGTGATCTGGGCTCACTGCAACCTCTGTCTCCCGGGTTCAAGTGATTCTCCTGCCTCAGCCTCCTGAGTAGCTGGGACTATAAGCACGTGCCACCACGCCCAGCTAATTTTTGTATTTTTAGCAGAGATGGGGTTTCACCATATTGGTCAGGATGGTCTCAATCTCTTAACCTTGTGATCCGCCTGCCTCTGCCTCCCAAGATGCTGGGATTACAGGTATGAGCCACCGCACCCAGCCTATATTTTTACTTTCTTAGTTACATTTAAGAGGTATCTATTCAAAGTTTACCTAAACTCAAAATATGCTCAATATTTGAAATGTCATACTTAGTCAATATTCACTTAATTTCATAATCCTTTCCAGCCTCCAAATGAAAGGATTTTAACAGTGTGTATCTATTCAATGAATACACAGTTTTGCTCTTTGTAGCAACATCCCAATACTTCATGACCAAATTTGTATCAATTAGAAGGGACAGTACTCAAGCTGATAACTTATTTATCTCACATTTATTGAATTGCTACAGAAGGAAATCATTAAAATATTTAATGTATAAATCTAAGGTTGCCTCCTAGGTCCAAATGGATTTAAATGACACTTTTTTTTTCATTTTTATAATTAGTAGAAATATTTTATTGTAAAGGCTGAATATACTAAAATGCTTGGTTTTGTGAAATCTGATTTTCCAACTGTAAGTTACAAGCACTTAGGAAAAAAGCAATCACTTAAATGAAAACTAAAAGTATAAAGCCTATGTTTAAAACATGGCCTTTATTAATACTGCCCACTGAGCTCCATTTTTATTTTACATTGAGATACTTCTGCTTTGCAAAGAAAAGACAGAAAAGTGCATTTTACAAGAGTACTTTTTTTGTTTTTAATTCTCTGAGAAAATGGAATCTGAATCACAAGTTCACAATGTAGTAAAATGAAATTAAGAAACAATGATTTCAGTAATGCTATGCCATCACTAGTGTTTAGCTCTGACTTTTTCTTGTAAATCAGATCCTGATATACAGTCTAGAGCATCTAGGTTATTATTCTACAGCATATTAAACACAGAAAAGGAGGTTTAAAAAAAAAACCCCTTTCAATGTACAAACATGAATTTAAAAACTGCTTTTATAAAATCACCTTTTTACATAATGTATATGCAAAACTGCTTTAAATACATGATTTTGGAAGAATTATTTACAAAATCTATCAGTCTGTGGAACAATTCACAGACAAAGCATACATAGTTGCTTTACTTAGTTGTTGCATCTCAACTTTGGGAGATATAAATTCATTCGGCAGTATAGCAAACATAAAAACTGTGACAAAGTATCTTAAGGGCAACCAAAAATTTGATCCTCAAAACAGTTTAAATACTAGGACTGCCAAAGTTTCTAAACAAGGACATACTTTAATGATCCAGATGCCCATTTATAGTTCTATACTGTTTGATGGACTGAGACAGACTCCCTTTAACACAGGCAAGGCTGCAGGATGCAACCTCCTGTAAAAAGGACAGCTGAGAGCTATTGTCATCCAAAGAGTGAATTAACCTAGAATTTTCTTTTTTTAAATTTTATTAATATTTTAAAAAATACATAAAAATACAACATCCAATGTCTGAATAAATATATTTAACAAGTTGCAAGATAATACCTTATTTTACACAAAAATTTCAGCTTTAGAAATCTTGTTAAATAACTTCATTGTTGTTATATATTTCATTTTTGTCTTTTTGTAACAAAATAAAAACTCTGAAATTACATAGAAAAAAGACAAAATATTTTTGTCAAGGGATAAGATAGTCCACTGAAAACTTATTCACAATTCCACTGTAAACATTAATAAACATTAAAATATTTGCATAATTTTGTGCTCAAAAATCCTATAAAAAGTGGAAGACTTATTACAACTGTAGTTTTCAGTCAACTACACTTCCTTTCACAATTTATTTTGTCCCATTTACACCTTCAATCCTGGGCACACTGCTGAACATATACTTTGGCAGTTCTAAATAGCAAGTGCTTCCACAAAAATAAAAAAAACGATAATGAAAAAAAACACAACATAAACCCCCTACTCACCAAGTGTTCAAATACATCTTAGTGAAAGTGCAGCAGTAACTATTCAGCTGGGTAATATTTTGATGTTTATCATGTGCACTTGCTTGTCTACGATTTCTGTAACACCTGAAAGCTTTATTATACAAATTCAAATTTGCTAAGTGCCCTTTGTTCTATATCACAACAAACGAAAAACAAAAGTAAAGAGGAAAAATTATGACAAATATGGCAGGCTGCTTAACCTTCACTTATTAATCAGCTTATTTTTTGCAACAAGAAAAAAGAAGAGAGAGGGGAATAGATACAATCCAGCCTGGAAAAGTATACAGGATATACTTAGCAATGTCAAACCAGTTGAGTGCTTTCTGTGGTTGTAATTCAGGGTTTGGGGATTTATGTCCATGGCAGCAAACTGCTGGGAAGGTAGAGAAAATGTTTATCACCTGCATTCTACAGCAAGTACATTTTGTGGGGGAGATGATGATGAGGGACTCATTCCAGTGTCTGATGAAGCAGATGACATGGAGGCTCCCGCATGAGACACTGTGGAATCAAAACAACTATGTTAGATCCAAAAACTGTTACACAAAGATACCCAGCTAACAGCAAATTAGAAATAAAATTCTTAACATTATTCACCTTAATCACAGGCCTCTTATATGTCACATGAAGGAGTAACAAATTGTCAGCAAAAATTTTGTTTGGCTCAATTAAGTGGAGTTAGTCTTTGGTCAGTTAAGCACTACTCAACACTTAAAAATACATCATAAAATGTAAAGATTAAAGAGACAAAAACTCTTAAACCTCTAGTTGGGAGATCCCATGAAGGAACTTGGCTCAATCAGAAACAAGGTCAACCTGAGATAAACATGGAACCATATGGAATTTCTGCTTTATCTATGGGTCATAGGACCGTAAGAGAATTAATTTAACTCAGAGGATTTCCTCTGACAGGTATCAGAATCATGGAGATCAGGATCAAAGTAATGATGTGTGATAAGCAAAAAGTCCTCAAATGGTTTTAACATAATTTTCTCCAGGAGGACATAACACAGATTAGGGATCGGTACTCTGAGCATTAGGTGTTTTGCCACTTTTTAAGTTCTTTGCTTTTATCTTCTCTTTCCTTGCAATACTCTTGTCTTCTGCCTTTCTTTGCCTGATTGTTCCTATTTTATTTAAAATTTTAATTTTTGTTTATTCAAGTATCATGACAACCTCTGGGGCTCAAGCGACCCTCCTGCCTCAGCCTTCCAAGTAGCTAAGACATGCCACTGTACCCAGCTAATTTTTAAATTTTTTGTAGAGATGGGATTTCACTACGTTGCCCAGGCTGGTCTCAAACACCTGGACTCAAGTGATCTTCCTGCTCCAGCCTCCCAAAGTGCTGGAATTATAAGCGTGAGCCCCATGCCCAGGCAACAAATTCTTACATGTATGCTACAAATCACTCAAATCTCAATTTAATAACTCATTATAAAAACATAAGCAAATAAAAATGGGGAAAAGACTATAATAAGCTGGGCATGTTGGCTCATGCCTATAATCTCAGCACTTTGGGAGGCCAAAGCAAAAGGATTGCTTTAGAACAGGGGTTCCAGACCAGCCTGAGCCACATAGTGAGAATATGCCTCTACAAAAAAAACTAAAAAATTAGCTGGGTGTGGTGGCAGGCACTGTGGTACCAGCTACTCGGGAGGCTGAGGTGGGAGTCGCTTGAGCCCAAGAGTCTGAGGCTGCAGTAAGCCGTGATCATGCCACTGCACTCCAGTCTGGGTGCCAGAGCCTGTACCCCCCAACAACAAAAAAGACGGTAATAAAAAAATCTTTTTGGCTGGGCGCTGTGGCTCATGCCTGTAATTCCAGCACTTTGGGAGGACGAGGTGGGCAGATTACTTGGGATCAGGAGTTGGAGACCAGCCTGGTCAACATGGTGAAACCCTATCTCTACTAAAAATACAAAAATTAGCCAGGCATGGTGGCGGGCACCTGTAATCCCAGCTACCCGGGAGGCTGAGGCAGGAAAATGGCTTGAACCCGGGAGGCGGAGGCTGCAGTGAGCCAAGACTGTGCCATTGCACTCCAGCCTGGGCAACAAGAGTGAAACTCTGTCTCAACAAAAAGAAAATCTTTTTAATTGTCTGAAATGTATGTCACCTTTAGGAAACTGACCCCAGAGCAAGTGGTGGGTTCTTTGAAGAAATTTTAATTTGCTAATTTGTTCTTTTCTTCTTTTGATATTCAAAAGTTCTGTAAAGACTTCTTGCTATTTACAGTTTTTAAAAGAAAAGGATGAACATGAGAAGTCTGATCTCTTTCCATTTGCTCCATCCTGTTCCTATTTCTAGGAATTAAAAACTGCTGGACTTGGAGCACAATGGTCAAGGCCACACATGACACGTCACTCTACCACAAAGTCATCCACTAAATCTCTACTAGAGGCAGAAAACTTCTCTCAACATGATCAACCCTATCAGGTAATTTACCTTTTATTTGGTTTTTAAGAGACATCCCTTCTGGAGCTTTCCCCTCCTGTTCCATCCTACTCCTGGAATAGTTGCTTTCTAGGTCTGCTATGCAGTGGTCATCCTAGAGCTTCCATTCACCATCACCTTCAGATATTCCTTCACTATTTTCCTATGTAGGATTCCTTGTTTGCCAGTCCCATGTCTTCTTAGCTTGGCTTCTAGTTTCTAGTACTACCATTGAGAAATCGGATGTAAGACTCTTGATGCTGTTCTGAGATCCATTTCTTTTTATATATGTATCTTTATATGGTAAATTTTTAGAATCTACTTTTTTTTTTTTTTTTTTGAGACAGACTCTCACTCTGTCACCCAGGCTGGAGTGCACTGGCGCGATCTCGGTGCTCACTTCCGGGTTCAAGTGATCCTCAAGCCTCAGCCTCCTGAGTGGCTGGGATTACAGGCATCTGCCACCATGCGCAGCTGACTTTTGTAGTTTTAGTAGAGACAGGGTTTTGTCATGTTGGCCAGGTTGGTCTTAAACTCCTGGCCTCCAGTGATCTGCCTGCCTCTGCCTCCCAAAATGCTGGGATTACAGGCGTGAGCCGCTGTGCCAGGCCTAGAATCTACTCTTTATCCACAGGATTCTGAAATTTCATATGCTTTGGTGATTTTCACCCCCATTATTTATAGAGGGCACAGTGAGTCCTTTTCTAACTCATATCCTTCAGTTCTAGAATTTTAAAAATATCTTTGATGACAACTTCCTCTTGTTTATTCAACTCTCCTTCTAGAAATCCTATGATTCAGAAGTTGGATCTCCTCGCCAGATTCCATATTTCTCTTATTTCTTCTCTCCTATTGTCTTTTTGACCCTCTAGTGGAATTTCTTCAGCTTCACTGCCTTATTATTTTTTTTAAATTCCTGCTATCATATTTTAAAGATATCCTTCTTGTTCTCTGAATTTTTAAAATAGTTATTATGCTTTTGTTTCAAGGTGGCAATCTCTTTCCCTTTATCTCTGGATACAAATTGAACATCCCTAATCCAAAAATCCAAAATCTGAAACTTTTGAGCACCAACGTGGTGCCACAAGTGGAAAATTCCACACATAAGCACTTACCACAAACTTTGTTTCATGCACAAAATTATTTATATAAAATTACCTTCAGGCTATGTGTATAAAGTGTCTATGAAACATAAATGAATTTTGTGTTTAGACTTGGGTCCCATCACCAAGATATTTCATTATGTACAAATATTCCAAAATCTGAAAAAAATAAAAAACCCAAACACTTCTAGACCCAAGCATTTCAAATAAAGGATACTCAACTTGGATTAACTATTAAGAATAGTTTTGTCCTATTTTTTTTTTAATATGGTACATTATCTGTTTTTTTTCTTCCAGTTCCTTTTTATTCTCCTTTTTCTACTTTGGCTTCTGCCTTTATGTAGGGGCTTTCCTCAAATGTCTGGTCATGTGGCTTCCATATTTAACATTAAAAAGCTGACTGAAAGCTGTATATGAGCATCAGGGCTTTTAAATACAGAAAATGCACATGTAGTGATTGGCAAGGATCTTGATTTTTGTTTCAGGAACATCCAAATAGTAGGTAATTTTTCTTGGGCTGGTCATTTTCTTTAGAAGAATCTTCCAATCTCCTCCCAGGAATAAGCATAAGCTTGGCTGCCAGCTTTCAGGAAGCCAAGAGGATTAGGCCTTGAGTTAGAAGAGGGACAGCAATCTAACTATTCAGTATGCAAACTTTCACTCCATCCATTATTTTGGTTTAGCACTTAATCATTACCCTCAGCTGTGGCTGGTGCCCCCAAGTCTACAGGCCTACTGATTTCCTCATTCTCTTTTAAGTTAATCTATTTTCTGCTTGAGTTGGGGGTGAGGTAGACTTGCTTCACAGATGGGAAGAAGAGATCCAATTTCTCTTTCCATTTTCAACCAATCCCATTTTTCAGCATCGTCCCATATCCCTTCTGAAAGCTTTTCTGGGGTTACATGGTATTAATTGGCTTGCTTCTTGTTGTTTTGTCCCACTACAAGGACAAGCAAGCTTAGTTTCAGCATTATCTCATCTGCTGGGACAGTTACAGTAGTCCATCTGTTATGCAGCTTCCAAAAGATATACTGTTGACATTTCTTGTCTGTTGTGGTCATTCTCTTGTCCTTTTGAGTTTAGGGCTTTTAATTTCCTTTACTGTTATTTTAGCAGGGCTTAGGGATGGACTGTAGATGGACATGTTCATGTTTAACTGGAAGTCAATCCTACAACCCCCGAAGGGCTAGCTCAGACACTACTCCCTCTCTCTGACTACTCCAAAGTAACCTCTCCTTCCACTAACTCTTGTACTCGTTAATATCATTCTCAGGGTACACACTGTTCCACTAGATGTTAAGATCTTTGAGAAGAAAGTCTGTATCTAACTCATTTCTGTACTTCCGCCACCTGGCAGAGTGCCTGGCACATGGCATGTGCTCTTTAAAGTTGCTGAGCTGCACTATCTTATATTTTAGTTGCTTAGGAAATGATTTATAATCCCAACAAGATAATCTCCTTGAGAATAAGCCTTATGTCTCATTCATTTTGGTGAACCCCATAACAAATACAGTGCCTGTTAATAGATGCCAATAAATGTTTGAGCAAAGAGTGAATTTCAGAAGGACTATGCTCTACCTGAGAATCCATCACATTTAGTACAATCACCCATTTTGGAAAACAGTTCATACTCCCTTTTAAGGGTGTCATTCTGATTAACTCAGTTGCTGACCTACTCATTTCAACAATAGAAAACACTAGGAATTTAAAAACAGCAATTAATGAATGTGTACTATATTCAAAGAGTATCAAATTTAAATCTTCTAAAATGATAGGATATAGTTTTGAAATATAAGGGGAGAAAAATCATAATAAAATTACCTTCCCTGTCTTTCTTTTTTAATCTTTTTCTCCTCCTGTCTATGGTTGCAACTTCAGACTTCAAAGACATATAATATTTTCTGATTTCCTGTAGTTTTTCTTGGAGAAATGAGATTCTCTCTGTACTGTTCATATTATCTAATTCATCTAAAAGGGGGGAAAGAAGTTAATTTGGATTTTAAAATAATTCTGTGAGAAAAATGATGACAATTCTATCAAACGTCTAACTCATAAATCAACAAAAGCTTTAGTTTATTAAAATCTCCTACAGTAAGCTGAATAAGACTGAAAACAAGGAAGTCGTGAATTAAATTCATGATTAAGAATTATTTTTAGATCCCAAATTTTCTATACTAAACATTTATTACTTAAATGATCAGAAAAACATAAGAAAACATCAACACAAACTAACCCTGACCTATCTATAATTATAGTTATCAGAATAGTTTCCCTGTATTGACATTTTCTTCACTACTACTAGTTACATAATAGAAATAACTACTGGCTATTTCTAATTGTTAGTGCTACAAAGGGCACTTCAATTTCACTGATTTATATAAATCATACATGGCTTCTTAATGGAGACCTTCCTGTAAGTCAATATTTATCAAGTCAGTTTTATGAAAAGACACAGATTTATACTTAAGACAACATGTGGTGATTCTTGCTAAGGCAATATTTGGAATATCTAAATAGTTAATCATTATTCCTTATTTTATTAACATTAATCCAAGTTGATATTTTAAGATCTATTCCACTTTACAGTATTCATCTATCAAGTTTTCTATAAGCTTCTTACTGAGCTGAAAGCTCCATTTATATGTCCTAGGGGATGAATTCGGATGTTTTTCTCTGTGTTTATCTTTCTCTCCATCTTTGATGTGCGGGGATATTCTTGCAGGAGATCGTGCAAGTTTCTGTGGCTTAGATACATTAAGATGCTTTACTGGGGTACATTTACTTGAATTGTCTAGGACAGGAAGATCTTCACTATCACTGCTTTGTCCTATAAATAATAAAAAAGATTGACTCAGATTATAAATAAAATTCTTAAATATCAAAATGCAACAGACCTAACAATTACATTTCTTGGTATCCTACAGAAATAAGTGCACAAATGCACAAAGTTTATAACAATATAAAAACAACAAAAAAACAAAAAAACCTAAATGCTCACCAACGGGGAAATGGTTAAAAATGATAAACTATTGAATACTTTCCTAAAGTTGTTAAAAAGAATGAGCTAGAGTTCCTAAGAATAAAAATGGCAAAATATCTAGTATAATACTGTTAAATGAAAATGCAGTTATAAAACAATATAGTATTGCTCCATTTATGTTTAAAACAAGCCAACAAACTGCTAAAAATACTAACACTATACAAAAGCTAGCATTGAAAGACACCAACCTGTTCCATTCTTTTCATTTTTGGCTGCAGCACTTGTTCGCTTTGGGGTACGCTTTTGCTTTTTTGCCATTAATCCACTATTTCCATCACTTGGCCTCTTCTGACCTGAAATAAGGGGAAAGAGAGAATGTTGAAAAAAAAAAAAAAAAAAAAAAGAGCAAGTATATTATTCAACAGACTACACTGACATTTCTTTCTTTTTAATAAGAAAAGAAGAGAGAAAAGAAAAAGAAAGTACTTTACAGATCAACAGTACCTGAAACTCAACAGTTTTGATTTTTGGTTTCATATAAACACTTACTTTTCCCTAGAAAGTCCTTACCCTTCTCTCTGCTCTCTCTCTCTTGTACAATTATACTACAGGTACCAGAGGCAACATTAGTTTCAAATCCATTTGCCGATTCCCTCTCACAGAGACCTTCTTGAGATTCTTCAGCAATACTATCAACTTCAATCGTTATATCACTCTCACTTTTTACGCTTCGAGACTCATCTTGACTAAGAGTAAGTGGTGAAGCTACTGAAAAGTTATGTTGGACTACAGGAGGTAGGGCAGGTGGAATAGAAACAAGAGAGTTAGACTCAGAGCTTTCAACTGCTACATCCTCAATGCTGGTCTTATCCTTTTCATCCAAATCATCCAAATCTACTTCATGGCAAACCAAGGTTTCAGGCCCGATCAGAGGCATTGCATCCTCATCTTCTTTTAGTGGAATATTTACAGTTTCTTCAGCTGGACTATCAAATCTTTCACTAGTCAGTTGTTGGATGCATTGGTTTGACTCTGCTATCAATGATGGCATTCCTTCATTTTCTCTTTCAAAGTGCTGTTCAAAATTTAAGTTTTTCATTCCCTCAGATCCAATACAATCACTGGTCCTTTCTTGAGATACAGTATTTGTCATTTCCATTCCATTCTCAATTCTTATTTTTTTCTCTGGCGATGATTGTCCTAGTATTTTCCGTTTCAACTTCTTTTCTTTCACACATTGGTCAATTTCATCTTCTGTAGCAGAAGAAAAGTTTTTATTGTCTAATGAAGACAATTCAAGACTATGAGCTTCTATATGAGGTTCACTTCCTGCTTCATTCTGGCCAAATGATGAAATCTTTATAATTTCTAAAGAAAGATCTTTTGTCTTGCTTCGTCTTCCCTTTCCTTTTGGAGATTTTTCGGCTTCTTTCTTAACTTCTTCTGTTTTTTCCATTTTGTTCCCAAAAATCTGTACTATTTGTTCATTCTCTCCAACTTCTAACTTCAGGGTTTCTAAAGGCTGCATTTGAGTCCTATCATTTTCTTTTAATATATGTGCAGAAATCTTTGGATTTTCTTCATCTAGCTTATCATCATTCAAATTTTCATTTTTTTCTAGTTCATCTTTAAGAGAAAGTTCTTCATTTATTAAATTCTTTTCTAAAGCATCTTCTGTTTCACTATCAGATGAACAAGAGTCTGTAAGAGGAAATATTATTATATTATACAGGTTTTTATATTACCAATGTAATTTTACAATAAAAATCTTACCAAAAATAACAATAAAAATCTTTAATCATGTACCTCTGAATACCTCCCTGTAGAAATTTCTGAAATAAAACAAATCATAACATTTGTGCCAAGAATTTGAGGGGGAGGGGAAACTAAGCTCCAAGCAAAAATATATTACGTTGCATATTACTAACTCAAATCTATATGAAAAGCTATTTTGCAACATTCCCCAGTATCATATTTAGGTACAATAGTCCTTAAAAAAGATCAAAAGATTAGTACCTAGACATCCTAGACATGAAGTTAATTTGTTAAGTGGTTTGAGATAGTATCTAGGAAGGACAGATGATGGGCATTTTGTACCCTAAGAAAGGAATATGACATTCTACTTAAAATAACTGTGGAAAGAAAAGGTTTTTTCTTTTCTTTTCTTTTTTTTTTGAGACATAGTCTCACTTGGTTGCCCAGGCTAGAGTGCAGTGGCGTGATCTCAGCTCACTGCAAGCTCCGCCTCCTGGATTCAAGCATTTCTCCTGCCTCAGCCTCCTGAGGAGCTGGGATAGGCGCAGGCCACCACGCCCGGCTAATTTTTGTATTTTAGTAGAGATGGGGTTTTGCTATGTTGGCCAGGCTGGTCTCAAACTCCTGACCTCAAGTGATCCGCCCACCTCAGCCTCCCAAAGTGCTGGGATTATAGGCATGAGCCACCGTGCCCAGCAAGAAAAGTTTTTAAAATGGGCAATTGGAATCCTCAAAACTTTAAATATTCTTAACAGACAAGAAAGTACAGGAAACAAAAATTGTTCCCTGTAAGGGAACTTGTAAAATAGTAAAGTAGGGTTCTAAGACTGTATAGGATCTAAAAAATATAAAAATATTGTCCACATGGTGCTCAAATCCTCAAGAAGTTCAAAACTGCAAACATGAATTTTTTAGTGAAAAGGTGTATACAGTTTTATTTTGTGGTTTTATCATAAACAGAATGTAGAATTCATTTTCATGTTTTAAAAAATCCCTTTCAGTGGTAGTTTAATAAGGCTGGTATGTAGTTGTATAGACTGGACACTGCACACAGGTATGCCTTCTAAGAGGGTACCTTTCACTTTGTGGACATCTTAAACATTTGTCAGCAGATGGCAGTAAAGAGGAAGGATGTCCTTTTATAATTTGCACACAAGCACCATATGGACTAATAGCAAACATGTAGTTCAGTATAGCTTTTTTCTTGAAAGAAGAGAAATTTTTATATAAGACAACCATTTAAAATTTCTTTTTTGGTGGCCGGGCACAGTGGCTCACACCTGTAATTCCAGCACTTCAGGACGCTGAGGCGGGTACATCACTTGAGGTCAAGAGTGCGAGACCAGCGTGGCTAACATAGTAAAACCCTATTGCTGCTAAAAATACAAAAATTAGCCAGGTATGGTGGTGCACACCTGTGGTCCCAGCTACTTGGGAGACTGAGGTGGGAAAACTGCTTGAACCCAGGAGGTGGAGGTTGCAGGGAGCTGAGATTGCGCCACTATACTCCAGCCTGGGCAACAGAGTGAGGTGGGGTCTTGCTCTGCTACCCAGGCTGGAGTGCAGTGATGTGATTACACTTGCTGCAGCCTTGACCTCCCAGACTCAAGCAATCCTCCCACCTCAGCCTCCTGAGTAGCTGGGACCACAGGTGCACACCACCATGCCTGGCTAATTTTTAAATTTTTTTGTAAAGATGGGGTCTCACTATGTTGCCCTGGCTGGTCTGGAACTCCTGGGCTCAAGTGATCCTTTTGCCTCAGCCTCCCAAGGTGCTGGGATTACAGGCATGAACCACTGCACTCAGCCTAAAATTTCTTAATTACATTTAAAAGTATACAGAGGTAGAAAAGTGGGGGAAACGAGTACAAGCAGAATAAAATATGTTCACCTATACTCATTATAAAACATGCCTGCACCACAGTAGTCTGTGTTCTCTTAGAACCACATGGTCTCAGCTTTGCTGAAAGATCCCAGATGAACAGCATTGAATTTATAGGATACACTGGTACAGGCTTTGAGGGAAAGTGTAGCACACATTAGGATGCATGGATTGTCAATTCACCTTCTATTAAAATATATTATTTTCAAGATACTTATGAGAAAAAGTATTCCTAAATGAAAACATCACTAAATTTTAGATAAAAATGATACAGCAAAATATTTTCTTCAAATCAAATTTTATAGTTTAAATCATATGAGATTAAAATCCTAGGTGATTTACAGGTTGAACACCCCTAGTCCAAAAACCTGAAATCCAAAATGCTGCAAATTCCACAACTTTTTGGGCACCAACATGACACCACAAGTAAAAAATTCCAGACCTGACCTCATGGGACACATTGCATCCAAACACAGGTGCACAACAGTTTCTTCAGCAACCCCAAGCTAGTGTACGGGTAACCTTTTAATGAAAACACAGCATCGTAGGTGGAGACTGAAAGCCTGCTGTTTGTTTTTGCTGTTGTTTAGCAGCTGATACAGGTATTCTAGTGATGCTACCTTGCTGCTTAGTTTCCCCACACAATTTTTCCACTGTATTAATTGTAAGTCATATGTTTTACTGTTATGTAATTATGTGTGAATAAGTGTAAGAAAATTGCTTATCAGTAGCTGGCATATAAATTCAGAGTCAAGAATAACAGTGATGCCAAACAATCACAGACTGTTCACATGGGTGGCTGAGACAATTATACCTGTGATTTCTGATGGTTCAAATAACACAATCTTTATTTCATGAACAAAACTATTAAAAATATGGTATAAAATTACTTTCAGGCTATGTGTATAAGAAACACTAATTTTCATGTTTAGACTTGGGTCCTATCCCTAGGATATCTCATTATGTATATGCAATATTAAAAAAAAAAAATCAAAAACCAAAAACACTTCTAGTCCCAAGCATTTTGGGCAAGGGATACTCAACCTGTACTGTGAATATTTCACACAATGGAAGTTTTATTATTTATGTTATTGATTTTTTTTAAAGTCAGCCATCCTCAAAATTGAGCACCTTCCATTCCATTTGACAGAGGTGAGCTGTCTGGTATATTGCTGCGAGCACTTCTGGTACCTGATTTTCCTTCACTGTTTGCTGTCTTAGATAAGCCATACGGCATGTTTGATGAGAGGGTTGATTTTAAAGGAGGTCGTCCCCGTTTTGACTTCTGCCTCTCCTCATCTCTCTTTTCGTCCTTTTCACTATCTTCTTTATTCTGGGCAACAACAACAAAATGTATGAGAAGGGCCAATGCTTTACGAAAAATGAACATTCTACTTATCCAAAGAAAACTACATCTCAAAAAAGGTTTGATATTTTATATGTCACTTCCTAGTCTGTGCTTACAGAAGAATCAAGAAGAGTTTTCTGGCTGGTCTGAGAGGTTATCAGAACTTATTAACATTAGTGTCACGGAAATTGGTATATAATCCTCCACTGCTGAATTTCTAACATATTTTGTATTTATGTAAATACAATATTGTACAATTTGTAATACTGCAATTATATTGTGATGGTCAGTTAGAGCTTTAGAAGACTATACAACTATTCCGCACTCCCCGCTGTTCCCTACTATCCCCTGCAGAAAGGAAAGATATCTATCATCCAGTAGACAAAACAATGGGCAAATCTCTACAGCAAAGCTTGACAACTGAGGATGTGGGTGAGGGTACAATTGGCCAGTATATATGTGTTTTAAAATTTTAGTATTGGCTTCTAGCATTTAAAAGTCAAATTTCACATTTTAAGAAAGATAGTGGTCTTGAAAAATCCTAAAATCTGGCAACCCTGGGTCTGCATTCCCACAGCAGAGTGGTTAGTTCCATTCCGTCTAAATGAGGAATGTGACCTCTCGTTTGTCACGGTTCGTCCTACTTTATCCTTCTCCTATAAAGCCTCTACAGGAATTTGAGTTTGAAAGTCATGCCCTAGGGGTTGCTGGTTTTCACCTTTGCTGAAACAATGTGGTAATGTGTTAGTTTTAAGCTCCTGGGTTATAAAGAGAAAATCACAATTATCTGTCAAGAATCAAGATTTTTTTTTTTTTTTTTGAGACGGAGTCTTGCTCTGTCGCCCAGGCTGGAGCGCAGTGGCGCGATCTTGGCTCACTGCAAGCTCCGCCTCCTGGGTTCACGCCATTCTCCTGCCTCAGCCTCCCGAGTAGCTGGGACTACAGGCGCCGGCCACCACGACCGGCTAATTTTTTCTATATTTAGTAGAGATGGGGTTTCACCGTGTTAGCCAGGATGGTCTTGATCTCCTGACCTCGTGATCCGCCCGCCTCAGCCTCCCAAAGTGCTGGCATTACAGGCATGAGCCACCATGCCCGGCCAAGATGATTATTACAATAAGATTTATTAAACAAACACAATATCGTATATGCATATTACTAAGCAAAAGAAGCCAATCTAAAAAGGCTATATGGTGTATGATTCCAATTATATGATATTCTCAAAAAGGCAAAAACTATGGAGAGAGAAAAAGTCTGTAGTTGTCAGGGGCTGGGGTGGGGGTAAGAATAAGCAGAACATAAAGGATTTTTAGGGCAGTAAAGCTACTCTGTATGATACTATAGTGATGGATCCATGTCATTATATATTTGTCAAAACCTACAGAATATACAACACCAACAGTGAACCCTAATGTAAACGATGGACTCTGAGTGACAATAATGTGTCAATGTAGGCACATCAGTTGTAACAAACATCCCACTCTGGTGGGGGATGTTGACAATCTGGGAAGGCTATGCATGCATGGGGCAGAGAGTATATGGGAGGTCTATATACCTTGCTCTCAATCTTGGTATAAACCTAAAACTGTTCTTAAAGTCTTAAAAAACACACAATACAATTTGGATAATTCCTATACATATTATAAAGGACATAAATCTACAAACATACTTTAGCTTTTTTCTTCTGTTTTTTCTTTGGTCCACCTTTGTCCAAAGGCCAGATTATCCTGTCAGCCTTCACCCACTCATCATACCTTAAAAAAAAAAAAAAAAAAAAAGAGTTTGTACAAACTTTATACATTATAACCTTTTTGAAATGTATTCACCAAACGAAAACAACAGTGAGACAGATTAAATAGTTTGTTCTTAGTGTTGGCAAGAATATGAAGGGCACAGGGGCTGGTTTGCTGGTAACATGTGCCAGTAACTGTAGTAGGTATTTTGTATACTCACTAGGGAAAGGCAAGAGGATTTCTTAAGAGTTAACAGGTTTAGAGGGAGAGTCTTGGAAAGCAAACTCTAGATTCAAGACAATCTGAACTGTTTTGTTTTCCACAGCTTTTACAGACCTGAGCTTATAATCAGATCTGCAATAGAATTCGTGCTATTGAATGAATAATAGAAAGCTAAGTCAGATAAATTCAAATTTGCAAGGTGATCAGTTTCAGGTTATTTTATCAAGTTATTTTATCAAGTCCATTTCAACTTCCTTTTCCTCCTCAACACTCTCTCTAGTATTTCCAATAAAATCTTCTGAACTACATTGCCTTTAGGATTCTGAAATTTTTTAGAGATATCTGTATTTCACCTACTTTATCTAAGTTTATTCTGTTTAGCTTAAGTTGAAAACTCATTTCCCCTAAACATTTACTTAAAAATTTATTTTAAAATTTATTTTAAATTTTATTTTTATTTTTGGGGGGCTAGTTTCAATGTTGTCACCCAGGCTGACATGCAGTGGTGCCATCTCGGCTCAATGGAACCTCTGCCTCCTGGGTTCAAGTGATTCTCATGCCTCAGCCTCCCAATATCTGGGATTACAGGTGCCTGCCACCACACCCCGCTAATTTTTTATTTTTCGTAGAGACGGGGTTTCGCCATGTTGGCCATGCTGGTCTCGAACTCCTGACCTCAGGTGACCTGCTCACCTCAGTCTCCCAAAGTGCTGGGATTATAGGGGTGAGCCACTGGACCCGGCAATTTTTTTAGAGAGGGTCTCACTCTGTTGCCCAGGATGGAGTGCAGAGGCATGATCTCCTGGGCTCAGATGATCCTCCCACCTCAGCCTCCTGAGTAGCTGAGACCACGGATGTACACCATTGCACCAAGCTAATTTTTGTATTTTTTATAGAGACGGGTTTTGCCATGTTGCCCAGGCTGGTCTTGAATTCCGGAGCTCAAGTGATCTGCCCACCTCAGCCTCCCAAAGTGCTAGGATTACAGGCATGAGCCATTGCACCTGGCCTTCTCAAATGATTACTATCACTTTTGATTGTCTATAGTCCAAGTGACTAATCAGGGGCAAATAAGAAATTAAGGTTTCTAGAACTAAATAACAGTTTTTACATTATCTAAATATACAAGTATTTACAGAATTAAGTCAAAATCTAAAAAATGTACAGTTAAGTAAAGAAACAACAGGCAGTCCTTGCTTTAGACCAGGAATGTCCAATCTTTTGGCTTCTCTGGGCCACAATGGAAGAAGAATTGTCTTGGGCCACACATAAAATAACACTAACGATAGCTGATGAGCTAAAAAAAAAAAAAAAAACCATGCAAAAAAATAAAAAAAACTCATGTTTTAAGAAAGTTTATGAATTTGTGTTGGGCCACATTCCAGGCCATGCTGGGCTGCATATGGCTTGTGGGCCACAGGTTGGACAAACTTGTTTTAGACTGTAGCGTATTAATAGAAACTCATGTATCTGGAAACCATATTCTTGCTTTATAAGCCAGTTACCATGGAGATGTACAAAGTAAGGACATGGTTCCTTTATGCATGTATTTCAGTTGACATGGTACCATGACTACCTATACAGATGCTCCTTTACTTATGATGCCATTATGTCCTGATAAACTCATCACAAATTGAAAATATCCTGTCGAAAAATGCATTTAATACATCTAGCCTACTGAACATCACAGCTTAGCTTAGCCTACCTTAAACATGCTCAGAACACTCATATTAGCCTAGAGTTGAGCAAAATCAACTAACACAAAGTCTATTCTATAATAAAGTCTTAAATATCTCATGTAATTTATTGAATACACTGTACAGTACTGGTTGATTAGTCTCATGATTTCTTAGCTGTTTGTTGTGGCTGCACAGTCTGATGAGAGAGTATCATACTGCATATCGCTAGACCAGGAAAAAAAATCCAAATTTAGGCCGGGCGCAGTGGCTCACGCCTGTAATCCCAACACTTTGGGAGGCCGAGGCGGGCGATCACAAGGTCAAGAAATCGAGACCATCCTGGCCAACATGGTGAAACCCTGTCTCTACTAAAAATACAAAAATTAGCTGGGCATGGTGGCGTGCGTCTGTAGTCCCAGCTACTTGGGAGGCTGAGGCAGGAGAATCGCTTGAACCCAGGAGGCGGAGGTTGCAGTGAGCCCAGATCGCACCACTGCACTCCAGCCTGGCGACAGAGCAAGACTCCGTCTTAAAAAAAAAAAAAAAAAAAAATCAAAATTCAAAATTCCATGGCTTCTGAATGCATATAGCTTTTGAACCATTTTAAATTTAAAAAAAAAATTGAAGTTGAACCACTATAAGTTAGGAACTGCCTGTACTATGATTTGAAAACTATCTCTCACTCATTAACCCAGTATCTAGTTTCTAAAACGAGACTGGCTATGAGCATCATATTAGGCTTTTAAACATCTGTACTTTATTAACTTATATGGAAATGTTTATTCATTTGAACATTTACTGAGGGCCTACTAGTATGCACTGTATCAGGAAGTATGTAGAGAATAAACATGGCCAATGCTCTCATGCAACCCATAATCTGTTATAAAAGATAGACATATAGTAAAATCAAGTATAGTCTGGTAAGTGCAATATGTACCTGATCCAGGGCTAACAAAGGGATAACTCTATCCAATTCCATAGGAGGTATCAGACAACCAAGAAGCACAGGCCTGATTTTTAGTGTACTTGGTCCTGGCGACACTGGACAAAGCAATATATCATGTAGGTACTTCTAGCACTAATATTGCTAACAAAGGATAGTCCCAGGATTTCTCAATGAGAGACCAGGACTCTTCTCACACTTCTTACACTTGCAGATACTCCCTTTCAGGAGTCTGGCTAAATTCGTTAGGAACCATGGTGGCTTCATCTCAACTGAACAGGCCAGAATTATACCAGCTTTTAGGAGTAGAGAAGAACAACGAAAAACCATGAACCAGGAGAGTACTAGTTAGGTAATTAATTAGAGAGATGACTAATCCAAAACCTGAGCGTATAATAAAATGACTGCTGAGAAGAGTCATAAAGTAAAACATTAAAAAAATGAGAAAGAAAGATAGGGGAAATTCTAGAAAGCAGAACACAGACATATACAGATGTGAAATAGGAGTGGATAGTTGTGAACTAAAGAATCTGAGGAAGAAAGAAGGCTATCATGTGATGCAACTGGAAATGTAATGACTGAAAGTTGGTATGATATATTCCTTTTCCCCTGAATTCAATAACACATTGTAAAGAAAAGAAAACAGTTAACATTCATGGAGCACTAAGTGCCAGGCATGGTTCTAAGCATTTACATCTGAATACAAATATTATCACTACAGTAGTCCCTGCTTAGCCACAGCATAGTTCAATTACCCATGGTCCAAAAATATTAAGATATTTTGAGAGAAAGACCACATTCATATAACTTTTATTACAATACAGTTATAATTGCTCTATTTTATTATTGTTGTTAATCTCTTACTGTGCTTAATTTATACATTAAACTTTATTGTAGGTATGTATGTATAGGAAAAATCATAGGATATATAAGATTCAGTACTATGTGAGGTTTCAGGCATCCACTGGGGGTCCTGGAACACATTTCCAGCAGATGAGAGGGAACTACTGCATTATACAACACCTCTACAAAATAGGAACTGTATTTTTCCCAGTGTAGAGATGAGGGACTTGAGTTATAACAGAGCACACATCTAGTGTATAGAGAAACCCAGGAGCAGTCTGGCTCCAAATAAATACAGGGCAACCAGAGATATTAAATATGCCAGATTTTGTAAAAGAGAACAAGAAAGGCAGCCCCTGACATTTAGGAACTTGCCTGGCACTATCAGCTGGGCCTTGGTGTTGCTTAGAGCTAGTCTGGCACTCATAGCTAGGCCACACTGTCCTGCTGTTGAAACATGAACAATTTCAAAGAGCATCAACATCAGACAAGTCCATTCTGTGACCATGATGTATCAAAACAGAAACAAGACCATGTCCTAATCGTGTCTGAACACAGAAAAAACAGGAACATTGTCTAATCCACAAAAACGACAAACATCTTCTTTTTCTTGACTAATGTGGGTGATTGCTGTTTCTCTACCAATTATAATGTTACCTTGGTCTAACTGTCTCTCCTTCTAGATAAGATTTATTACGAAAACCAACTATAATTACCCCAACTTCCTGACAGGATCCAATATGGAGCAAAATCTCTTTTTTCTTTTTTTTTTTTTTTATTTATGAGACAGGGTTTCGCTCTATCATCCAGGCTGGAGTACAGTGGTATGATCATAGCTCATCTCAGCCTCCAACTCCTGGGCTCCAGTGATCCTCCCACCTCAGCCTTCTGGGTAACTGGGACTACAGGTGCGTGCCACCATGCCAGGCTAATTTTTAATTTTTTGTAGAGATGGGGGTCTAACTATGTTGCCAGGTCTGGTCTTGAACTCCTGGCCTCAAGCAGTCCTTCCGCCTCCACCTCCCAAAGTGCTGGGATTACATGCAAGAGCCCCCATGCCCTGCCTTTCTTAAACCCTCCCCAAAATCATCTAACGGAAGATCAAATGTAAGTTCTAACGTTCTTTTTTATTAATTAGTCGACTTAGAATTATTACAGTGCTTGACATAGGCTTGATTTCTGATTAATGAAACAAACACTTGCACGGTTGGAAGTTGCAGGCCTGGCTCCCTGCTCATAGTCAGTAATATGTCTCCACAGAATTATGAATTATTGTTTTCCCAAAGATGGTGCCTTGAGCCTCTGTTGATTCATTTAACACCATATTACTAAGATGCCCTATGGTTCCCCTTGCTGTGTGTTCTCCCTCACTATAAATGAGTAATAAATGTAACTTGTTCTAACTACAGGTGTGATCCTGGTAGTCTCTGGCTAGAAGCATTGACACTGCTAGTATAACAGCAGGAATGTCAAAGTCTTGGAAAATTCAGAACCAAGGTGTGCTTTGTAAATATGTACCATTATTTGCTTTCACTCTTCATAACATTAAGTTGATGTTCTATTTAATCATCGAAAAAATTTCAATAGTAAGAAAATAGTTTCTTGCTTACCTGACATTCCATCCATAGTAATGTACCAAATATAAAACTTCTCCGTCATCAATTTCAGTGCTTTTAATACTGGCTTCATAAATTTTCTGAGTCTTCCCTCGTCCATATTTTACTTTCACTTTGGTTCCTGTTAGGCAGGGTTCCATGTCTTCCTCATCTTCCTCTCCTTCAGAGTCACATTTGCTTTCAGTTTCTTCCCTGCAGTAAGTTATAATACTGATAATGCTACTAATAACTTAATGGAGAATAAAATATGCTAAAAGAATCCAACAGGTAGATTATTCACAACCTAAGTATTACCTTAATAACATATCAGTGGAGGAGGAGAAGAAGGAGGAGAAGGAGAAGATTTCTGTGGCCTACTTACTAAGGAATTTATTATGTAAAGGTGCACTGTACCCAAAGTAAATCCATACTTTTTAAAAGCCAATCAAGTCACAGTTAACGATGATCTGTAATAAAATAAGTCACTTCTGACAAAACAAAATAAGAAAAATATGCTCTGAAAAAATTCTTTAGAATTCATATTTAAGTGCCAGCTAACGATGATCTGTAATCAATCACTTTTGACAAAACAAAATAAGAAAAATATGCTCTGAAAAAATTCTTCAGAATTCATATTTAAGTGCCACCTTGTATGTAAAAAAAGATTTAAGGATATTTTGTAACTTCCTGTAACTGAATTATCTTAAATCTGCTTTACTACCAGAATTAGAATAGTTCTTGGCAAGACTAGTTTTTTTGGTGGGCAAAATAATGAACAAGGGCTATCTACCTTAGTAACCATGTCTTTTAAACTAATTTATATTTTAAAGGTTTCCCAGCCCTAACAAAGAAAAGAAATTTGAGTATTAGGTCATTTGTTGACACTGTAGGATACCACCACAAGAACAAAGCTTTACATTTGTGTTGAATTCTATTTGTTTACTCATCTTCCATCGGCTTTTCTTTGTATTGATAATCAGGTATAAGGAAGATTAACACAGGGAGAGCTAAAAATACTTTTAATATTTTTATAATAAAATATTGTGTATCAATCCTGTAAAGACTTATAGGAGAACTGCATCAAAGATCATTCTAGTGTCACAAGCATTAAAAGCTCAACAAGTACTACTGGGCTCTGTAATAAATATAGGGCATTATTTTGGTGATCCCTGGGGGTCCTGACATGAAGCTTTGACAGCCCATTTGTAGTGAGAATGTTTTCTCTTGGAAGGCACCTTCCAATAATAGAGTGATAAGGTAAATTCAAAACTCTATGAGAAAAACTACTTAAAGATAATATTGTTCTTACATTCAAGTCTGTGAAATTTTCTCTAAAATAAATCTTTGTCCATTTACAAAAGAGTTACAGTCTTTTTAAATCACATTTTACATAGATGTATTATATGTTTTATATACATATTACAATATACATATTTTGATGTTTTTCACCTTTGCTTAAATTTTTTGTCCAAATATTTAAAATTCTATACTCACTATACTCAACTCCAATTAGTTCCTCCTACTTTTCCTAATCCTAATTATATTTCATTACAGAACTTTTTTTTACTCACTAACCTAGGTCATATGTAATTGTGATAGCTCCTGTGCCTATTTGTATTTAATCAAATTACCTCTCCCATTCACCAATCATCCTATTTTTCCAAATATTTATTCTCTCAATGGCAGGTCAGTTTTCCCAAATTTGGCTTAACAACTCAAATTTCTAGAAAATTTAATATCACATAATAATAGAAAAATAACTATGGAAGAGAGCTGGTATTACAAGTAAGTATGTTATGTTGTTGCTCATTTAAAATTCATTTTTAGTCGTGTCCTAAAATTAGTAAATCCATTTGACAACACTTACAGAAGCAGCTAATAACTTGGTCAGAGACTACCTTGATCTTGCTGGACTGCCTAATATTTGACTATTTTTAAGTCAGTTCAGTCCATACTTGTCTAATACACAGAAAAAAAATACAGTTTTACTCAACAGCAAACAGGATGGACATTAAAAAATCTGAAATTTATTGGTGTGATGTGGGGCAAGAATGTATTTTCCAAACTAGAATCAGGGGTGCATGCCACATAATCTAATACAATAACTTGAAAAAGAAAAATGTCTTAAAGCTAACACACAGAAACATCTCTAGTACTGTGCACCCATGTGTTTGTTAGCTTTCCCACATTGTACCTTTTTTAAAATGGAATTTTTGCTGTCGCTGTTTCCTCTTGTCCACTTCCTCCATTTTTCTCCAGCTCCCTTCCCTGCTGTCAACTGCAGGACCTTTCTTTTGACTGGGTGGCGCAGCCTTCTTTGAGGCCACTGTTTAGGGCACAAGTGCTATTAAAATGGTGCGACCAGTATATTCTCCAATTCCGAAAGGCAATACACATCATCTTCACAATGTGTCTCACCTTCATTAGACAAGAGGAACGGAAGTCCCAATAAGAAAACATTCCCTCAAACCTGAATCTCTAAGCAGGAACAAAGCGCTGTTGTACCCCAGACAGGTGCTTCTGGAGAACAAACATAAGATAATGTACCTCTCTTGGCTTTTCTCTTCCTCTTCATCTGAGTCTTTGTCAGAATCCTCCTGTTTTTTAATTTTCTTCTCTTTTTGCTTTGGTGTATTTTTTCTCCCCAGTAGTAGCTCATTTTCTTTTTTCTCTGCAGTTTCATAGTCATCATCTACATCCTTATTTTCTGTATCATTATCTTTTAATTTGTCTTCTGTTTTCTCTTCTTCAATTTCCTTTTTAATAGAATTTACATCTCGAGCAATTCTCCTTCGTCCCTAGTAGAGGGGATAAAAGCTTTAAAATAGCTATCACTATAAAGGGGAAAAAAGCAGGAAAAAATATCTTTTCCTTTAACCTTCATAGCAATGTCTCTGGCTTGAAACGTGGCCCTGAAAACCAACTCAAAGGTACCTTTCTCTTCCTTTTGAAAGTAAAAGAATAACTGATAGAATTACTTAATTATGTCCAGGTCTACTTTGGCTATATACTACCTAAGAAATATCTGTCAGAATCTGTTTGAATGAAAAAAGTAAACAACAACAACAAAAAAGAAATAAAAATTTTCTCCTTTGTTTACTACATCATTTTATCTCACTTTTATTATTTCTCGACTATAATAAAAATTTAAAATAAATTATCTAATGTTAATGATAAAACGTAACAATAATAAAACCAATCCCCTGAATTTTGCTTCTTTAAAGGCTCTGTGGTCTCTAATTCTACCGTTAGTAAGACAAAATTTACATTGTCACTGTATTTGTGGATGATTACATTTTTAAAGGACTGAATTGCATCAATGGCAAAAAAGTGAGCAGACTTCTTTGAATGAGTATCTGGAGAGCTCGCTGGGCCAACAGCAATATGTTTTACCACCACTAGCTTCTATCTAGCCCACTGAATGCTGAAATGACCATGACTGGTGAGCAATTTCACTATCTCCTAGGTTCTCCTTCAAGTCAACTTCTATACACTGGCAGAAGTCTCCTCTTCTTGGAATAAAGCAGATAAAGAGCCAGCAACTTAGGAAGCATTAGGATACAATTAATATCTCAGTAAACAAATGTTTTCCCTAGTTGCTGGCTATGTGCTATTTACACTTCAAAGGCAGAAAAAGAAGAAATTAATTTCTTTCTATCTTAAAGCACTAACACACAAGTTCCAAGATGGCACTTCCATCTCCTCAGATCTACACAGTGGCTGGCACATAGCAGGTGGCAGGTGCTTTTTTTTTTTTTTTTTTTTTTTTTAAGACAGAGTCTCGCTCTGTTGCCAGGCTGGAGAGCAGTGGTGTGATCTCAGCTCACTGCAACCTCTACCTCCCAGGTTCAAGCGATTCTCAGCCTCCTGAGTAGCTGGGACTACAGGCGCGCACCACCATGCCCAGCTAATTTTTGTATTTTTAGTAGAGACAGGGTTTCACCACGTTGGCCAGGATGGTCTTGATCTCTTGACCTCGTGATCCGCCCGCCTCGGCCTACCAAAGTGCTGAGATTACAGGCGTGAGCCACCGTGCCCGGCCTAGCAGGTGCTTTTAAAATATCTATAGGTAAATGAATGAAAACAACTGCTATAAAATTTGGGTCTGTATACCTTTGTCCCAGAAATACTGTTTTTATTTATTTATTCATTTTTTTGAGATGGAGTCTCGCTCTATCGACCAGGCTAGAGTGCAGTGGTGCGATCTCAGCTTGCTGCAACCTCTGCCTCCTGGGTTCAAGCACTTCTCCTGCCTCAGCGTCCTGAGTAGCTGGGACTACAGGTGAGAAATGCCATTTTTAGAAGCCTGGCTTATATATGTGGATAAGTGATGAGGATATTTTTACAAGCAAATGTATTATAGCACTTTTTTTTTTTTTTGTATTTTTAGTAGAGATGGGGTTTCACCATATTGGCGAGGCTGGTCTCGATCTCCTGATCTCGAGATCCACCTGCCTTGGCCTCCCAAAGTGCTGGGATTACAGGCATGAGCCACCGCGCCCGGCAGCACTTTTTAAAATAGTAAAAAACTGGGAGAAAATCTTGGAGAAGGTAGATTTATGGTTCATCCATACTAGACAGCACACTGCAGATATTTTATGTAGGATGAGGAAGGTTTTTAGGTAATGAAAAGAAAGTATGTCCACAATACATACAATAAAATATTATTCACCTTTAAAAAGGAAGGAAATTCTGATATGTGCTACAACATAATGTCTTACAGACATTATGGTGAGTGAATAAGCCAGTAAAAAAGGACAAACACTGTATGATTTCACTTATATAAAAGTACCTAGAATATCAAATTCATAGGTACAGAAAGTAAAACTTTGATTGCTAAGGGTTGGGGAGGAATGAGGAGTTACTGTTTAATGGGTACAGAATTTCAGGTTTGCAAGGTAAAAATATTCTGGAACTGGACGGTGGTGACACTTATGCAACGGTGAGAATGTACTTAATGCCAATGAAGTGTACACTTAAAAAGAGTTAAGGTGGCAAATTTTATGTTATATGTACTTACCACAATTTTAAAAAAAATTAAAAAAAAACAATTTGGAAATTTCATGACATTCACTAGAAGATTCCATTTACTACATGAAGGAAGTTTTGAAAACTGGTTTCTGAACTATAAGACAAAGCAATTTCACATTCTCTTTCATTAAATATGATTCCACCAAAAAATAAGACATAGTAATTAAACTTCTTTGATAGTGTGGTAAATTCCTTTCTCTTTCTAAAATTTGATAAATCCTACTATGTAACATCACTGGACACTGATCCAAATGCTAGATGACAATTCCTAAATAGACCTTATATATTAAAGGAAAGAAGGAGCAAAGTTGGAAGATACAACCAGCATACATGTACGCATCACTAGAGCTACACAGTGTGCTATAAAGTTACAAAGACAAGATATCATCTAGTTTAGGGCACAGGCACTATAAAGAGGTGATTCATTTATTCAACATCTATTTAATAAGCCTTTATTATGTGCCAGGCACTATTCTAAATGCGTGGCATCTGTCAATAAACGAAATAAACACTAATCCCTGACCTCGTGGAGTGTGATTCTAGTGTAGAGTGGGGCAAAATAGATAATCACAATAAACAGAATAAATAAGTAAATTACAGAAAGAACAACATCAGAGGGACTGAGAGTTCCAAAGAGAGGAGGCAGGTTACAATTTCAGATAAGGTGACCAAGACAGCCTTCAATGAGGTGATACTTTAGCAGAAGACTGGAAAAGGAATATCTGGGATTCATCCCAGACAAGAATGACTTGATCGAATATAAACAGAAAACAGAAGGAAGGGTTTTCAGGTAGAGGAAATAATATACAATATATTTCGAAAAAAGTAGCTAGCTAAGCAGCATTAAATACTGGAAAATAAACTAGGTTCACTGTAGTACTTTTGTGTATATATGAAAATGGCTATAATAAAAAATTTTAAATAATACTTAAACCAGATAAAACTAGTATTAAGAACTCACCCTCGGAGATTTTAATTCTATCTCTTCTCTTTCACTTTCACTGTTTGAATCGATATTTTCCTCAGGTTCACTCTTCACTTCTGTTAAAGGCATTTCTTGATCTAATTTGAGAGCCTCTTCCATTGATTCTTCTAAGTCTTTTTTTTCCTCTTTTACTTTTGGTTCATGGTGATGAACAGTTCTGAACTGAATATTTGCCGAACGGCAGTACTCCTCAAAACCATAGAGATACCTAAACAAACAATATTTCATTTAAGAAATCTTACAGTCTTTGCATCTAACTTGAATTCATGTTATTAAACACATTTTTAAAAAGTAAAGCCCAGTAATTTAAAAAAATTTTTGTTACTCTTTTCTGTGTTACTATTTTCTTGGTGTTTTAGATAGAATCATAAACAGAAAAACTGATCATAAAATGCCGTCCTGAGACGTCTGAGCTTGTGATAGCTAAACATAACTATCATAAGTTTTGATATGAAGGCTGTTCACCCCAAAAGATGTAGCTCTGTAATATGTATCATAATCGCAGACACTACCTGCATCCTGATTTTGGAAAGGAAATCAGGACAACATAAGAAATGGAGTAAAGCAGATTAGATGCGCTGAAATAACTTTCAATCACAAGTATCTGTCAACCTAAACCTTTTTATATACTTTCTCTAACTTTAATGTTTCTAGATTGATGTATTCTTGTTAACAAAGTAAATGGAAAATATTTCCTATAAATATATATTCTTTGATGAATAAACTATACTACTTACTTTCTATAAGCAGTTTTTACATTGTAGGAAGCAGCTGAATTCAAAATAGGAATGCCAAGGTCCATATAAATTTGCTTCCATACAGCACCACTATCAATCTGGAAAATTAAGTTTTTATGTTAACATTTGCAAAGGGAATTAATCTTTTTTTTTTTTTTTTTTTTTTTTTTTTTTTTTTTTTTTTTTTTTTGAGACAGGGTCTCACTCTGTCGCCCAGGCTGGAGAGCAGTGGTGCAATCAGGGCTCACTGCAGCCTCGACCTCCTGGGCTCAAGTGATCCTCCCACCTCAGCTTCCCGAGTAGTTGGGACCACAGGCATGCGACACCATGCCTGGCTAATTTTTGTATTTTCTGTAGAGATGGGGTTTCGCCATGTTGCCCAGGCTAGTCTTGAATTCCTGAGCTTAAGCAATCCACCCGCCTCAATCTCCCAAAATGCTGGGATTACAGGCGTGAGCCACCGTGCCTGGCCAGGAAAAGATCTTTATCCTAATATTCTATGTTCATTAAGAAAATGTATTTATTATCCAATGTGCATATAATAATGCAATATAAGATAACTTAACTTTTTACCACATCAATACATGTTTCAAAAAGCAATGTTATACTTACATTGTCACATCCACCCTGATGATAAACCAGTCTGAAGAGTTTGAAGAGATTGAGATCTTTATAGCCCAAAACAGGTGGTTTGTTGATTGGAGTACCTTTTCAATGTAAGTAGGTAGAAATAAAATGTTTATTCAAATGAGAAATACTAATTTGAAAACAAAGCGGTCAATTTCTAATTTCCCCAATTTCATTAATTAGAGGCACATATTTAAAGAGCCTTAAACAATGTAAAACAACACAAGATAATTCTCTTGTGTTGTTTTATATATAATAATTCTTTTTTATATGTTTTATATATAATAATATATATAATAATTCTCTCTTATTTATATAGCTTTGTGGGGATCTTCAGATTTTAGGTGTTATACTAATAAAGCTACCTCTTTAACTGCCAATGAATTGAGTAAAACTAAAGTAAACACTGCATGGTGTGGCCAACAATGTTGCTGGTTCAAGACGCTTGGGCATAGGGCTGGGTGCAGTGGCTCACACCTGTAACCCCAGCACTTTGGGAGGCTAAGGCAGGAAGATCACTTGGGCTCAGGAGTTTGAGACCAGCCTGGGCAACATGGTGATATCCTGTCTCTACAAAAATTAAAAGGAAAACATTAGCTGAGTGTGGTGGTGTGCACCTGTGGTCCCAGGTACTTGGGAGCCTGAGGTGGGAGGACTGCTTAAGCCCAGGAAGTGGAGGCTGGAGGGAGCCATGTTCACGCCACCGCACTCCAGCTTGAGTGACAGAGTAAGACTCTGTCACAAAAAAAAAAAAAAAAAAAAAAAAAAAAAGTTTAGGCATAAACAAACACAACAGAAAAGATAAGATTTATACCCTGGTTCCACTTTCACTACTTTGACACAAATGTTAAGACTGTTAGCAGTAATCTGAAGGATGATTTCTGAAGGCCACACAGAATGTTTAGGACCAATTTATCTTAAGATTTTCTAGGACTAACAAATGGCAAGGAGTATGATGGTTTATAATTGTTCTATTATTCTACCTATATTAGAAATCTCATCTTTTTCAGATAACGATTGGTCTCCTATTATGTTTAATTTGCTGAGAACAAGGATCAGGCTAGTTTATCTAGTTTATTTGCCACAAATATAGCATTAGTAATTAGTGGGTATGCAGATTAACATAACTGGTCACTTTCTATTTCTGAAATATCAGAATATTCTTTAGCTTTGTAAGTGACAGGGAAAACTAAATTGTATCAAAATATTTTCTCACTTGTTTCTATGTAAAATAGGTATGAACAGTTTAATTCCAAATATTTTACTACTGTCAGGTGTAACTGATTCTAGGATTTATTTAAAATCCAAAACTAGACAGTCATGATGGTTCACAGCTGTAATCTCAGCACTTTGGGAGGCAGAGGTAAGAGGATCACTTGAGGCCAGGAGTTTGAGACCAGCCTCGGCAATATGGCAAAACCCGTCTCTACAAAAAATAGAAAAATAAAAAATTAGCTGGGTATGGTGGCACGTGCCTGTAGTCCCAGCTACTCGAGAGGCTGAGGCAGGAGGATCACTTGAGCCCAGGAGGTCAAGGCTGCAGTAAGCCAGGAGCAAATCACTGCACTCCAGCCTGGGCATCAAAGCAAGAACCTGCCTCAAAATAAATAAATAAATAAAATCCAAAACTGTTTATCTGCAATACTAACAAAAACAATGCATATACCTAGAATGTAAACATGAAAAAGAAATGACTACTTTAAAATAATGAGCATGAAAATACCTCTGTCTTCCATAAACTTATAAAGCTGCTGGAGGAAGTTGTCCCTCTCTTCAGGATCAAGTTCTTCCTCAGGCTGTAAAGATAAAATATATAAATGTATGGCACAGTGAACTGGAAAAGATACATGTCTTCTTTTATTTTTGTGAACCCAATGTAAAGTCATCAAATTTTAATAAAGCTGAAAAATCTGAATTTTCTCAATATCCTACAATGACAGATTTTAAGTCATATTTATGAAGATATACAATGTCTACCCTTCACTCCATTTACCACTCTAACTCTACTTTTCAGTATCACTGTAAGGACTAAGATTAGCCAAGAGGAAAACATTCAGGAATAAAATGGGAGTGTTACGTTTTCACCTCACCTGATATATTTTTTTTAAAGCCCATTTAAATACTATGTGGCCCACACAAATATACTGGCAGATGAGCACAATAATGACACATGTTCATTATATCATATATTTATATATAAAAATAATTTTCATATAAACATAGTTTTTGTTATTGCCAGATGAATATAAACCAGGGATTGCAAAGTCACAGTGGCAAAGGATTTCTGTTTAGATGGCACAATGTTTTAAAGATATTTAAATACATTTAAGTGAGTCATATACATTCTATTTTACCCCAGACCTCATCACCCCCTCATCTCACAATAACCTGGTTTTCTCTTTTGCCTTTCTAGTATGGCCCCTGTACTTGACTTTGCAACACCTAAAAATAAGATAACAAAATAATTCCAGAAGTAATTCTTAGGGAAGGAAACTAGATACATAATTACTGATTTAGCTTCTTTTAAAATTCTTAAAGTTTAGCACTACTAGAGAAAAACAAAACACTGATATGTTTCCTCCATATAAATGATCATAACTTAGAGTATTACTCTCCTCTGTTCTAAAAGAAGAGCTCAGATTTTTGTCTTTTTTTTTTTTGAGATGGAGTTTTGCTCTTGCTGCCTAGGCTGGAGTGTAATGGCACGACCTCGGCTCACTGCAGCCTCTGCCTCCTGGGTTCAAGCAATTCTGCTGACTCAGCCTCCTGAGTAGCTGGGACTACAGGAGTGTGCCACTACACCTGGCTAATTTTTTGTATTTTTAATAGAGAAGGGGGTCTCACCATTTGGCCAGGCTAGTCTCAAACTCCTGACCTCAAGTGATCCGCCCACTCCAGCCTCCCAAAGTGCTGGGATTACAGGCATAAGCCACAGCACCCAGCCTGGATTTTTGTCTTTACAAAGCCATATTCAAAACAAAGGCAATGCTCAAGCAATAAATGTTGAGTCTTCGGTGTCCAGAGGGCAACAGGCACTTTAAAATTGTGTTATCTAATAGCTGATAATACAGCCAGGATCAATAAGCATGTAGTTGATCAAAATATATAATAAAAAACCATGAGGCAATCAAGAGAAAGGGAGTAAGATCTTTTATTACATTATTTTAGTACATTCATTCATAATGATTTATAACACTAAAATACTTTTACCAAATATAAAGAAATTTAAATATAAGTTCTAACCAAAATCAGCAATTTACAAAGTTAATAATCACTATAAAGTAGTTAGTGAAGGTCATTACTTAATGCTCAGATTAAGAGATGGCAGTTTTTTCCCCATGTGAATTTAAAAATCTTGCTTTTATAAAGTTAACTGCCAATGAGTTAACTCAAGAAAATAGGTAATTCAGTAGCCCAAGAACCACTTCACACATTAATTTTAAGAACTTCTAGCGTGAGGAAAAAAAATCAAAACCAAAAACCACTTATGCCAGACTGGCTCTATGCTTTGCCTGTGCCCTGTAATCGTAATATTCTCTCTTCAGACGAAAACTTCATTCCAGTATTTTTTTTTTTTTAAAGACAGAGTCTTCCTGTCACCCAGGATGGAGTGCAATGGCACAATCTCAGCTCAGTGCAACCCTCTGCCTCCCGAGTTCAAGCGATTCTCCTTCCTCAGGCTCCTGAGTAGCTGGGATTACAGGCATGCACCACCACACCTGGCTAATTTTTGTATTTTTAGTAGAGACTGGGTTTCGCCACATTGGCTAGGCTGGTCTCGAACTCCTGACCTCAGGTGATCCACCCACCTTGGCCTCCCAAAGTGTTGGGATTACAGGTGTGAGCCACTATACCAGGCCTCATTCCAGTATTTATGATCCTACAGAATTCAGGTAACACTTCTATATTCAATATATGTAAAAGCAATTCTTTAAAAAGGCACTAAAATCAAAGTTGCTCCCCAATACAAGTAAACAAAATCAACTCATCAATTGCAAATTAGGTTGTACCCAACATTTGATAAATTTTTAATGTTAAGAATATATTTTTATAGATAAAATTTGATTTATGTGTATTTTTTTTAAAAGTTAGTGGGTAACCAAGAGTGCTTTAGGTTTCACGAGAAACTATGGCTGTAAAATTGTAGTTTTGGTACAGTTAAACAAGATATAAATGAATAAAGAATTCTACTTACAAACAAATGCCTTGAGGGGAAATTTCTTTTCCACCAAAAATAAATAAAACATGATGCTATAAACAAAGTTTTAAACTTATCTGATGTTTCTGTGAAAATTAAAATTGCTTATCTCTTACAATAAGCCACTCCTCAAAATTATTTTTGAAAACTAGCCTTGCTGCTAGTCACCTTGCAGTAAAACTGCATATGCTAGAGAACGCCTCCAATTAGAAGAATGTGCCTTCGTGACTTTTGTATGGGGCTCTTAATTGCTATCACGGTTTGCTTTCTCTGTCCATGGCATTTTCATAGCAATTTCTCTGCTGGTGAAGGCCTGGCACTGTTGCATCTTTCAAGGGTTTTGGAGTGCGAGAGGGTTATAAGAATGGGAGGTAGAGGTCCACTAGACCATCTGAGACTTCTTCCCTTCATTTAGTCATTTACATTTATACATGTAAAGAATAACTATGCACCCAGTAAAATGCCAGAGATCCAAGAGTCACATTCATGATGATAATTTCAAGAAATTTCCAATTTTAGTTAGTATTAGTATATACTGCTTAGTATTATAAGTAGTTGGATATCTATCTACACTACTAGATTGTGAATTTTTTGACTTTAGGCACATGTCTTCAGATTAAGCTCAAACATCTACTAATGGTTACCATGAATCAGAGATTGTTCAAAAGCACTGTGGATTAAAATGAGAACACATGGTACCTTCTATTTTTGCTGCTCTGAGTTTGGCAGGAGGTGTAGAAAGGTAAAAGAAGCCAATATAACACGATGTGGTAAGTGTTGTAAAATACATCAAAGAATACAGGAGGAGCAAGTGAGGGAATGAATGGTTTTCCTCGAGATGAACTGGCAGTGGTAGTATTAGGCAGCTTCAAAATGTAAATAGTAGACAGCCCTGGAGCTACAGCAAATGGGCAAACAGCGTAAGCATGAAACTGACAAAGGCAGGCTGGGATTAGGAAAGGACTTTGTAATAGTATGCTAAAGAAACAAAACTTGATACTGTGGCTAGATGTGAAGCTTGAGACAGCTAAAGAGAATTAGATCAGATTTGTATATTTAAAATTTCTCAGCCAAGAATGAGTTTGATGGATTGGAAGGGAAAAGGAAGCCATTATAACAGTCCACAAGGAAGAGAACGCATGCCTGAATTAGTCCTGCCAGCTGGGATGGAAAGATCACCTCTTCCCATGAAAGGAAGAGGAAGAGAGAGAGACAGAGAGAAAGACAGAGAGACTGATGGAGGGATGGGGAGAGGGAGAGAGAAGGGGAGAGGGAAGAAAAGAGAACCACTGTGCCTGACTTACTCACAATTTTACGACTAATGACTGCCATTTAGTTTAGACATTACTCATGTGAATGAAAATGATATCTGTGCAAATGAATTGTGTAGAGTTTTCTTGCTTCACATTCATTGAGTATGAGAGCTAAGATTTATGATAATATAAATGCAAGAGTCAGAGAAAGAGAGGAAATAAGAATAGTTGAGGATGTTCTTAAGACACAGGTGGGGCCGGGCACGGTGGCTCACGCCTGTAATCCCAGCACTTTGGGGGGCCAAGACAGGTGGATTACCTGAGGTCAGGAGTTCGAGACCAGCCTGGCCAACATGGTGAAGTCCCGTCTCTACTAAAAATACAAAATTAGGCCGGGCACAGTGGCTCATGCCTGTAATCCCAGCACTTTGGGAGGCCGAGATGGGCGGATTGCCTGAGCTCAGAAGTTCAAGACCAGCCTGGGCAACACGGTAAAACCCCATCTCTACTAAAATGCAAAAAATTAGCTGGGCGTGGCGTTGTGCGCCTGTAATCCCAGCTACTCAGGAGGCTGAGACAGGAGAATCACCTGAACCCAGGAGGCGGAGGTTGTAGTGAGCCAAGATTGTGCCACTGCACTCCAGCCTGGGCAACAGAGCAAGACTCTGTCTCAAAAAAACCAAAAAACCAAAAAACCAAAAACAAAATTAGCTGGGCATGCTGGCGTGCACCTGTAATCCCAGCTGAGACTGCGCCACTGCACTCCAGCCTGGGCAAAACGAGTGAGACTCTGTCCCAAAAAAGAAGAAGAAGAAGTAGAAAAAAAAAGACACAGGTGGTTATGGCCCATGACTTGCTGGCATTCACCTTATCCCTTGTCCAAATATATAAATCTGAAAATGAACGATTATTCATTTGGAAATGGCAAAAATTCTAGTAAACAGACTTCCTACCATTTTAGTGGGATGGGAAACTGATATGGTTTGGCTCTGTGTCCCCATCCAAATCTCATGTTGAATTGTAATCCCCAATACTCGGGGAGGGACCTGGTGGGAGGTGATTGGATCATGGGGCAGATTTCACCCTTGCTGTTCTCATGGTAGTGAGGTCTCATGAGATCTGGTTGCTTGAAAGTGTATAGCACTTCCCCCTTTGCGTGCTCATGCTCTCTCTCTCTCTCTCTCTCTCTCTCTCTCCTGTTGCCACGTGAAGATATGCTTGCTTCCCCTTCACCTTTTGTCCTGATTATAAGTTTCCTGAGGCCTCCCCAGCCATGCCTCCTGTACAGCCTGTGGAACTGTGAGTCAATTAAACCTCTTTATAAAATACCCAATCTAACAAAGTTCTTTATGACAACGTGAGAACAGAGTAATACAGAGACAAATACAATTTGAAAAATAAGATATCTTATTTTTGTAGGAGCTATTAACTTTCTTAGCTAGCAACTCTAGTTTCCAATACACATTAGGAAGGTGGACAGATAGTGTCCAAATTGTCAAAATATGTCAGTAAAAGATGATGAACTTTACCCAAAGCTCCTCAGACCCATGTAACTTGTACACAGTTCTAATTGGTGGCTTGGGATAGTTTCCTAGCGTATAACATATCGGAGCCACAAAAATTGACATTTTTAAAGTGAGGAAAGGTATAACTAAACTTGATCTTTGTGGTTTCCCTATACTGTGTATTGTATGTAACAGAACATATTGTTGATGGGTATTCTCAGGTTTCAAGAACCTCTATGGGAATCCCTTAAAATTTTTGGTCAGGCTCAGTGGCTCCTGCCTGTAATCCTAGCACTTTGGGAGGGCCAGGCAGGAGGATCACTTGAGCCCAGGGGTTTTAGACCAGACTGGGCAACATAGCGAAACTTTGTCTCTATAAAAAAAAAATAATAATAAATTAGCCGGGCATGGTGGTGCATGCCTATAATCCTAGTCCCAGCTACTCAGGAGGCTAAGGTGGGAGGATGGCTTGAGCCTGGAAAGTTGAGGCTGCAGTGAGCTATAATCACCACTGCACTCCAGCCTGAGAGGCAGAGTAAGACTGTGTCTCCAAAAAAAAAAAAAAAAAAAGTTTTAATAATTATATAACACCCCTACCTTTTGTGTGTATTGGGGGTGGGGGGTGGGGCGGTGTACTCCAGTATACCACTCATTTTTTTCAATACCAAAGGACTTTTTTTTGTGCAATAATGTTACTTTGGACACAAGCAACTTTGTTTCCCCTTCATGATAAATAAAAGTAAGATCTTTTATTATATTCTTTCTTTTAGTACATTCATTCATAATGATTTATAACACTAAATACTTTTACCAAATATAAAGAAATTTAAATTTCTTTATGATGCTGTCTATAGTCCCTCTTCTGGCCCTCTTCATGGGCTACCCTTCTCACCCCAACTCTGAAACTCCATCACAAGTCCTCACACTCCTCAGCTCTTACAACCCCTCCATCCCCTCTCCTTCATCCCTACCACCTCCAAAAATGAGGCTCAGTTTGAAGGCAGCAGGAAGAATCCCCTGAAATGGGCAGATCCCTATCATGGAAGGAGAGATGTTAAGACAGCACCCTCCAAGCTCCACTGTGGGGAGCTAAGCACTGCAAGGAGTACATCAGAAGTGGCAGCTCTGAGGACATGTCTGGACTGGAGGACTCACGGGAAGGAAGCAGCGAATCCAATAGCTGCTTACATTTTTTGTATAAAATTTTAAATTTATAATATATTAAATAGTGTGATTTTTTAAAAATGTGAAATACTAAAACTAAGGTAAATGCATAGAACATTTGTAAGCTGTACTCACCCACTTTAATTCAAGTAGAGCCCTCTTTGTTCCTACAGACATCTGTTGAATTTTTAAAATCTCAGCTGTTGTTTATCATTTACTCATTTTCTGAGTTTTTAAAACTTGCGTTTTATCTTTCCTATTATATTTAATACTAACAAAGGGAATGGGCAACACAAAGGCAATATTCAATGTAATGTATCTTACAGCTCAACAGCACCTTCTGAACAATATCTAAGTGGCAGCAGGGGAGCTATAAGAAGTCCCATATCATGGAAGAATAATGGAAGGGAGAATAAAGAGGTGGGCATGGGTCACATCATGATCAGGCAGACTTCTAAAGGCCTGTGATAAAAAACCCAGACTTCGTCCTGAAGGTGCTGAAAGCCAATAAAGGGTTACCATCAGGAACCGCCTATGTTTTATAAAGATGTTTATGGATAATGAATTCGAAGGGAAAACACCACAAGGAAGATACCTGGAGTAAGTGGAACAAAATACAAGCAAGGAGCATTGTTACTCAATAACTTTTACTACAAGTGACAGAAAACTATCCCAAGATGGCTTAAGCAAAAAATAATTTATTTTATAAACTCACAAAATTATGTAAGAAATTGAGATTGCCTACAGAGTACACAGCCTGAGAAAAGAGATATTATAAAGGGAAGTTAGATATCTTATCCCTTAGTTCCCCCTGCCAAGGTGAACTTTCTAGAACCTTATAACAAATCTCCCACCACCTTGTTTCAAAGAGTAATTTACTACAACAATTGCATAATCCACATTCATTCATTTAATGAAGGTTTAATATGAGCCAAGCAAGCTCTGTGTTGATAGCTGTTAGGTATATATACTGGTAGGAAAAGGAAAAAACAAAAATCCTGAGATCCCCTGCTTTCACAGATCTTACAGTCTAGAGGAGGAGAGAACATTTTCTTAAAAGCTTGTAAAAAATTCTGAAACCTCTCTAAACCTCGGTTTTAATTATATATATATATATATATATAAATAAAGAGAAGGTTCTAGGAGATTTGTTGTAAGGTTCTAGAAAGTTCACTTTGGGGCTGGGCGCAGTGGCTCATGCCTATAATCCCAGCACTTTGGGAGGCAAAGGTGGGCAGATCACTTGAGGCCAGGAGTTCGAGACCAGCCTGGCCAACATGGTGAAACCTCGTCCCTACTAAAAGCACAAAAATTAGCTGGGCATGGTGGCACATGCCTGTAATTCCAGCTACTGGGAAGGCTGAAGCATGAAAATCACTTGAACTCGGGAGGCGGAGGTTGCAGTGAGTGGAAATCGCGCCACAGCACTCCAGTCTGAGTGACGGAGTGAGACTGTCTCAAAAACAAAAAAAAAAGAAAAGAAAAAAGAAAAAGAAAGTCCACTTTGGGAGAAACTATGGGATAAGGTATCTAACCTCCCTTCATAATCTCTCTTTTCTCAGGCAATGCACTCTGAGGCGATTTCATATGTATATATTTATTTATATACATATTTTCATAGACTGTTGTAAGGACTAAACAAACAGTCTTACTTTAAAAACCACCAAGTCTCCATGAATAAACTAAGAACATTATTTGGCGTGGTTATCTTTACTTGTTTGTATCTCCTACAAAAGGTAAACGTTTTAATAGTGGTATAATGAAAGGTACATCTTGATGTATGTTCTCGTACAACAGATATATTTTGTCACAACACCTTAGGGAAACAGCAAATAAAGACAAATTTAAAAAGAAAGCTTAAAATTTTAAACTTCAGTTAAACTTCACGTTTAACTTAAAGTGAAAAGCAAACAAAACAAATAGTAAGTCTGGCAACTCAGGTGAGCCATAGGTCAAAATGACTACATAGGTTATCAATAAGCCCCATCCCAAGTGGAATTCTGAAGAACTGTCCAGAAAGTTATCATATGTAAAAACTGACAATTGACAATATATAGCTTAGAAGAAAGAAAACTTGGAGAAAAATTCACAATCTTTACAGACATATGTCATTTAGTGTAAGGACTAAGAGCCAAGACAGTATGTGTATTATAAGAATGCAATAATTAAATCTTGAGTAAATATTACATTAAATAATGTACATTATACTGCTTTTAGAAAAAGGTAGTATTACGCGATATGCTTTAGAAATATTTTAATCCAAAAGAATAAAAACCACAACCTCTTTTGTTCCCTAAAATTATTTTATTCCTAAAGGAATCACATATATATTTTCAGTTAGAAAAAAAAAAACAAACAACTACTGTAGATCCAGTACAGAGAACAGATTGGAGGAGGGCAAGCATGGATGTTGAAAGAACAATTAAGTTGTTATTGTTATTGCATTAGGCTAGGTAAAGAGAACAGTGGCTTGGAGTAAGATTGGCAGAAAGAAGAAAAGAAACCAAACGAAGTGGGCAAATTTGAGAGCTATTCGAGCAGGTAGAAGAGAATGGACTGGGTATCTGATTGGACAGGGGGTTAAGAGAAGAAGAATCAAGGTGACTTCTATGTATCTGGCTTGGACAGCTGGGTGGATGTTGCTTTTATCAAAATGAATTAAGGACAGCCAGGGAAAGGATAGGTTTAGGGAAAAAGAAGATGAACGCAGTCTTGCACATACTGAGTCTGAGTACGTACAAGTTAAGATGAAATCCTTGGCCGGGCACGGTGGCTCATGCCTGTAATCCCAGCACTTTGGGAGGCTGAGATGCGCGGATCACCTGAGGTTGGGAGTTTGAGACCAGCCTGACCAACATGGAGAAACCCCGTCTCTACTAAAAATACAAAATTAGCCAGGCATGGAGGTGCATGCCTGTAATCTCAGTTACTTGGGAGGCTGAGGCAGGAGAATTGCTTGAACCCAGGAGGCGGAGGTTGTGGTGAGCCGAGATCACGCCATTGCACTCCAGCCTGGCAAACAAGAGCAAAACTCTGTCTCTTAAAAAAAAAAAAAAAAAGATAAAATCCTCATTGGTTTGATATAAATGTCTTGAGCTAAGAAGAGACATCTTTGATGTACATATAGATATCAAGTCATTATATCATTTTAGATAGGAAGTAGGCCAAAAATGTGATGTCGTCATGGATATCAAGCATTCTAAGAAGTTAGGTATGTCAGAGGTACTGAATACTACTCAACAGTCAAATAGGATCAAGACAAAAATGTGTTTGGTTTAGTACAAAAGTTTGTTGGAGTCACTGGTGACCTTAGTAAAGTTGTTTTAGTTGTGGGAAATCAAGACACACTACAGTGAGTTAAGAGTAAAGGGGAGGTCATGAACAGTGTATGTAACTCTAAGCATTCTGGCCATGACGATGAAGAAGGAATGTAGTTATCTGGAGAGGAAAGCACAGAGGTTGTCTGAAGACTGGTGGAGGAAATATGGAGGGGTTGTCAGAAGGCTGGGAGAGATGTAAGCATGTTTTAAAAAGCTGATGAGAAGGATATAACTGAAAGGAGTAAGTTAAAGATGCAAGAAAAGAGAGAGTCGATAGTCTCTCTTTTCCTGAAAAGAGGAAGGGAATGAGATCCACAGCATAACCTGAGAGACTCATCTTATAGGGAGGACAAAACACTATCAATTGTGCCTTGAGCGAAAGAGAGCAGGCAAACAGGTTTACAGCATGCTCGCATCTGAAGCTCCCAATTTCTTTATGAAGTTGTGTGGAGTGGGTATAGGATTATTGGTTTAATGGAGGAAATAATGATTTGCTTACAGAAATTGGGAACTGACCAATAGTGCTGAAGGCCCAGTGGAATTTGGTAATCATAAAATTTAGAGTGGTACTATTCTTTCCTGTTTTACACCTACAGAAAATTTCAGGGCTCACATAAGAGATGATATATTCATAGTAAGGCACTTATAATTTCAGAGAACAGTTTTAACAACAGCCTGCCTAAAATAAATGATTACATGATTCTTGTATTTTATCAGTTAACTGAGCCTAGTAATTTTTCCCCATTTGAAAAGGTACACATTTTAATCATCAAGATGTCATTTAAATGCTATCAAATCCAAGATTTTTAGTACAAGTCAACTATATCATATGACCACAACTATAAAATGCATTGATATAAAAGTGTTTTCTTAATACATAAAAATATAGCTGTATGTAGCTATATTTTTGTGTACAAATGTGGAATCCTCATTAATCTGATTAGATGACCCTAACTGGGTTAGACTCTTACACTAACACTGTGAAGAAAGACTCTGCTAAATACATAAGGGCATTTTTGTTTGCTTAATGGGCTAAACTTTAAGATTTTAGCAAGTCAGTTGTCATATATGATTGCAAGCTAAAGTCCCAATTATTCATGGAAGGTTGGCTTTTTAGGATCTGCTTAGAAATGCTTCATTGGCAACTTAAGTTATTAGATATACTTAAAATATTAACATTACATTTAAAATATTCTTTAAATTCCACCAATTTAGCATGGATTTCCTAAGTTATCCAGCATTTACTGTAAGTTTATACCTAAAGTAATCTTGAATGACCACCAACAAATGCCTTTACAATCTACAAGGCATAAATATGCACAAATAATATGATTTAAACATCAAAAATAATATTCATGTTTCCATGAGTAAACAAACTCAAGTACTTATGATTTTTTACAATACTGGAATATAATCTTAGGCATTAATGTATCAGTGGTCCCTAAACAATTCCCAGTATTACAGAAATGGCAGTAGTTATTTAAAAATTCACTGAATTCAAATTTTCATTACTAAATAGGAAATTTTTAAAAGGGCCCAACCTATAAGCCTACTTATTATAAGCCAAAATGATTTTAAAAGCTAACACTGGTCACATTCCCCTTAATACTCAAGTTTTCTAAACAACCATCCATTTATTTTACCCTTAGAAAACTCTCCTATATTTATCCAAAGTAAATATAAATCAGGAATAAATGAATAATTGATATGATTACTTATGTTTACATGGACTTTTTGATCAATTTCAAAGGTGAAAAATCCAGTAATATCTTTTCTAATACAAAATTTTCTTAACAAAAACATTTAAGTAATACCCATAAAAATATCCCCCAGGGATTTTTTCAATATAATTATTGAGTTCAAGTTTAAAGTAATCAATATAGATAAAACCTACTTTCTGTCAGATCCTCAATCTTTTCCCACACAGTAACAGCATGAGATCTATATCTTGTACTCAAATCCTGAACTACCAATACTTAGGAATTCAAATTAATATTAAGTGGAAAAGGTGCTCTTTCATGTAAAGTCACAGAATCTCAAATCTCCTTATTAAGGCTAGTTAAGATACCCAAAGCATCAAATATAAAAACAATGTTCACTGCCCATTAACACTGCAGAAGTATCTAACACTTGTATGATTCTACTGCATAAAATTTGCTTGCTATACTAAAAACAACAAATAACAGACTAGAGTATTGTTATAGTGGTTTAGAGAACCTTACAAAAGATCTTTTTGATTATTGTAATGCAACATTGAATCTTCACGAAAAGCATAGCATCGTTACATTTTGGGAAGACTCTGATCTGTAATGTAATAAAACAGCGTAGCCTCACCTACATGGTGATAAAGGCCCATAATGACTAAGCCAGGTAGGCCATGGCTTATCAGATTTTTATTCATTTTACATCATAGTCATTCCCCTCCTCTTTGTTGTATATAAAGTGCTTTTCAGTTTATCAGTATATTACACTTTTAAAAAATAACTGTTCAAGAGAAGTTACAATGATTCAGCAACTAAATCTTAAACCCAAGAGCAAGAAATGCAGCTGATTTTTTTCTAAAGCAACAAAATTTCACTCAAGAAAATCTTCCTGTATGGCCAGAGAAAAAGAATTAGTTTAATAATTCAATAAAACATATGCTATGAAATTGACCATCCGAAAAATAAATAATCATATGAATCAGTGCCTAAATTCTGTAATTTTGCTGTTATTTTCCAGTAGATGAAAAGCATCCTGATTCACTTAATTTTAACAGGCTCATAATTTAGGTGACACATTTTAAGATACTATCCTTGTAAGCTTCCTTATCTTTAAAAATTTATTTACTATTACCTGCAAACAATAGGTAACAGAGCTTTGCCTCTGCTCTTCATTCTTTTATACTAACGTATACTCACAGCTTGAATAAAACATTACAATATTTATGAAATTAATCATTGTAATAAGAGCACTACTTACAATTTACTATTTTATAATCTCCCTCTGCCACTTCCTACAAAGCTCTTTTTACCCTCTTTGTTTAAAATTTCAGGGTTTTTTGGGGGGGGGGGGGTAGGGAAAATGCATTCTGGAACGGACAGCAATTAAAAGTATTAGCAAAAATAAAGGGACTAATCTTTCTTCAATATTGGACAATATAAGATCCTAAGGTTAATTTAAAAAACAAAAGCTAAATCACAGATTTGCAACAGTTCACACCCTGAAAATGTGGCCTAATTAGCCTGAAAACATATAATCTATAAATAAATACAGATAAAATACAAAAATCACATTTAATATTCTGACTTTAAATCCTGAATTTTGCCAAACTGTCTCATTATCATTTTCATTTCAGAATCTATCTTGTTTCAGAAAAATAGCCTTCATCCATTGATATTCTAAAAATAGACTCCTACTGTCTTTTTTACAAGAAAGAATATCGCTTGGTTCTGAGTCCTTCCCTATCAGCTACATCATCAATACCTAAAATTCTTATTTAATCCCGTTTTTGGCAATCAAAATGGTAACTAAACACACAAAAAAATCTTACCTATATGCTGCATTTTCTTTCAAATGCAAAGTGGTTAGATTCCCCTTCTACTTAATCAGTACAGGGTCTGGACATTTTTCAGTCTGACTTGCAAATATTTGCTTTCCCTCTTAGGGCATAGCATCCGCAGGGTTATACAGCACTACTTACATTCTCTTCCACATAAAAATCAGACATTACATGAAAGGAAAAGAAAGACAGCCCATTTCAAAGCATCTGGCAAACCTCCATTGGCAAACTGCCAAGCCTCTGCTAAACCTTCCTGTCTTTCCGAGCATGCTCACTTAAAACCAACAGCACGTTACTATGGCAACTCTGTAGGCAGCCTGTAAGTATGAACCGCCATTCTGATTTCAGAGTGTAAAAAAACCAAATACTGCAGGGGAAGTAAAAGGAAAGAAATAGCGTATGCCCTTCATTACATATGACTATACTCGTTTCATTTCATAAATTCATATTTGTGTATTTAAAACAGAAACAAGAATCCCACATTTTTCCAGGCCAATATTTTTCATGCTCAAATAGGTCCCCCTTTTCAGTAAATTCATTGTCTTTGTCTTGCCCCTAAACCCTTTTACCCCGTAACAACCAAAAATGTACTAGACAGTTTATCCCATTTGATACAACACTGCAGAATAAACAACAGTATTCATATAAGCAATCATGAAGTACTCCATGGATGATTTCCTACAATTATATGCATATTATAAATGACATGGCAATATTATAAAGAAAACCATTAGCACTTAGAACATATAATCTAAATATTTTCTATGATTTATCAAATTGCCAAATGAAATTTTCTTTGGGGTTTGGATAGGATTTTTTTTAACCTTAATTATCCTTGAAATATTGTGAAATGTCTGAAAGAGGTTTTAAAGTTGAGACAGGCCAGACCTGAGTACAAATCCCTCTTCTACCCATTTTAGTTGTGCCAGCTTGGGAAAGTTACTTAACTTTTCTGAATCTCCCTTTCCTTACCTTTAAAGTAGGATAACAACAGTTACTTCATATGGTAGTAGTTTAAATGAGTTACACATATAAAATACCTAAAAATTACATTTTTTTCCCTCCTGGGTTGTTTTGGAAAAGACCCCAAAAAAACCAGTTTGCACTTGTTGATTAACTAACCTGAAAAGTATTTTCTTGTAATCTCTTACTAAGAATTAGTTCTGATTTACACACTATGCTATGAGCCAAAATGCTTCCTCAACACCCAAATTAAGCAATGCTAGAAACGGACAGAAACAAATAATAGAGAATCTAAACAGAGGGAAAAATATATGAAGGTATTATTTTCACTAGAGAGTATTAAGATGTTTTTGTTACAAACATGAAATTACACCTACCACCTCTTCTTCTGTCTTTTTGGCCTCCTTTTCCTTCTCTTCATCATTTTCTTCAGCTGGGCCATCTTCATCATCACTACTGGATGACTCAAGGATTTCACTTATATCCATTTTCCAATTATCAGGAACAACTCTAGTTTTTAAGAAGATGCTTGCTTTCTGAAGCCCTAAGAGTGAAAATGTACTTCAGCAGTTGCTATGGAATTGGCAGCATAGAACAATAGAAAAGGCATGGCATTCAGAATCAAAGATCTGAATTCAAATTCGGCTGTCATTTATAAAATGATACAGTAAGCTTTAACATATTTCATAAGTTATAATGTTATATAAACATTTGTTATTACTTTACGGAATACTGTGAGACAATGGTAAAATACGAAAAGTTAAACTTATCTAATCACAAATCAAATATTGTATCTAGACATTAAAAAAAAATCAAGTAAGAGTGGATATCAACTCTAAACAGTTAAAATGGTGGTACCAGAGAGTATCAGTCTTGCTTTATTTGCTATTTTCCAAATAGAGCCACAACATAAAATAATAGGGTAATTCATCTTTATTTTACCTGGTTTAGTGGAGAGCTCAGATTCCGGTAGATTGAGAATGTCTACTTCCTTAATGTCCTTTCTTGCTATAGAGTAACTAATTATCAAGAAGAAGGGGAGGAAAACAATTTATTCAATAAAAATTATCACTTAAATAGTTCATGTTAACACATAGAAAAATAAAAACCTCAAAATCAAAATATTGTCTATAAAATGTTTTTATCTTAGTCCTTAACAAAAGGTAAGAAGAGGAAATACGGGCAAAGTTAGTTATCTTAATTCTGAAGTTGTATATACTCAAAGTACATTGAGAGCCTCACATTCACAATATTTCAATCTATACAATCCTCCTACAGATAGTACGGGGTAATTCATATCAGCATGATGTTTTCAACACTTGTAGACAACAATGTCTATTTTATTATTTGTGAAATTTATTTTTCATTTTAGTAAAAAAGCACATTTACTAGACAGTAATATTGAAATATTTTTATCACTATAAAATATATTATGGCATTAAATTTTTCACAGAGAACTATAACTCAAAAAACTTTTTTAATTTCACTGTTTTGATCACAAAGCAGAGATGAGGTTAGGAAAAAGTTTCTGTAAGTCTGGATTTTTTTTTTTTTTGAGACAGAGTCTCACTCTGTCGTCAGGCTGGAGTGCAGTGGCGCGATCTCGGCTCACTGCAGCCTCTGCCTCCCGGGTTCAAGCAATTCCTTTGCCTCAGCCTCCCGAGAAGCTAGGACTACAGGCATGCACCACCACACCCGGCTAATTTTTTATATTTTAGTAGAGAGAGGGTTTCACCATGTTGGCCAGAATGGTCTCGATCTCCTGAGCTCATGATCTGCCCACCTCAGCCTCCCAAAGTGCTGGGATTACAGGCGTCAGCAACTGCGCCCGGCCCAAAAGTCTGGATTGTAATCATGAAAAAAGTCAAAATAATTGCTCTTGTAATAGAGATTAAAAAATAAGCTTCGGAGTTAATAATAAATGTCACATACTACTAGTACATGATAAAAATATAGAATTTTACAATTAAGGAAAAAATCAATACCATCTTTTGCTAAAAAAAAAACTGTTCTTAATATTGTTCTCACATAATGTTCACATTTTTTATATAAAATTTATTAGTGAAAAATACCCTACATTACAAAAAGTCAAAACCTATTAGGTAACAACTTCTCAGTTCATGAATGATTAGACTTTTAAAAATAAAGTTTTGGTGGGGGAGGTGTCTATCATTGTAATTCTATTTTTTTTTTCCTCCCACGTAACATCATTAAAGGATTCATTACTCACAATTTAGAATCAATAAATGATCGAACTAAACACTGATCCTTTTTCACTGTGATGTCATCATTACAGCTGGGAGATATTACCTGAAATATAAAATAAGAACAGATTGATTCCTATTTCCTGTGCTCAGAAAAACAGTATTTTTCAAAAGAACAATTCTGGATCCCCTAACTTCTCAAATAGATTATATTTTACAAAAAACAGCTTCATTATAAATAGCTCCTATTATTAATGAATTGCATACAAAAAAATATACCCTTATATGTTTTGTCTGCACATTGGTTGCCTAGAAATTTAATTTATCCATAGTCATTAGATTATAAAGTGAATAATTAATGAAATAACAGGGCCAGGCCTAGTGACTCATGCATGTAATCCCAGCATTTTGGGAGGTCAAGGTGGACAAATGGCTTGAGCTCAGGAGTTCAAGACCAGCCTGGGTGGCATAGTGGGACCCTGTCTCTACCAAAAATACCAAAAATTAGCCTGGTGTGGTGGTGTGTGCCTATAGTCCCAGCTACACAAAAGGTTGGGATGGTAAGATCACTTGAGCCCAGGAGGTGGAGGCTGCGGTGAGCCAAATTCACAACACTGCACTCCAGCCTGGGTGACAGAATGAGACCCCATTTCAAAAAGAAAAGAAATATAAATTCAAATGTGACCAGCACTTTAAAAATATGAGGATTTATTCTAAGCTAAATTATTGTCCAAAAAATAAAATGTATAATCTGTGATGAAAATTTGGCATATAATTTTTAAAAATATACTTGAATAAGGATCTTTTTTGAAATCTGGTCATTAAAAAAAAAAAATCTATGTTACCTTTTTTAACCAAGATATGTACAATCCTTAGTAATTAAAACAAGTTAAAACATGAACAAAGAACTTTTTAATTTCTTAACTTCTGAAAATAGTATCTTAACAATATAATTGGTAAATACTCTCTGTATCCTTTATAGAACTTTATATTTTTTAAAAGCTGATTAAATATATCTGTTCATGCTCTCCCTAACACTAGCCTCTCTCTGCTACATTCCAGCACCATTCACAGACCTTTGTGCACTGATGGAAACGTTCTATATCTGCACTGCCCTATACAGTAGCAGTGAGTCACATGGTGCTAAACACTTGAAATGTGGCTGGTGCAACTGAGAGACTGAATTTTTAATTCTATTTTATTTTAATTAAGTTACATTTAAACTTAAATGGCCACATATGGTTCATGGTTATCATACTGAATAGTGTATATCCAGATAATTGAATATTCTTGGCAGTCACATCAGCTGTCTTAACACCAGATGGAAGTATTTGTTTGTTTGCTTGGTGCCAGTAATTATTAGACTAATAATATAGCTGTGCCAACCCTCAAGGAGCTAACAGTATACTGGAGGGGCAAACATAAAAAGATACACAAAAAGAACACAATGGAGGATAAGTACAGTGATACCACTAGGCACATAATAGTATGAAAACATCAAGGAGGAAGATTTCACCTAACCTGGGCAAGGAAAAGGTGTGGCAGGAAAAGCTTAAGGTAAATTTTAAAGGATGAGTAGGCATAACCCAAGGTCTAATTACCTTACCTATGAACTATTTAATGGCCTTCAAATAGATTCCTGCCACCTCCAGTCTTTCTAGTAACACGCCATTCTTCATTCACGTTCCTAAACATGTAGCTCAAATAACAACACTCTTTTGGAAAATTCTCTGCAGAATTATGTCCAAATTCTTTAGATGAACTTTTAAAGACCCTTCTGCCCTAGATTCAAATTATGTTCACAGCTATATTTCCTATTATTCCCCCACTCGCATCTAATATTTAGCCAAAATGGATTCCCAGAGCAAACAGTTCCATGAACAAACCCATTCCTACTTTTTTTTCTGAGACAGAGTCTTGCTTTGTTGCCCAGGCTGGAGTGCAGTGGCGCGATCTCAGCTCACCGCAAGTTCCGCCTTCCGGGTTCATGCCATTCTCCTGCCTCAGCCTCCCAAGTAGCTGGGACTACAGGTGCCTACCACCACGCCTGGCTAATTTTTTGTGTTTTTAGTAGCGACAGGGTTTCACCATGTTAGCCAGGATGGTCTCGATCTCCTGACCTCGTGATCTGCCCACCTCAGCCTCCCAAAGTGCTGGGATTACAGGCATGCTATTTTTTTAACCTATTTTTTTGTTTCCTCTAGTGAAGCTTTGCCTACTATCTTTAAATCCTTCAAAGCTCACCTCAAAAGCACCTGCTTTGTGAAGGCTTTCTGTATTTTCCTCAAATAAATGTAATCTCTCAGGCCAGGGAGTCCTAATATTGAACATATACTATTTTATATTACTGTTACTTGAATTATTCTGTACATTATACATAAAATCGTCAAATGTAAGAATAGTGTCTTACTTATTTTTTATTTTCAATATCCCCTGGTAAATGATAAATCTGAGTAAATAAAAGAATTTGTTATTAAAAAAAAAAACTCTTGGCAAACCTACAATCTGAATATTCTGAATCCAAATTACTTATTTTTCTATACAACTGAAAGGTTCAAGGGACTTTCAGAATTTCCCCATACAAATTAAATCTATTATCTAGGAACTGAGTAATATATTTACATGCACATAGAAACCTAAAAATATACTTTCAGCTCTTTACAGGATTATAGTCTAATTTGGGATACATTTTGTGCCACAATTATTATTAGAGATAAGTGATACCAAAAATCAAAGGGGCATACTTATGTTAAGAATATTTAGGGCCAGGCGCAGTGGCTCACACCTGTGATTCCAGCACCTCGGAAGGCCAAGGCCATTGTCTGAGCCCAGGAGTTTGAGACCAGCCTGGAGAACATGGCAAAACCACATCTCCACACAAAAATACAAAAATTAGCCAGGTGTGGTGATGTACACCTGTGGTCCCAAGCTACTCAGGAGGCTGAGGTGGGAGGATCACCTAAGCCCAGGGAGGTTAAGGCTGCAGTGAGCCGTGATCACACCACTGCACTCCAGTCTGGGCAACAAAGATCCTCTCTCAAAAACAAAACAAAACAAAACAAAACAAGAGTATTTAAGAGAAACCTTGCAAAGAATGTAGGACTTGAGCTGAACTTTAAGAGATATTTAAGAGGGGATGAAGAAGTGGAGGAGGAAGTAAAGGAGTAGGAAGAGAAGAAAAAAGGCATTAATTTCCAATCATTTTTTATTCCTCTCTGAAATAATTCTCTTGTGTATCGCTTCTTCTTATTCCTTCTCTGTGTAAGCAAAAATTAGCTTTCTCTACCAACCCATCCAAAACTTGTCATTTCTAAAATCTTCCTTAAATTTTAGGTGAACCCCTCCTTTCTTACTCCATTCAGTACCAAATTGTTTTTTTTAATTTACTATACAATCTTTAATAACTATGTAATCTCTTACATGTCTACAGTAAGCTTCTTGAGGGCAATACATTAAAGCCTCGTATTTGTTTATCTTCTAAGGAGCTTAGAACAAAGCTGAACTCACTGCAGATCCTCAGTAAATACTAATTAATTTAAGGCAGGGATAAATGCTTAGAGGAGTGATGTATCTTAAATACAGGGCAGTTAAAGAACTTGAGTAGAGTTTACATTAAAAATAGGAAATAAATTGAGAGCCAGGGATGGCCTCAAATATCCATTTAAAAAATGCAAAACTGATCAATTAGGCAGACTCGCTGAAGGTTGTCTATTTCTGAGAATGGGACTATCATGACTAAATGATATTTTAAAAAGACTTCTCAGCCAGGCATACCAGCTCATACCTGTAATCCCGGCCCCTTGGGAGGCCAAAGTGAGAAGATTGCTTGAGCCCAGGAGTTTGAGACTGGCCTGGAAACATCATGAGGCTACATGTCTACAAAAAATAAAAAATAAAAAAATAGCCAGGTGTGGAGGCACACTCCTGTACTTGTAGCTGCTTGGGAGGCTGAAACAGGAGGAACGCCTGAGCCCAAAAGGCTGAAGCTGCAGTGAGCTGTGCTCACGTCACTGCACTCCAGCCTGGGAAACAGAGTGAGACCCTGTCACAACAGCAAGAAAAAACGATTTCTCTATAAAAGTTAGTACTGGAAAATTAATCTGAATTAACAGTAAAGAAAGAATTCAAGAATCAAGTTAAGGCCAGGCGCGGTGGCTCACGCCTATAATCTCAGAACTTTGGAGGCCGAGGTGGGCGGACCATGAGGTCAGGAGATCGAGACCATCCTGGCTAACATGGTGAAACCCTGTCTCTACTAAAAATACAAAAAATTAGCCAGGCGTGGTGGCAGGCGCCTGTTGTCCCAGCTACTCCGGAGGCTGAGGCAGGAGAATGGCGTGAACCCGGAAGGCAGAGCTTGCAGTGAGCCGAGATCGCGCCACTGCACTCCAACCTGGGCGACAGAGCGAGACTCCATCTCAAAAAAAAAAAAAAAAAAAAAAAAAAGGGAACCTAAGGTAATGGGAATAGAGTAAAAAGCCATTGGACATATTATGAGGGAAGAAATATAAAAGAGCTCAATAAAAGCCTACAGAGAATTAAAGAAAGAATAACCAAAGAAGACAGTGAAGTATTATGGACCTGACTATGATTATTCAATTAAAAAATCTCCAATAAAGTCCAAATTTGTTTAATACTTTCAAAATATTTTAAATGCTTTTAAAAAAATCCATTTAAAACAAATATTTAGACGGCTGATTAACTCTGCAAAGAAACTTTACTTACCAAAGCAGGATACCATTCAGTCCTCTCCGTTGCAGACACCACACTTACAACTTTTCCTAGTAATTCATCATTGAGACGGCGCTTGTCTTCATCTTCCTCTTCACTGCTTTCTTCTTCCTTTTCATCTTCAGTACTAAAAGTTAGAATAACTTGATCATTATCCTAACACAAACAATTATTTGATACAGAGTATTGTGAATTTAATATAGTCAATTCAATTTCTAATGGACTACACCCTAAAGTAGTAGCCTCTCCATTCTTATTGTAACTGAAGACATGGGTCCTTCCTTAGCCTCACAGAGGTATGTAGTCCTGAGTTGTCTATGGTAACTCTGAGTCCACTTCGCCAGATCAATGAGTGCTTAGACTTAGGCTCTCATGCCACCACCAGCTGGGACAGAAAAACCTAATTACACCACCATTAAATACTTATTGTGCCAAATACTTTTTTTTTTTAAGATTGCCCTTCTATTTTTATGCCAGATAATATAACATATAACTTTAATTTTCTAACTGGCTATGAAAATATCTCATTAAAACACCCATAAGGTTTACTTAAGGTAACTTATCTGGGTAACTAAAGTTTACCCTTAAGTTTCAACAAATTTTAAGCATATATATATATATATATATATATTTTTTTTTTTTTTTTTTGGAAATGGAGTCTCGCTTTGTCACCCAGGCTGGAGTTCAGTGGTGCTATCTCAGCTAACTGCAACCTCTGCCTCCTGGGGTTCAAGAGATTCTCCTGCCTCAGCCTCCTGAGTAGCTGGGATTACAGGCGCATGCCACCACACCTAGCTAATTTTTGTATTTTTAGTAGAGACAGGTTTTCACCATGTTGGCCAGGCTGGTCTTGAACTCCTGACCTTAAGTGATCTGCCCGCCTCAGCCTACCAAAGTGCTGGGATTACAGGTGTGAGGCAACGTGCCCAGCCAAGCCTACATTTTTAAGACATCCTGCAATATATTGATAATGTTGGAGTTTATTAAAGTATGCAGAGCTATTAACTCTTATTAAATGGCTCAAAACCACTTGGTTCATTATATTTTTATGGTTTTAGTCCTTTTTTTCTTGTCATAGACTTCTCAGCTGTGAGACTCCACAGTTTTCTTTATTGACTGCATCTACTGATCTTTCCTGTATTTCCTTTTGACACATCTTCCAATCTGCTGCACTCTGAGAAACCAGATAACTCAACTTGTTAAAATTATAAAATAAGTATGAAGGAGTTTTCAGTAGAAGTCTATGGAGTTAGCTTAGAAATAAAATACTGGGTATTGAATTATTAAATATATATCATGTCCTGAGTACTTATTACACACTAATAAATTTATATACATTATCGGCTGGGTGCAGTGGTTCACACCTGTAATCTGAGCACTTTGGGAGGCCGAGGCGGGTGGATCCCTTGAGGTCAGGAGTTGGAGACCAGCCTGGCAAGTATGACAAAACCCCATCTCTACTAAAACACAAAAATTAGCCAGGTGTGGTATCACACACCTGTAGTCCTGGCTACTCGAGAGGCTGAGGCACGAGAATCACTTGAACCTGGGAGGCAGAGGTTGCAGTGAGCCAAGATCGCACCACTACACTACAGTCTGGGTGACAGAGTGAGACTCCATCTCAAAAAAACAAACAAACAAAAAACCAAAAAAAACAACAACAACAACAAAAAAGAAAATTCTATACATTATCTAATACAAAAACCAGCAAGACATTACTGTTCCCATTTTCCTCAGCTATAAATTGAGAATAATAATATCTTGCAGGTTTTTGTGAAGATTTAATGTACATAAATGTAGTTAACTTTAAAGAGGTTAAGTAATTTTCCCAAAGTGATATATCTAGTATATGGCTGAGTTGGGATTTCCATTTAGGGTCCTCGGAGGTCTTTTATTATTTTCTGGTTTGCAGCTTAGGTGTTATCTGACTTTGCCTTTAAAAATACTCATTATATACTCCCCAGCAGCAGTGAGTACATATCTAATACCAGGATCTTGGTTTCTAAATATTAATTCCCACTAAAATAAATGAGGGACCCTTGTAGAAATGGCCAATTCCAGGGTTGGCGCAGGAAAAAATTAACATGAGCCTAGGATACCTTGTCATGCCAGAAGGTGAAAAAGTGCTCAAGAAATGGTGAGGCCATATCAAAAGAACACAGAAGCCATCCTGGAAAGGCTCCCAGGCTCCCTTGGCTAAATCTGGAACAACCTGAATTGTAACCCATTAAGTAAAATTAGAATCCATAGCGTTAGGAAAAGAATTTCATTATAGCTAAGCGATAACCAAAAAATGTAGCAAGAATGAAAAATTAGAAAAATCAGCATTTTGCTATCATAATAGTACTAACTGATTCAGGCAAGAATTATTAGTACATGATAAAATTTGTGAATCAAAGTTTGACAGAGACTAGAATATTTAAATAGTCTCAAAGTATCTCCACACAGATTTTACAAAGGGGAAAAACGGTAACTATAGTAATTCTGAAGTTTAGAAATTTGGCAGGCACCACCTTAATCAAAGTTAGTATCACCAGATATGGGACAAACTGATAATACTTCTTGCTGTGCTTTCCTTCAGGACACAACATCACTTATGGAGTATAATATATAACCTGAATCTAACAATGAGAAAACAATCCAACATATTAGGGAACAGGTTACAAGACTATTGTCTTGTATTCTTCAAAAACGTCAATGTCATCGGCTGGGCGTGGTGGCTCATGCCTGTAATCCCAACACTTTGGGAGGCCGAGGCGGGCAGATCACGAGGTCAGGAGATCGAGACCATCCTGGCTAACACAGTGAAATCCCGTCTCTACTAAAAATACAAAAAATTAGCCAGGCGTCGTGGTGGACGACTGTAGTCCCAGCTACTCGGGAGGCTGAGGCAGGAGAATGGCAAGAACCCAGGAGGTGGAGCTTGCAGTGAGCCGAGATCCAGCCACTGCACTCCAGCCTGGGTGACAGAGCGAGACTCCGTCTCAGGGGAAAAAAAAAAAAAAAAAAAAAGTCAATGTCATGGAAGAAAAAAGGCTACAGAATTTTTTTAGATTAAAGGAGACTCAAGAACCATATAAACTATATGCAATGCATGATCCTGAATTGGATCCTGTAATCAGGGGAACTGGGGGACGCTATAAAGGCTATTATTGGAACAACTGACAAAGTTTGAAATATTAACCATATATTATGATAGTAGTCTATCAGCGTTAAATTTTCTAAATTTGGTATTCATACTTTGGTTATGTAAGAACATCTCCTTGTTCCTAAATATTTAATGATAAAGGATCATGATGCTTGCCACTTCCTCTCAAATAGTTCAGAAAAATAAAATTATTACAAAATATAAAAATAATTAGTATAGGCCGGGTGTGGTGGCTCACGCCTGTAATCCCAACACTTTGGGAGGCTGAGGCAGGTGGATCATGAGGTCAAGAGATCGAGATCATCCTGGCCAACATGGTGAAACCCTGTCTCTACTAAAAATAGAAAAATTAGCTGGGCGTGGTGGCACGCGCCTGTAGTTCTGACTACTCGGGAGGCTGAGGCAGGAGAATCGTTTGAACCTGGGAGGCAGAGGCTGCAATAAGCTGAGATTGCACCACTGCACTCCAGCCTGGCGACAGAGTGATACTCCGTCTCAAAAAAAAAAAAAAAAAAGAAAAGAAAAAAATTAGTATATATATAGAGAGGGAATCGTAAAGCAAATGTGTGAAAAATGTTAAGAACTGGTAAATCTAGATAAAGAGTATATAGACATTAGGCCAGGTGCAGTGGCTCATATCTATAATCCCAGTCAGCACTTTGAGAGGCCAAGGCGGGCAAATCACTTGACGTCAGGAGTTCGAAACCCATTTGGCCAACAAAGCGAAACCTCATCTCTATTAAGAATACAAAAACTAGCCAGGCGTGATGGTGTGTCTGTAATCCCAACTACTCAGGAGGCTGAGGCAGGAGAATCACCGAACCTGGGAGGCAAAAGTTGCAGTGAGCCAAGATCATGCCACTGCACTCCAGCCTTGGTGGCACAGACAAACTCCATCTCACCAAAAAAAAAAAAAAAAAAAAAAAAAAAAAAAAAAAAAAAGAGTATATAGACATTCATACACAGATATTCGTGTATTATTCTTGCAATCTTTAAGTTTGAAATGTTTTTGAAGTAAAAGATAAAAAACATATACTCACTTAAAATAGAAAAATCATCATATCAATTAAAAACTTTGGGCCTGGCGCAGTGGCTCAGGCTGGGTGTGGTGGCTCACGCCTGTAATCCTAGCACTTTGGGAGACTGAAGCAGGTGGATCACGAGGTCAGGAGTTCGAGACCAGCCTGGCCAATATGGTGAAACCCCATCTCTACTAAAAATACAAAAAAAAAAAAAATTAGCTGGGTGTGGTGGCACATGCCTGTAGTCCCAGCTTCTCAGGAGGCTGAAGCAGGAGAATTGCTTGAACCCAGGAGGCGGAGGTTGCAGTGAGCCGAGATTGCACCACTGCACTCCAGCCTGGGCAACAGAGCGAGACTCCGTCTCAAAAAACAAAATCAAAAACAAAACAAAACAAAAAAAACTTCGGCAAAGTAACTTAAAACAAAAATAATCTATTAGAAGTAAGAGTTGTTATCATTCCTGGGCAAATATTGGGAATAATTAAGAACAAGGTCCACTCAGGGTAAAATGTCTAACATAAGGATACAATATGCTATGGAAAGCTTACCCAAATGAATTTAGCCATCCTAACAAAATCCCTTGTTTAAGGTTATAATAATTGTAATTAAAATGATACCATATATGAAAAAACTCACACAGGAAGAGAAGATCTCCTTCCTCTGTTCGTCTTCTTTGCAATTACTGGAGTTCCAAAATGCTCTGGATTTGTTAATGGAAGCTGGTCAAGTGTCTGTATAAGAAATAGATTAATTAAATTACGTTTTACCTCTAGATCAGTACCTGTAGTTCAATCCAAATCGTCCATCCGTGTCACCCTACCTCACTCTCTGCAAAATGTCTCTCTCCTTTCAGACAAAGTGAGGTACGTCTCAATGTTCGCTCATCACCATCATCAAACACTATAATAAGCAAAAGATAACAGAGAATTTATGCACACTAATGAAATAAAAACTTAAAAGCACAGAATGCTATTATTGCTATTAATTAGAGCTTAATATTTGTAAGAACCATTATTTTAGTCATTTTTCAAAACCTTTACAATGAGCATACCATGCCATATTTTTCATTCTACAGATACCAAAAACACAGGTTAAATGGCTGCCCACGACTGCTTAAGTATTTCCATCTGCTTTTTTGATTTCTATCACTACAGAACCACCTTCTTAACTCATTAGCAACCTAGTCAAAGCATAAATATTAAATTAACTGCAATCCTAGAAGAATGAACAAAAACCTGATTAAAAAAAGTATTATGGATTTTTCCACAAAAGTTTAATATTAGAGTACCCCTAACTTCCAGAAACTGACTCCTGGTATTGCTATTGAATTATTCTACTGCTTCTATTTATTTGCATGATAACCTACTACACATGTACCAGCTGCCAAATTCTAAAGTCATAAGATACAAGTTCTTTCTTTTGTTAGAAAAGGATGTAAGTAGTCTGTTTAAAAAAACTTTTTTTTTTTTTAATAAAGACAGGATTTTGCTATTTTACCCAGGTTGGTCTCAAACTCCTGGCCTCAAATTATCCTCCCGCCTAAGCCTCCGAAAGTGCTCGGATTACAGGCATCAACCACTGTACCCAGCTGAGAAGTTTAGAAATAAAGGTTGAAATAAGGAAACAGAAAGATAAAAGTTTGTAGGGCAGGCGTGGTGGCTCATGCCTGTGGTCCCAGCTACTGGAGAGGCCATGGTGGAACGATTGCTTGAGCCGCGAAAAACCAAGGCTCAACCATGGTTAGTGAGCCATGATTGTGCCACTGGGTGACAGCAAAACCAAGATTCTGTCTCAAAAAAAAAAAAAAAAAAAAAAAAGACAAATATAAAGGTTTTTTTAAAAAGAAACTTTAGGCCAGGCGCGGTGGCTCACGTCTGTAATCCCAGCACTTTGGGAGGCGAGGTGGGCGGATCACGAGGTCAGGTCAGGAAATCGAGACCATCCTGGCTAACACGGTGAAACCCCGTCTCTACTAAAAATACAAAAAAAATTAGCCAGACGTGGTGGCGGGCGCCTGTAGTCCCAGCTACTCGGGAGGCTGAGGCGGGAGAATGGCGTGAACCCAGGAGGCGGAGCTTGCAGTGAGCCGAGATTGCACCACTGCACTCCAGCCTCTACGACAGAGCAAGACTCCGTCCCAAAAAAAAAAAATAAAAAAGAAGAAAGAAAGAAAGAAACTTTAAAAAAAATCATAATTACATAGATGCTTTCTCAAATTTTTTGCTTTTACTACTTTTTTTTTTTTTTTTGAGACTGAGTCTCACTCTGTCCCCCAGGCTGGAGTGCAGTGGCGCGATCTCAGCTCACTGCAAGCTCCGCCTCCCGGGTTCACGCCATTCTCCCGCCTCAGCCTCCCCAGTAGCTGGGACTACAGGCACACGTCACCACGCCCGGCTAATATTTTTGTATTTTTAGTAGAGATGGGGTTTCACCATGTTAGCCAGGATGGTCTCCATCTCCCGACCTTGTGATTCACCTGCCTCAGCCTCCCAAAGTGCTGGGATTACAGGCGTGAGCACCGCGCCTGGCCTTTAGTACATATTTTAAAAAATCATACTACTTGGCCGGGCGCGGTGACTCCCGCCTGTAATCTCAGCACTTTGGGAGGCCGAGGCGGGCGGACCACCTGAGGTCGGGAGTTCGAGACCTGCCTGACCAACATGGAGAAACCCTGTCTCCACTAAAAATACAAAATTAGCCAGGCATGGTGGCACACGCCTGTAATCTCAGCTACTCGGGAGGCTGAGGCAGGAGAATCTCTTGAACCCGGCAGGCAGAGGTTGCAGTGAGCAGAGATTGCGCCATTGCACTCCAGCCTGGACAACAAGAGCAAAACTTCGTCTAAAACAAACAAACAAACAAAATCGTACTACTTGACTATATTTAAACATTTCAAGGAAATGGGGTAAGGAATTTTACAATTTATCCCTAATATTCTCCTAATCACTAACAATATATTATTTTGATAATTGTATAGGTTTAACTTTTGAGACTGTATTCTGATTTTAGCATCCAACATTTATAGTTTATTAAAAAGAAAATGCTCTCAGAAGGTACCTCATTGCCCCAGGTTATGAATAAAATAAGATATAATCTTTACTTCAGACACTTAACATCCATATTCACTTAACAAGAAAGCATACATATGTACCCAAAAACAATTATCAAGATTTAGTACTAATTTTCACAATTCTAGATACTTTTTTCCATTCTAACAGAATAAGTCAGTGTTAACAAAAAGAAATTCTACATTACATTCATTTGATATCTTAGAATTTTTTAATTGGTTACCTATGAAATTATAATCCTGAATTATTTTCTGAAAAGGTTGTTTTATTAGCAAACACTTTGCCTTCAAATCCTACGCTTACCTTTAATGAATAAGTTTTTTGAAAGAAAATTATATAAAAGCTTTCAACATGTTAAATATTTATTTACTTCAATCAGTTCTCCCTCTTAGACTACAGATACCTAGCTTAGATTCTTTTACATGCAGGAGACAATGTGGAAAAAATTAAAAACTCCCGAAGCACATACTCAAAGAACCATGATTCTAAAAAAGCAGCTGTGCTATACACAGTCAATGATCCAGAAATTAATGACTAGCTGCAGGCACAATGACAGGTTAAAACACAACATCCTCCAATGATTACATCACTGATCTGCACTTGAGTAATAGGGTGCTAAATATTTGATATAAAAACTATGATTCATATAGTGTCAAGTCTAAAAAATTAACCACTGTTCTCTTAAAGTTTTTAAATCATTAAATTATCACAAACCAAACAATATAATTCTTGTTAGTATTAGTATCTGTAAGTATAAGATTTCAAAAAGAATAAAACCTGAAAGGTTTTCAACTTTTCTTAATGCCTACAATACCAAAGATGACGATACTAGACACACACACACATTTAAATGGAGGTATGAAAAAGGAAAATGTGAATGTAAGACCAACACTCCAAAATTTATATAACAAAATATTTTCTATAATGTTTTATCATTAATCAATGGCAGCCCTAAACCAAAATGTTCTGATGAAAAATTTCAACAATTTCAACATTTTAAACAAAATATTTCAGCAATTTTTGAATTTCAACAATTCAAAAATTTCAATAATCACTTTGAAATAAAATCAGATTTTTGGAAGGAAAAATTCATTTCACTTAAATATACCTTATCATGGATAGAAATTTTTTTTTAAAAAAAGAGATTGCTCAAAAGGGGATTATGATACAAACAACTATTTTACAGTTTTATATAGGAACCCTCCCAACCTTAAGTGAACAAAAAGAAATAATTTAAGATTTATTTATTTATTTAGAGACAGAGTCTCATTCTGTCACCCAGGCTGGAGTGTAGTGGCATGATCTTGGCTCACTGCAACCTCGGCCTCCCAGATTCAAGTGATTCTCGTGCCTCAGCCTCCCAAGTAGCTGGGATTACAGGTGCACGTCACCAGGCCCGGCTAACTTCTGTATTTTTAGTAGAGACGGGGTTTCACCATGTTGACCAGGTTGGTCTCAAACTCCTGGCCTCAAGTGTTCCACCCACCTTGGCCTTCCAAAGTGCTGGGATTACAGGTGTGAGCCACTGAACCCAGACTAAGATTTTTTTAATTCACAAAATTATACAAATGTATGTTGGGTACTTTATAAATTTGTAATTTTGCAAGATTTTCTGAAAGAGAAATAGAAAACCCAACAATGGGGGGCAGGGGTGTGATGGCTCACACCTGTAATCCTGGTGCTTTGGGAAGCCAAGGCAGGAGAATCCCTTGAGTCCAGGAGTTGGAGACCAGCCTGGCTAACACAGCGAGACCCCGTCTTTACAAAAAAAAAATTAAAAATTAGCTGGGTATGGTGGCAGGTGCTTGTAGTCCTAACTACTTGAATGGCTGAGGTAGGAGGATCACATGATCCCAAGAGTTCAGGGATGCAGGGAGCTATAATTGCCACTGCAGTCCAGCCTGGGCAACAAAGTGAGACCCTGATTCTATATTTCTATGTTTTTTATAAAACCAACAACATTATGAACTTATCAATCATGACATCCCTGATGATCAAAACCATGAAGAAGCTCCATCTAAAAGAAAGTTCCTCTCTTAACTTCCATCTTAGAGCTCTCATCTAAAAGAACATAACATTTGTAGGCACTGAAGAGTATAATTTTTGTAAGAGTGAAATAATTAATGTTGTATATAGCAAGTCTAGCTTCTTTTTAGTTCAGTCTTCTATAGCATGCTAAGAGGAAAAAAAGTCAGACTACAAGGATTTAATAATTCTATGAAATGTCTTATATTTTCCAAAAATGGCTTTTGAATAGATTGTTCATTGAGTCTAGCAGAACATACATATAACCAAAAGTGGTATCTCTGTTACTATGTTAGGTATTTTGACAGTTAATTTTAGATGTGAACTTGACTGAATTAAGGAATACCTAGAGAAGTGGTAAAGCAATTACTTCTGGGTGTGCCAGAGGAAACTGGCACATGTGCCAGTGAACCAGGTGGGGAAGATTCACTCTCACTGTGGGCAAGTACCATCCAATTGGCCGGAGGCCCAGACAGAACAAAAAATGAGAGAAAGGGATTTCCTCTCTCTCCTGGAGCTGGGACACTCTTCTCCTTCTGCCCTTGGACATCAGAACTCCAGGCTCTTTGGCTATGGGACTCTGCACCTTATACCAGCAGTCCCTCAGATCTTCTCAAGGCTTTGGCCTGGGACTAAGAATTATATCCTCAGCTTCCCTGGTTCTAAGGCTTTCTGACTTGGATAGAGCCTAGCTATTGGCATCTCAGGTCTCCAGCTTACAGAGAACCTGTCATGGTCATTCTCAGTCCTCATAGTATGATGAGCAAATTTCTCTAATACTGGGGTCTGCAACCCCCAGGTCACAAACCTGTACCAGTCCATGGCCTGTTGGTAACCGGACCGGACAGCAGGTTAGCGGTGGGCAAGCAAGCATTACCACCTGAGCTCCACCTCCTATCAGATCAGCAGTGGCATTAGATTCTCATAGGAGCGCAAATGCCTGTGAACTGCACAAGCGAGGGATCTACCAATAGGTTGTGCATTCCTTATGAGATGCTAATGCCTGATGATCTAAAGAGGAAGAGTTTCATCCCGAAACCATCCCCCAGCACTTCCATCCATGGAAAAATTGTCTCTCACGAAACCGGTCCCTGGTGCTAAAAAGGCTGGGGACCACTGCTCTCAGAAATCCCCTCTTGTATCAATCTGTCTATCTATCATCTATCTATATCTTATTGGTTCTCTCTAGAGAATCCTAATAGGGATTAAAATATTAAAATCTATTAAGAGGAAAATGACAAAGCTGAGACTTTCACAGTAACACCAACCATACTAAACACATTAGACAAAGTAATGCCAATGCAAACAAACACACAAATCCTAACCCTAATCAGCTAGAATTCAAATAAAAGGATCTGATCAACTACTAAATACAAAGACCCATTTCCCTGTTATCACAGCACTGATACTGAAAGATAGTAAAATAATAACAGTAAATTAATTTTATCTGTCTATAAATATAATTGGCTATCACTTATTAAGCTTCTACCATGTCCTAATCCTCACAACAGCCTCTACAAAGTAGGAACCATTATCCTCCTTTTATAGGTAAAGAAACAGAATCAGAAAGTTAACTGATGAGCTACAATTTAGTTAAGGGGATATCAAAAGACATAATAGGCATGAAACAGAAGTATAAAATGAAGTCTGAGAAAGAAGTCATGAATTCTGACTTTGGAAAATTAAGTATCATTATTGTTATATCCATGTACAGCAGTTATGATTAACAAAATTATAGAATTCTTCACATAATGAAGCAAACATTTTAAAATTTAAAACATACGGATGCCCTAGGTAAGGCCAGTAGTTTTTTTAAAAAAAAATTATTTATTTCACCGGGCACGGAGGCTCATGCCTGTAATCCCAGCACTTTGGAAGGCAGAGGCAGGTGGATCACTTGAGCTCAGGAGTTCGAGACTGGCCTGGCTAACATGGCGAAACCCCGTCTCTACTAAAAATATAAAAATTAGCCAGGGTGATGGTATATGCCTGTAATCCCAGCTACTTGGGAAACTGAGGCAGGAGAATCATTTGAACCTGGGAGGTGGAGCTTACAGTGAGCCAAGATCGCGCCACTGCTCTCCAGCCTGGGCAACAAAGCGAGACTCCATCTCAAAAAAAAAAAAAAAAATTTAACATTAATAGTATGTATTTATCTTATACAACATGTTTTGAAATATGTATACATTGTGGAATGGCTAAGCAAGCTAATTAACATGTGGATCACTTCACAGGCTTATTTTTTTGTGTGTGGTGAGAACACTCAAAATCTACTCTCTTAGCAATTTTCAAGTATGCAATACATTGTTATTGGCTAAAACCATCATGTTGTACAATGGAGCTCTTGAACTTATTCCTTCTAACTGAAATTTTGTATCATTTAACCGACATTTACCTAATCCCTCACCCCCCGCCCACCCCAACCAAGCTGCCCCCACCCCTGATAACCAACACTCTACTCTCTAATAAGAGTTTGACTTTTTAAGTGAGATCATATGGTATTTGTCTTCCTGTGCCTGGCTTATTTCACTTGGCATAATGTCCCCTGGATTCAACCATGTTGTAAGAAATGTCAGGATTTCCTTCTTTTTAAAAGTTGAATAGTATTCCATTATGTATATATATCACATTTTCTTTATACATTCATCTGCTCATAGAGACTTAAATTTATCCCATATCTTGGCTATTGTGAATAGTGCTGCAATAAACATGGGAATACAGATACATCTCTGACATACTAGTTTAATTCTTTGGTTATATACCCAGGAGTGGGATTGCTGGATCATATGGTAGTTCTATTTTTAATTTTTTGAGGAACTTCTATGCTATTTTCCATGATGGCTATACTAATTTACTTTCCCACCAATGGCGGGCAAGGATTCCCTTTTCTCCATATCCTTGCCAGTGCTTGTAACCTTTTATCTTCTTGATAATAGCCATTCTAGCAGGTGTGAGGTAAAATCTCTTTGTAGTTTGAATTTGCATTTCCCTGATGATTACTGATGTTGAACAGTTCTTTACATACCTGTGGGCCATTTGTACGTCTGCTTTTGAGAAATTTCTATTCAGGTCCTTTGCCTATTATTTTCATTTATTTTTTTTTAGATTGGAGTCTTGCTCTGTCGCCCAGGCTGGAGTGCAGTGGCATGATCTTGGCTCACTGCAGCCTCCGCCTCCAGGGTTCAAGCATTTCTCCTGCCTCAGCCTCCCAAGTAGCTGGGATTACAGGCATGTACCACCACACCCAGCTAATTTTTGTATTTTTAGTAGAGATGGGGTTTCACCATGTTGGCCAGGCTGGTCTCGAACTTCTGACCTCAAGTGAACCACCTGTCTCGGCCTCCCAAAGTGCTGGGATTACAGGCGTGAGCCACCGTGCCCAGCCTTTTGCCCATTTTAAAAATTGGGTTGTTTTCTTGCTATCGAGTTGTTTAAGTTCCTTATAAATTCTGGATATGAACCCCGTATTAAATACAGAGTTTGCAAATATTTTTTCCAATTATGAAGGTTGTCTTTTCACTCTCTGGATTGTTTCTTTTGCTGTGTGGAAGCTATTTAGTTTGATGTAATCCCAGGTGTCTAGTTTTGCTTTTCTGCCTGTGCTTCTGGGGTCATTAAAAAAAAAAAAAAAAATCAATGCCCGGGCCAGTGTCATAAAGCCTCTTCCCCTATGTTTTCTTCTAGTGGTTTGACAATTTCAAGTCTTAAGTCTTTGATCCACTTTGATCCAGTTAGTTTTTGTATATCGAGTGAGATGAGGGTCTACTTCCATTCTTCTGCATGTAGATATCCAGTTTTCCCAACACCATTTACGAAGAGACTGTCCTTTCCCCAGTATGTGCTCCTGGCACCCTAGTCAAAGATCAAATGACCATAAATAGGTGGATTTATTTCTGGGGTATCTATTCTGTTCCACTGATCTATGTGTCTATTTTTGTGCCAGTATCATGATATTTTGATTACTATAGCTTTGTAGTATATTTTGAAATCAGGTGGTATGTCTCCAGTTTTGTTCTTCTTGATCAAGATTGCTTTAGCTTCAATAGTTCTGTTATTCATAGAATCAACTGTGATAACTATAGAAGTCCCTCAGCAGCTAAGGTAAAAACAAAAAAACAAAAAAAAACAAAAAAAAACTCCAGGAATCTGAAAATTTAAGAAATTAACACTCAAATACATAATTACATTAAGAAAATATCATGGGAATACTAAGTCTTAGGGAAGGCCATTTAAAAAATGAGTTAAAGCCTATGATAGGATTAAACACTTTTTTTTGTTTACTACTTTATTTCTTAATGAATTATCTTCTAGTCAGTAGAAGAGCCACCTGGGTTTGAAAACATTTTGTGGTTGATTTTGATTATAACATTTGTCATAAGCGAGTCTGACTACATTAAAAACCTTATAAACCTGCAGGACATTCTACAAAATTTAATTAATTCACCAGTTGAATCTAAACCTCCTCTACTCAATATTAACTAGAACTTACACAAAATCTGATATAACCGATGTTCAAAACAGTAACTACAAGGTACAAAATAATCTGAATCTTAAGCACTTCTTGTTACAAAAACATTAATACAGATGATAGATTTTAGTGCTAAACTTGATAAATGATCTGTGTGTGTACATTTTCAAAGTTAATTACTAGAATTACTGAAATTTCTATCCTTTAACTTTTCCTTACTTTTCAAGTATATGTTTTTATATTACAAAAAGGCAAAACAGAGAGTACCTTCAAAATGTCTTACTGACAGTTGTATTTACCAGGAGTTAGTGGTAACATTTAACTGGACATATTAATTCCTTTTTTAAAAAACATAACTAGAGATTTGGGCTGGATAGAGGTATGAATTCTAATCCCAATTTTAACACCTTTTGAATGACTGAACAGATAACACACTTCCACATATTACAGATTCCTTATCTTTAATGGCAAGGATAACAACTATCAATGAGTAAACTATGGTAGGAATGGTAGGAAGAGGAAATATTTCTATTGCTCAAAAAACAGAAACAAAAAAATCCCCTTGAGTTGGTGCTGTTTACTATTCAACATTAAAGGGGAAGCTGAGAGCAGTGGCTCATGCCTGTAATCCCAACACTTTGGGAGGCTAAGGCGGTAAGACTGCTTGAGCCCAGGAATTCAGGGCTGCAGGAAGCTACAATAGTGCTACTGAACAAAAGCCTGGGCAACAGAGCAAGATCCTGTCTCTAAAACGAACAAACAAACAAGAAATAAACCATTAGAGGGTAAGATATTACCAGATTTTTTAAAAACTGAGTCATACTATATCCATAATCTCTTTCAAAATTGGTTAATCATGTTTAACAGAAGGGAAATTGATACCTGTATTATGCAAGAAGAAGTTAATATCACTGACTCTAATGATAACTTTAGATCACTAATGATCATAACTCCTATTTGATCCAAACCAGCAATGTGGTATCCTCTTGTTTTATTTTTAATAATCTGACATAATTTCTGGTATCTCATGAAACCAAAAAAGGTAACACACGTCATAAACACTCTGAATAATTTTCTGACTATACCCATGTAATACTTTGCTAGGAACTAGAAATCAAAAAAAATTCCAGAAAAGAGCAATTACACCTAATAGGTAGGTAGTAGGTACTCACTGAAAGAAAAATACAGGATGTTCATGACCCAAGAGGTTTTACATTTCATTGTACTGTTTTTTTTAAACCAACTGGTAACTCAGGTCATTATACTCTGATCATTCTTTATGTGATCCACTTCCTTCAATATCTAAACGTTCTTTAGAGCAGTGCTATCTTGAGTTTTCTGAATGGAACAGTGCCTTTCAAAATCTTTTTATGAATTTCCTTCATGCACGTAAGTGCAAAAATCTTTAATATTTTGAATTTTTCTCCCAAATAAATCTGTTTTTCCCTGTTTTTATAAGTGTGAACTACCTGCATCAGAATCACTGACATGCTTATTAAAACATTCTTGTACTGCCATCCCCAGGCCTACTAATTGGAGAGGCTTGGGGTCCTCAAATCCTCATTTTTCTAAGCAAGCACCAAGTGATTCTTATGTCCACTAATGCTTGATACCTCAATTATATGCAATTAAGATTCTAAAGCTCTTTGAGAACAAGAATTATACAATTTCTTCTGTAATTATCCAACACAGAAAATCACCATAGAGAATGCTTAGCAGTGACTAGTTTTTAGAAACACTAAAACGCTACTCATGTAGAGGACAAAGGTTGCTATTCATAATTGAATAACTACTCTGGGATAAAGAAACCCAAAATGAGAAAACCTGAAAAGTAATCCTTCTATAGAGCATGCGCATTTTATCAGTAAAGCTTCAAAGTGAGTACAACCTTTATAGTGAGTTAAAATATAAGGTGCAATATAAATATCTGAATATGCATCATATATTTTCCGGTGATTCTACACACACCTGTAATTTTTATCAGGTCTTAGTTTGATAAAGCAAAGATGTATTTACTTAATCTCTAAGAGTTAACATTAAGCTTAGTTTTTATTTGTTTTGAGACGCAGTTTTGCTCTTGTTGCCCAGGCTGGAGTGCAATGGCACAATCTAGGCTTACTGCAACCTCCGCCTCCCAGATTCAAGCGATTCTCCTGCCTCAGCCTACTGAGTAGCTGGGATTACAGACGCCCACCACCACACCCAGCTAATTTTTGTATTTTTAGTAGAGACAAGGTTTCGCCATGTTGGCCAGGCTGGTCTTGAACTCTTGACCTCAGGTGATCCGCCCACCTCGCCCCCCTAAAGTGCTGGGATTACAGGTTAGAGCCACTGCATCTGGCCACTTAGTTTTTAAAATTTAACAACTATCAGTAGCCACAACTAAGCTTCCTAAAAATATGTAGTTCAGAATAATAGCACCACTGTGAACCAACACTAAATTCTAGTAAGTCCAAGAAGCATCAAAGAGGTTTGAAAAAAGTACTTACACACAGCAAATTGGTACTACTAATAGAAGGTACAGGGTAAGACAGAGAAATTTTTAACCAAAGCATAGTTCTTCACAACACTGAGCATCAACTGGATGTGAATGATTTTTACCCAAAGCAACAAATCAAGTAAACTAAAAGTAAACCTAAATGGTCATTCTTTTATTTCTACAAGAAAACCACAAAATAATTATACCACTTAAACCAAGAAATAAGTATAAAAACCAACAATGCTATAGATTGGATGTTATCCACAGGATTGTGCAGTTTGAAAGTACTGAGAGGAGATTTGGAAATGTTACTTAATGCTATTCTCATCAACATAATGACAGCAACTATTTAAGTACTACTTTAAGGTTTTAACTTACAAGTATTATGACACTTGTTGCTTCTCACTATTAATACAATAAAGTTATCTAAAGCCAGTATAAGCTTATGCATGGAATGTTAAGAATGCATTCATGCATTCATATTAGGAGCATCTATATTTTTCTTAAAAGCTGTTTTCTTTTTGAGACCAAATCTCACTCTGTCGCCCAGGCTGGAGTGCAGTGGCATGATCTGGGCTCATTGCAACCTCCGCCTCCCAGGTTCAAGCGATTCTCCTGCCTCAGCCTCCAGAGTAGCTGGGATTACAGGCATGCACCACTAATACCAGGCTAATTTGTGTATTTTCAGTAGAGACGGGGTTTCACCATGTTGGCCAGGCTGGTCTCGAACTTCTGACCTCAAGTGATCCACCCGCCTCAGCTTTCCAAAATGCTAGGATTACAGGCATGAGCCAACATGCCCGACCTTGAAAGCTGTTAATATGAGCACCCACACTGTATCAAAAATCAAAAACTAAGTTAACAATCACCTATTCTTGAATCTACCATGGTCAGGATTTTTTAAATCTGTAAATTGTCTGGCAACATCTACATTACCCTTGTATAAAATATGTAGCAATACAGTAACGATCGCAACTATGCAATTTTAATTGTAATTATAGAAAAAGTGATCACAATCATGTGATCTAACTTTCTTGAAAAGAAACATCAAAGTAACCTAAAATAGAAGTACATTTTTGGATGAAATAGACAAAAGTGGCCAACTTACTGTAAGAGATAATTATTTTTGTTACCTACAGGGCATTCTTAGAATTTTAGTCAGCTATATCCAGTAAACTGACAGGAAATAATATATATTTCTCCACCAACACAATGATTCAGTGTATCCACAAAACACAGATACATGCAACCTCCAAATCAAATCTGTGTTAAATTACTTAATTACTTACCCACGGTATACCAACTAGCATCTGTCAACTTGCTGATAATAGCTTCCTGAAAAGATCCATCAGATGTCCTTGTTTCAACAATAGCTCCAACCTAAAATGTGAAATCCCAATTTCCTTACCAAATTTAAACAAATAAACCAAATCACTCCCACCAACTATATAATCTAGCTAAGAAAAATAAACACCATACTTATGATAATTCTATCTTACACTGTCTGAGATCTTTATCATTCATAGTACTTATCTATTTATTATGCAATTTGAGCTCCAAAACACTTTGACAAAAGTTAGGTAGCTATTATTACCCCTACTTTACACACTGAAAATTGCCGTTCAGAAAGAGAAAATAATATGCAGAGTCCAGCATGACAGCCCAGTCTCTTAAATCTTACTTTAGAGCTTTTCCACTATATCACATTGCCTTCAAGAAAATTAAATCGAAGAACTGTAAAATTATAAGACAACCAAAATAGCATCCATTTTCTTTCACAGAAATAGTGAATATTGGATTCAGCATTTGTATTTAAGGTACCTTTTAGATAAAGGTTCACCTGGAGAGATAGGGATGGACCAGTTGACCTTCTTTCAGTTTCCAGACCTTTGTATATCAGATATTAACCAAAGTGGTACTCTGATATAACAGATTTATTACATAAACAAATGGCCAGAAATGCATGGAAAACATAATCTAGGTATTCATTAAATTGAATTAGGAAGTGAACATAGTTTACTTGGTAAATTAGAACAACCAAAGATTGATGGTTATGATACTCAACTTAGAAGGCTAAACATCACCTCAGATACAGCAACAATGTGAAAAACAAAGCCAGGTATCCAGTTCAAGAATTCAAAACAGAAAGGTAGGTGAAAAACTTAACATGTTTATATATATTAAATTACCCTTCTAGAAGATGTTTAGTATCTAAAACAGAATACAGCCATTGCAATATCACAATTTATACTAATTATATTTAAACCCTTCATATGTATTGTTTTCTGATTAACGTTCTCATAAAATGTTAAGTCTATGTAGAAATGTAAATTCAGTAAATATGGTATAAATCTATGATTATTTCAGATTTTAAACCGTACAACATACATACTCTTAAAGGACCCTTTACTTGGTCATCTTGTACCAATTGTGTGGTATTATCCTGTTTCAGGAGTACCTGAAAAACATTTTGCACAATAATTTGCATATTACTTTTAAAACAAATACATTTATAGTAACACTATAACAATAATGTCTTTAATTTATGCTTTCTTAGCACCATGTGGTGACCCCTGCTAATGTAATACTTATTACATTCTCTTATTAACTGTGAGCTCCTTGAGGGCTGAGTCTTCCCTTCATTGCTATATCCCCAACAGTTAGCAAGTGTCAATGCATATTATCAGCACTTAATAACTGTTTACTAAATGAACTATATAATAATCTTTAATGATTACTGTAAAAAAAAACTGCCTTTATTGCTTTTTATCAAGTCACAAAAGGTTCTGATTGCCACCAAGTACACAAAGAAAAACAACAGTATCAAACTGTATTGCCTATATGAAAGGTAAACAAATTAAAACCAGAACTCTGATCCTTTATAAAGTGAAGCTAAGCAATAATCGTAATATGCACTGATACAAACAAGTGCTCCCTTCTACTACACATCTAAAGACATAAAGTAACCATCCGTAACAGATGGCTGGTTACTATGGTCCAAATAATAGATGGTCCAAATAAATTCAAAATCTAGGTAATGTATGGTAAGACCTCCTAAAACAATCATTGTATTAATTTTAAGTAAATAAGAGCCACAATACCAAATTTGAATTGTTAAAGAATCCCAAATAAATATAGAGTAATCAAATCCTATATAGCTGACATGATAAAAACACTGTATGAAACAAAAAGAAATGAATGTCAATTGACATCCTATCCTAATACTTGAAGGTTCATCAAGAAAACTGAAACATAAATTTTATAATAATCATAGATACATCTATTTAACCTACAAATCACACTCCTCTAGTCAATGTTTCTCAAACTTTTTTTTTTTTTTAGGCAGGGTCTCAACCTTCGCTTCCCCAGCTCAAGCAATTCTCGTGCCTCAGCCTCCCAAGTAGCTGGGATTACAGGTTTGCACCACCATGTCTGGCTAATTTTTTGTATTTTTACTAGAGACAGGGTTTCAACATTTTGGCCAGGTGGGTCTCAAACTTCTAGCCTCAAGTTATCTGCCCACTCTGGCTTCCCAAAGTGCTGGGATTAATGACCCACCGTGCCCAACCTGATTCTTAAACTTTTAACATGCATCAGAAATATTTAAAGGGCTTATTAAAACACAATTACTGGATCTTACCCCCAGAGTTTCTGATGAAGTAGATCTGGGGTGGGGAAAATTTGCATTTGGAACAAGTTCCCAAGTAAGGCTGATGCTGCTGGTCTGGAGGGACCCTTTAGGAATCACTGCTCTAGTTCACTGATTCATTCAACAAATTTTGAGGGTCCACTATGTATCAGGCACTACTCTATGTGTTGGGCATAGAACAAGTCAGACGTTTCCTCCTTTTATGGTGCTTAATTCTGGTAGGAAAACATCAGATATATAAGTGAATAAAGCAAACTGCAATACAGCATGATCCAATACCAATGACAATAATTTTATGACTGGCACAGTAAAAAAAATCTGGAAGACCACATCAAATCTCTTTGGAGTCGTATCAAGGAGGACTTTCACAGTGTTCTATACCGCAGCAGGATGACTGTAGTTAACAATGCTATATCACATTGTTTCAAATGGCTAAGAGGAGGATACTGAATATTCCCAACACAAAGAAATGAAAAATGTTTGAGATGATAGATATGCAAATTATCTTGATTTAATCACCATACATTATATGTATCAAAACATGACTATGTAGCCCATGAATATGTAAAATTATTATTCATCAACTTAAATAAAATTTTTTAAGGAGGACTTCATTAACTATATGATATACCTCTATAATGTTAAAAATGTTTATAATAAGCATAGGAGGTATCTAAGTATAAAGTAACGAAGACTATTAAAAATATATTCATATAAGAAAATTACTGGCAGGAACCACCAAAAAAAAAAGTTATTTCAGAGTAAAAGCATCTTAAAAAAAAATTTTTTTTTTGAGACAGGGTCTTGCCCTGTCATCCGGCCTGGAGTGCAGTGGCACAATCACAGCTCACTGCAGCCTTGACCTCCCAGGCTCAAGCAATTCTCCCACCTCTGCCTCCAGAGTAGCTGGGACCACAGGTGCCTGCCACCACACCTGGCTAATACTTTTTATCTTTTTTTCTGGACAGACAAGATCTCACTATGTTGCCCAGGCTGGTCTTGAATTCCTTGGCTCAAGCAATCCCCCCATTCAGGCTTCCCAAGTGCTGGGACTGCAGGTGTGAGCCACTTCACACAGCCAAAAATATACATATATATTTTTAGTCTCCCTCTGTCACCCAGGCTGGAGTGCAGTGGTGTGATTTCGGCTCACTGCAATCTCCACCTCCTGGGTTCAAGCGATTCTCCTGCCTCAGCCTCCCGAGTAGCTGGGACTACAGGTGTGCACCACCATGCCAGGTTAATTTTTTTATTTTTTGGAGATGGAGTCTAGCTCTGTTACCCAGGCTGGAGTGCAACGGCATGATCTTGGCTCACTGCAACCTCCGCCTCCCGGGTTCAAGCAATTCTCCTGCCTCAGCCTCCTGAGCAGCTGGGATTACAGGTGCCTGCCACCACACCCAGCTAATTTTTGTATTTTTAGTAGAGACAGGATTTCACCATGTTGGTCAGGCTGGTCTCGAACTCCTGACCTCAGGTGATCCACCCACCTCAGCCTCCCAAAGTGCTGGGATTACAGGCGTGAGTCACCGCGCCGGGTCTAATTTTTGCAATTTTAGTAGAGACAGGGTTTCGCCACGTTGGCCAGGCTGCTCTTGAACTCCTGGCCTCAAGTGATCTGCCCACTTCGGCCTCCCAAAGTGCTTGGATTACAGGCATGAGACACTACGCCCAGTCACAAAATAAACTTTTTAAATGCTTTTTTACACTGTCTTGAAAACATAATTCCTGTTGTATTTGTATTGTCCTAAACACTAAAATTGTCTCTACCTGAACATTAAATGAGGGGAGAAAATAGATTACAGTCCAAGTATGCTACCACAAATAGTTAAGAGCCAAATGACAGGAAATATCATGAGCATGGTATTTTGATGGTAGCATTTTGGAATAATTTCTCCTTTTGAGTTTTTTATTTCTTTATTTTTGATGTGCTTTTCCTTTAAGTTTGGTATATAAAGGGTTTTCATATAATGACTCAATAAAATGCTGATTTGCAGTCTCTCTCTCCCCAAATTTCTTCAATCTAGAGTTAATAAAACTATTGCATAAAAACAAATATTACCTTAACTTTCACCAGCCTTTTCACAGTCTTAATCTTTGCCTCACAGAAGGCACCTCGGTACTTGGCACTGACATCGGTTCCCACTGTCAGGTAGGCAGGCTCATCTGCCGCCTGGTGAAAGGAACATAAAACTGTGAATGTCATTACTATGCCTCCCTACTCCAACCTCAAGTCTCATTAAAAGGTTGTGTTTGAAGCATTAAGAATATTAAAATGACTTGCTTATTAATATCATTGAAAATTTGAAAAATACCCTAAATACTTGATTAGCAACCTTTCATTTTATAGACTGATGTCCTGATATGATAAAATGTTTTAAAGTTGTAATTCAAAATTATCAGTGATTAATAATGTTTTGTCTCGATACAAAATTTTTCAAAAATTCTACTATTATATAAGCAGAAAGATAAGAAAAAAACAGAAAAAATATTTCATATTACACATATCATAAAACTAAGTTATTCATTTATAGCTTCCTGAAATTTTTCAAATTAAAAGAAATATTGCTACTAATATTAACACTAACAATACATAATTGTTTATTGACATAGCCACATAAAGGTAACATCTTTTCATAAGGAAAGTATCATTTGGAAAATTCATTTGCTAAAAGCTGCACTTGAAAGGTTTTAAGTCTGAATTCAGCCGATGAATGCAGATATGAACTGATGGCTCCAGACTTGTAGGTATACCTAGTTTACCACACTAATCTTCTTAGTATAAAAAAATAAGCGTTACTAAGAAACATCTACTTTCAGCAAATGGACACGACCAGAATGATACATAGAAAGATGTAAGAAATGTCACTCTACCACTCATTTTAATTTTTACAGTAACAGGATGATTGCTATCTCAATCTGTCATTTTACCTTTTTTTTTTTTTTCCGGAAGTTAAAGTGTATCCATACAAGTTCAACTTAACATTGTTAAGTGCAAAGTTAACAGTGTACACTTTGGAGATACGTTTTGAAGTAGAAAATGATTTTTTGTTTTCTAATAAGTTTTCCCAAGTAATATTAAAGAAGGTTAAATATGTCATTTACTTCGAGAAAATAGAAAACCACGAGAAAGTTTGGGAAAATGCTATATTTCAGAGCTTAATATGCTGAAACAGTAAATAAGACAGGAATTGGGTACCTTTTAAAGTAAGTGCATTTACAAAAAATACAAATTGAATAGGAATGCTTTTGGCAAACAAAAATCTGACCTGAAACATTCAATGGCCACAGCATTCAAGAACGCTATATGAGATCCTTTCCCTTTAACCATCCACATACTGATATTTGCAGTCATCCTCAGTAGAATATGTATCTTTTTAGTATATGTTTTAAAATACTTATTGGAAAGATTTAACTAAAACTATTATTATACTTCAACTTCAAATATTTTAGCCACATAAGTTCATTTTACACACAGAAGAAATGATACCTTCATTACTTAATCCACGTATTCTTTCTTTTAGAAAATCGCATTGGCACACGGGAAGAAAAAAAATTTACAAAAAATCCCCCAAAGAACCAAAGCAGGACAAAAGCTTTACTTCTGCAAAGGTTGCTGCCAACACAGGAAGTGTTTAAAAATACTATCCGAATGGACAACAATTGAAAGGCTGCACCAGCCTTTCCAAAGTACTGCTACAGAGAGGGCCTAAACTCCGCATTTAGACACACAGATCATTTTTCACCCATTCAACACATCCTCCTATGCCGAAACTGCTGATCAGTAGGAACATCAATTTTGAGTAGCAAAACAAATGACATTCCACGGCACTAGCCTTAGGATTGGCAGTGTTCAGGGCGCGAGGATCGGGGCAGAGTTGACTCCACTTACCTTCATTTTTGTTGGTGATCTGTGGGGTTCCAGCTCAGCGAGCTATCTTCGCAGTCGCTAGAACTATGGGGAGGGGGAAAGACAGGCACAGACATAATCAGTCAACTGCGGGGAGCGACCAAGGGAAAGAAAGTAAACAAACGCCAGCGGGGAGGGGCAGAATCCTCACCAGCCAAGGGACAAGACCCCTTACGAGGGCAGCCAGGACGCAGGAGCTGAGGGGGCAGCGAGAACCCCACGAGCGCCAAAGGGCAGCCCGTTCCGCCCCGGAGCTCGCCAGCGGCCCACCGCGCCCCCGCCTCGCTGGCCACTTTGACCCGGAATGCTCAACTCGGAGCTCCAGGACAGATAGCTCCGGAAAAGGCCAGAGCTCCCTTCGGGCTTCCCCAGGTCCCCCGCGGAGACGACCGCCGAGCCTCCGCTCCGCGGTCCCCCGGATACCCCGACTTCGGCCCGCGCCCCGCCTCCGCCGCTCGGCCCCCTCGGCCCGCCCCGGGCCCGCGGTGGCGGCAGCGGAGTGTCACGGCGCCATTGCTCTCCTTCCTTCGCTCTGCACCATGTCAGAAAGGAGAAGCGCTCCTTCACCCAAAGGGGCAGGGGCCGCGGCCTTCAGCCGGGAGCCGCCAGAGCCCCGGGGGACCCGCGTGGGGGAGGGGGCGGGGGGCGGAGGGGAGGAGGAGGGGAGGTGGCCCGGACAGGGTGTGGGAGGGGAGGGGAGCCGCACCGCAGCAGCCGCTGCCTCCTCCCAGCGCCCGCCTCAACTTTTTGTACAGCCCAGAGAGGTATCAGCTCGTAGCCCCTCGAGTCCTGCCACGGACTCCGCAGAGGTGGACGCGCCGCGGAGTTGGGGGACGGCTCCCCCAAGCAGCCCGCTCTTCACCGCGCGGAAGCAAACTTAGCGGCGCGGCCAGCCCCACAGCCATTTTCCCGGGAACCCGAGGAAGCGGACGAGGAGGCGGCTGCAACTGCGGCGGCGGTTCCTGCAGTTGCTGCCGCTGGTCAATGGCTGGCCCCTTCCCTTGCGCTCGCCGTGCCACTTGCCTAGCATCCCTCTCCCCACCTCCAAAGCTTCCAACTGCACCGGGACCTCGGGCAGCAGCAGCTGCTGCTACTGCCACTTCGTCCATTCAGTATCCCCGGATTCCCCTCTCCCCACCTACCAACTGCGGGTGAAGTGCGCGCTGTCAGCTCCAGAGTCCTCCTCCCCTCTGACCTCCGTGGGCCCCCGTCCGGGCAGCACCACTCCCAGCCGCGGCTGCAGTTCCTGCGCCGGGTTCCCCACTCGCCCCGATTTACTGCCACAATCCACCAAATAACAAGCTGTTGAGCAGACTCGCTTCTACACGAACTCCTATTGGCTGCTCATGACGCCGAAGAGCTTCGGATAGGACCTCGCTACCTGCCGTCCTCATTGGATGTAGCTGTGAAACTTCATGGATTGGTGAGAAAAACAGCAGGTAGGACATCTTCCACTTATGATTGGCTTTTTCCGAAAACCAACTTTATTGGAGAGTTGGTTATTGAGTAAGCAAGTCCTGAGAAATGATTGGTAGAGACGACTCCGGATGTGCTTGACTGGGCACTGATTGGTGAATTGAGGGGTCAGGAAGAGCAGTTCGACACGAGGATTGGCGGCGGAGTGTCCCATGGAAACGGAACCCAGAATTGCAGCCAGGGGCTTGCACGGGGGCGGGGCAGGGTCTGTCCAAGGCGCTTGCGCTAAACCAGCTTGTCGGCGCCATTTTGTCTCGGCAGCGGTGGCCGTAGCTCCATCGCATTTTATGTTTCTGGCGAGAAGGGAACGGAGTTTTCATCAGGTAGATTGGTTTTTGTGCGGCCGTCCTCCACCGTTTCCTCCAGGACAGCACCTAGTCGTGGCCGGAGGAGTCTCAGAGCTGTCAGAAAGGTCAGTTGGAGGCTATGGTTGTCCGATTGACTGGGGGGATGGCGCAGCCCTAGCGGCACCGGCACCGGAAGTGAAGGGGCCGCAGGCAGCCATGGTAAACTTCTCCCTGCGGCGGGGTGGGGAGAAGGGGCGGGATGAATGGGGGCGAGGCTTCCTCTCCCGCCGAGATAAAGAGGTGGAGGAGAGGCAAACGTCTTTCTTGGAGGTTCTCTTTCGGGTTTTCGAGAATGTGAGAGATTTTCTGGGTTCTGTCCCACTGCAATCTTTCCTGTCTTTGGAAGTGCATTTCGGGGACTTGCCATGTTCTCCACCTGATTGGCACCAGCTGTGGGAGCCTTCTTAGTTAAGACAGGGAAGAAGTGGTTCTTAGAAACATCCTGCATGGGTAGAGGTTTCCGCGTGCTCCTCACGGGATAAAGCTATGAGGAAACTGGAGAAAGCGCTGGCTTTCTGGATGCTGAGGAATTTACTTGCCAGCGCAGACGCTTCTTCTGTGACCTTAGACAAGGGTCTGTCACTCTGCACGAGGCTTATGCTACTTTTTGAAAGCAAACAGTGGTTTTGCAGGGACTGAAAACATCTTAGACAAAAGGACGTCCCCGATAAGATAGACGTTGATCTTTTTCTGTTAACATCTTATATTCTGTTAAACGAAACACACATTTTTAAATAGCGGAATTGGAGTATAAAATTGACTAGTTTTATAGAATGGAGTAATTTTTAAAATGTGACATATCGTCAGTAATCCACGTGGACTAAATTTTCTCAGTAAGAAAACAGCCGAGCAGAATCAGTTTTTTATTCGTAACAGTAATTTTGCTCAAAAGTATTCATAAAAACGTGAAATGCATGTTGGCATTTCTAGTGAGTGACCTAGTCACACTGGATAGATCCTAATAGTTACCCTCAATACCTCTGTTTTAAACCCTACTGCTATATTGGTGGCGCCCATAACTAGAAAATGATTGTGTGACTTAACAATTACTGGGTTTTTTGGCAGTTGTGCTGAAGAAAACAGAACATCTCAGTGATTACTGAGGTGAGTCATAAAGTCTAAAAATCCTTAGAATTGCGGGGGACTACCTGGAAAAACTTTCTATGGATTAGTAAAGAAATACCAGAATGGGAGGAAGGGTAGTTAAAAGATGTTTTGTTTGGTCAGATTCAAATGAGTCTGTATAATTAGCTTTCTAGTGTAATATTTTAGAATGAAATCCCAAAATTAGGACATCCTTATGGACTTGTTTACCCATTTACGTGGTTCTCATTTCTGGACTTTGATATACCTCATGTTTTTGTTATAAAACATTATGCGTATTTTTGTGATTTCCTCCCCCCCACCCGCCTATTTAAAAAGTTCTTATATAGAAAAGATCTTGTAAATGGGAGTGTTTAGGAGTGAGGCTTTTTTTTTTTTTTTTTTTTTTTTTTTGGAGACAGAGTCTCTCTCTGTCATCGAGGCTGGAGTGCAGTGGCGCAATCTCGTAGGAGTGAAGCAGTTTTTTAAAAGACCTTATAAAACAATATATTACTGAATTTTCTAGGGGGTAAGCATCCATAATTCTACGATCAAAGTTTAAACTGTTATTATTGAATCCAAATAATGCATGGACATTTGGAAATTATTAAAAAGCCCAAAGAAGAATACAAAAATGTCTTCCCTCCTCCAAAAGGTAGTTACGGTTTACACTATAGTTATATATTATACAAAAGGCTTTGTCTTTTTTGTTGGTTTTGTTTTACCAAATATTCTAGTGTTGTTCATTACCGTCTATTCTTTATAGAAAACATTGGGAATATTGGAAATATCTTATCGTAAAGCATCTTTTATGTCTTCATAGTGTTTTGTGGGATAAATATATCATAATTTATGTAACGTGTTTATTTTTCTATAATGGCAGTAATATGTCAGTGAATATCCTTGTACATGTTTTGCAAAATATTGTGTCTAAGAAGGTCGTTGCAAAAGTAATCGTGGTTTTTGCATTATTGGAATTTGCCATTTGATGTTGGACTACGTTGTTAAATAAATGTGGTTATGTTATACATCATTTTAATGGGCATTTCTCGCTTTGTTCTTTTGGTAATGACTTATTACTCTCTGTTTATTTCATGTTTATTTTATTTTATTTTTGAGACAGAGTCACGCTCTGTCGCCAGGCTGAAGTCAGTGGCACCATCTCGGCTCACTACAACCTCTGCCTCCCAGGTTCAAGCAATTCTTCTGCCTCAGCCTCCCGAGTAGCTGGGACTACAGGCGCGTGCCACCACACCAGCTAATTTTTTGTATTTTTAATAGAGCCAAGGGGCTTCACCATGTTAGCCATGGTGGTCTCGATCTCCTGACCTCATGATCTGCCTGCCTCGGCCTCGTAAAGTGGTGGGATTACGGGCATGAGCCACGTGCCCAGCCTTCATGTGTATTTTAGACAATGAAAATGATGTTAGACAAAAAAGCAAATTCGAGCAGTTTTCGTTTTTGAGTTAAAAATGGGTTGTAAAACAACAGAGACACCATATCAGCAATGCATATGGTTCAGGAACTGTTAACTTACAGTGCAGTGGTGATTCAAGAAGTTTTTTTGTTGTTGTTGTTTGAGATGGAATCTTGCTCTTTCAGGCTAGAGTGCAGTGGCATGATCTTGGCTCACTGCAACCTCTGCCTCCTGGGTTCAAGCCATTCTGCCTCAGCCTCCCCAGTAGCTGGGATTACAGGCACGCACCACCATGCTCAGCTAATTTTTGTATTTTTAGTAGAGATGGAGTTTCACCATCTTGGCCCAGGCTGGTCTCGAACTCCTGACCTCGTGATCCGCCCGCCTTGGCCTCCCAAAGTGCTGGGATTACAGGCTTGAGCCGCTGTGCCTGGCAGTTTCAAGAAATTTTGCAAAGGGAAGGAAAGTCTTGAAAATCAGGAGCGTAGTGGCTGGTCGCCAGAAGTTGATAACTACCGGTTAAGAGCAATCAGCAAAGCTGATCCTCTTAAGGCTACTTGAGATGTTGCCGAAGAACTCAATGTGGACCATTCTACAGTCCTTCAGCATTTGAAGCAAATTAAAAAGTGAAAAAGCTCGATAAGTGGGTGCCTCATGAACTGACCGAAAAAAAAAGTCATTGTTTTGAAGTGTCCTTATCCCTTATTTTTTGCAACAACAAACCATTTCTTGGTCAGATTGTGATGTGCGAGAAAAAGTGGATTTTATACAACAACTGGTGATGGCCAGCTCAGTAGATGGACTGAGAAGATTCTCCAAAGCACTTACCAAAGCCAAACTTGCACCAAAAAAAGGTCATGGTCACTGTTTTGTGGTCTGCTGCTGGTCTGATCCACTATAGCATTCTGAATCCTGGCGAAACCATTACATCTGAGAAGTATGGTCAGCAAATCGATGAGATGCACCAAAAACTGCAACGCTTGCAGTCAGCATTGGTCAACAGAAAGAGGCCCAATTCTTCACAATGCCCTTCCACATGTTGCACAACCAATGCTTCAAAAGTTGAACAAATTGGGCTGTGACATTTTGCCTCATCCGCCATATTCACCTGACCTCTCTCCATTGACTACGACTTCTTCAAGCATTGCGACACCTTTTTGCAGGGAAAACACTTCCACAACTAGCAGGATGCAGAAAATGCTTTCCAAGAGTTCGTCGAATCCTAAAGCATGGATTTCTACACTACAGGAATAAACAACTTAAAAATGTGTTGATTGTAATGGTTTCTATTTTGATTAATAAAGATGTGTTTGAGCCTAGTTATAATGATATAAAATTCATGGTCTGAAACCGCAGTTATTTTTGCATGAACGTAAATGATGAATTTTAGATGCTGAAATTTCTGGGCATCTAAATCTTCTTTCACATCCCTGATTATTTTTGGAATAAACTCCCAGAAGTGGAAATATAAGGCTGAAGGCCTGGTGTGGTGGCTGAAGCCTGTAATCCCAGCACTTTGGGAGACCGAGGTGAGCAGATGGCTTGAGCCCAGGAGTTTGGGACAACATGGTGAAACCTCATCTCTACAAACAGTGCAAGAAATCAGCCAGCGTGGTGGCGTGCACCTGTGTTCCCCGCTAATCAAGAGGCTGAGGTGGGATGATCACCTGAGTCCAGGAGATCAAGGCTCCAGTGAACCATGATTGTGCCACTGAACTCCAGCCTGGGTGACAGACTTCATCTCAAATATATAGGTGTGTGTGTGTGTGTGTATATGTGTATGTATATATATATGAATAGATTATGTATTTAAGGCTAGGGATGCTTGTATAGTCCATTAGAAAGCTTTTTTTTCTTAACTGCACTTAGATTTGTTGTCCTTTTTATTACTGCCCCGCCCCCCCCAAAAAATTTCTGGTCTGTCTTTAGCTTCATTTCTGAACATTTTATCCTGGACCTCTCTTTCTTCAAGTAGAAATAATCGGCTGGGCGTGGTGGCTCATGCCTGTAATCTCAGCACCTTGGGAGGCCGAGGCGGGTGGATCACCTGAGGTCGAGAGTTCAAGACCAGCCTGACCAACATGGAGAAACCCCGTCTCTACTAAAAATACAGAATTAGCCGGGCGTGGTGGCGCATGCCTGTAATTCCAGCTAATTGGGAGGCTGAGGCAGGAGAATCGCTTAAACCTGGAAGATGGAGGTTGCGGTAAGCTGAGATCGTGGAATTGCACTTCACCCTAGGCAACAGGAGCAAAACTGTCTCAAAAAAAAAAAAAATAATCGCAGTCTTTAAGTTACACATACCATAAAATATATGAGAATTTTTCTTGGACCCTAGGAGTGATTTTTTTTTTCCACTTTTTTTTTTTTTTTCACTTTAGGTGAGCATTTGTACAGTGAAACATTTTGCTACACAAAAGTGATGTTTAGGAATACTAACAAATTATTTTCAAGGTTAGTTGTGTTTAACTACTTCGTGTTTCCCTGTAGTCTTCTCTAAAGTTTCCCCTTCTTGTGTGTATTCATTCTCTCAGTGCTTTTGTAGCCTGATAAGACCCCCTGTACGTGTGCCTCTTTGCATTTGTTTGACTCTTCCCAAATTTGAAACTCTGTTCCCAGAAAGCAGCAACTGTTTTATTTAATCACTGTTAGGTTCCCCCACCTGATAGGTGCTCTGTTGCAGATACTTCTTCTAAATCTGTATGCACGTTTGTATACAAAATGTGAAATAAGCCAACTTAACATCTTTCGTTTTCTTAGGTTTTTTGTTGTTGTTGTTCGGGTTTGTTTTGTTTTTGAGACAGGATCTTACTCTGTCACCCAGGCTGGAATGCAATGGCATGATCATAGCTCATTGCAGCCTCAAACTCATGCCTCCTGAACAGTTGGGACTACAGGTGTGTGCCATCAGGCCCCGCTAAAACTTTTTTTTTTTTTTGGTAGAGATGGGGTTTTGTTAGTTGCTCAGGCTTGTTTTTTCAACATAACAATAATTCTTTCTTGAAAATTAATGTTTCACAGATGCTGTCTTAACCTTAAAATTTTAAAATATTCCAGATACTTAGCTTAATACCAAATTGATTTGTAATTGCTAATAAAATGTAGATTTAGAGGACCATTAAGAATGTGTCATGCTCGCTTTGGCAGCTCACCTACTAAAATTGGAACCATACGGAGATTAGCATGGCCCCTGTGCAAGGATGACATAAGAAGCATTCCATTTAAAAATTAAAAAAGTAAAGAATGTATCGGAGTGTTAGTTTCTTCAGACCTCTTTTTATTCTCCAATCCCTTTTTAAGTATTTTATAATATCTTAATGGTAACTATAGATGAATATTAGTAATTACCAGGCAATGTTTTGGGTATAAATGAATGAAATTATGAGGTAATTGTATTTTTGTAACCTGTTAGTTAAATGAGCCCAAACTAATAGGAATCATAATTACCAACTTTTTAATGTTTCTGTGACATAAGGCTATATTGAAGAATGTTTTATTTCTTTGATAAGAGTTTGAACGATAATACATAATTATCTTCCCAATGTGGTATTTTAGTTGGAAATCTCAAAGTTAGCACATTCTTACGGATTTGTGTGCCCATTCGTGTGGTTTCCAGTTTTAAGGACTTGATATTTTTATCACAGAACACCATGAACATGTGTGTGATTTTTTTTTTTACCAGTCTTATCAATGAGAGTGTTTAGGAAGGAAGCAAATTTGTGTGTGTGGTTTTTTTTTTCATCAACAGTCTGTATTCTGAACGTCTGAGCTATCACATACTCAAAATTTTTAACAAGTCTTTTGTCTTTTAGAATAAGACTGATTTTATGGGAAAATTAAGCAGATGCTCCAGTTTGAGAAACCTGGATCTGCGATCTGTTTGTGGTAAGTAATTTTACTTAGTTACTCTTAGGTAATCAAGACTGGTCATGTTGCTCGTGTGTGTGTGTGTGTGTGTATCTGTGTATCTTTTGAAAAATGATAACCGGGCATGGTGGCTAAAACGCCTGAAATCCCAGCATTTTGGGAGGCAGAGGTGGGTGGATCACCTAATGTCAGGAGTTCGAGACCAGCCTGACCAACAAGGTGAAACCCTGTCTGTACTAAAAATACAAAATTAGCCGGGCGTGGTAACACATACCTGTAACCCCAGCTACCTGGGAGGCTGAGGCAGGAGAATCACTTGAACCCGGGAGGCGGAGGTTACAGTGAGCTTAGATCGTGCCACTGCACTCTAGCCTGGGCAGCAAGAGTGAGACTCGTCTCAAAAAAAAAAAAAACATAGAATTTGTTCAACTGTGCAGTTGTTTCTGTACACGAGTATATATTGAGAAGTGGAAATGATTGCTGTGTTGAATGTAGCAGCTTTCCTAAAGATTTAGTTATTTTATGGAAAGTTACATAATTTACTTATTTGTAACCAAAGCAGACTTTGAAATTTCTATGTTGTCTTTTGCCCTATTCAATTTTTATTTATTTATTTATTTTTTGAGACGGAGTCTCGCTCTGTCCTCCAGGCAGGAGTGCAGTGGCATGATCTTGGCTCACCGCAACCTCTGCCTCCCAGGTTCAAGCGATTCTCCTGCCTCAGCCTCCTGGGTAGCTTGGGACTACAGGTGCATGCCACCACGCCCGGCTAATTTTTGTGCTTTTAGTAGAGATGGGTTTCACCATATTGGCCCGGCTGCTCTCGAACTCCTGACCTCGTGATTCACCCGCCTCGTCTCCCAAAGTGCTGGGATTACAGGGATGAGCCACTGCGCCCGGCACCGTGTCAGATTTATCTGCTGATTTTATGGCCACATGGAGTCATAGATAATGGTTCGTATAATTCAAACTGGAATGACAGCGTATTTTAGGATTCAGATTCAAGCAAATATGAGTTACATAATGGCTTTCCTACAAGGATCTGTGCTCCAGAAGCTTAAGGTCAATAAAAGGGAGAATGTAATTACACATGTGGAAAGTTAATCTAAGTAGTTATTTCAAAATATTTAAGCAATCTATATAACCTTATTTATAGACTTACATGGCTCCTGATAATAGATTTGTCAAAGTTCTGTATACAATCAGATCTAGTGGTTCTTTTAAAAGAGACAAATTGCTTTAGAAAGCAGAGCAGAAAGAAATTTATAATGGTTATTAAAGGCTTTTCAAGGATAGTGAGATATAATGTGTAAAATTAGAAGGAGAGAAGACATTCTAATTGGATGAAAGGTTGTGAGCAAGAATACAAGGAAATATGTATTTGGGACAGAGGGTAAACCAGGTCAGAAAGGATGATTGGCTGAAGATTAGGGAAAATTGTGTGGCCAACCTACCCCTGTTTCTAGGGTTAGCTGCACATCAGAGTCCAATGGGGTGTTACAGGGTTCTAGAGGGTCTTGGAAGATTGGGAGTAAGCAGAAATTGACCATTATTTTTGTCTTGTCTTATTTCAAGTTTTACAAATTATAATGGAACTAAACAAAATAAAATGCAGCCATGCATGGTGGCTCACACCTGTAATCCCAGCACTTTGGAAGGCCAAGGTGGGCAGATGGCTTGAGGCCAGGAGTTTGAGACCAGCCTGGCCAACATTGTGAAACCTCATTTCTACTAAAACTACGAAATTTAGCCTGGCGTGGTGGCACGTGACTGTAATCCTAGCTACTCGGGAGGCTGAGGCAGGAGAACCTGGGAGGTGGAGGTTGCAGTGAGCCAGGATTGGACCACTGCACTCCAGCCTGGGCAACAGAGTGAGACTGTCTCAAAAGAAAAAAGAAATCACTTTTAATGCCACTCTAAGAGATTTTTAAAATTTCCTTCCTCCTTGTTTGTATGTATTTTCTTTAGTCTTAGGGTAGTTTTTGGTTTTCTTTGCTCCTTTAACATTATAACAAGCATTCAGTGTAATGGACAGTCTCTATAATGATTTTAATGTCTGAAAATATTCCATCAAGCTTTTTTATCCTTTTCATTTTTCTATTGCATGACTGTAAGTTTCATAGTGCTTCAGTATTGTGCTTCAGGTATCTTCTGCATGCATACAGTATTTTCTCTTTTGGACTGTTCTTTTAGGAGTACATTTAAAGAGTCGTTGTATGAACATTTTTATGACTCCTGAAACATTGCTGTGTTGTTTTTCAAGCTGGTTATAATTTACACTATCACCCTCCCTGTGAGTTTAGCTAGTGGCATTAAATAGTCTATAATTTTCATTTTTACTAATTTAATAGGTGCAAAATACATTGAGCTCTTTTTTTCTTTATAGTGTTTTTGTTGTGAATTAGTGAAATGGGACCTTGTTCTGTGATTTCACTTACTGATTCTTTTACAGGTTGTCTATTCACATTTCTAATTATGTATTAGAATCTTGATGTTTTATTTCTTAATTGATTGAGTTTATTATAGTGGTAACTTGCTGCACATATTTTTCCATACAGATTTCCCTTTTAATTTTAGTTACTTTTGCTGAGAGTTTTTGAATAGGCACAGAAAGGCATGTCATAAACAAAATACAGTGTTGGAAAATTATTTAGAAACAATGCCCATTGTAACTGAAGAAATGACACAGGAATTGGAAGTAGGGAGACAAGATACTGTTGAAGTGGTATCAGCATGAGATGAAACTAGAGTAGGAACTGGAGAGAGAAAGGAATAGGTGAGCAAGGAATTGTTTTGGTGGGGGGAGGAAAACTTGACAGCATTTGATCTCTGATTATAGAGGTGAAGAAGAAAGAAAATGAAACATACTCAAGATTTAAGAAAGAGGGAACGAGCAGTACCATTCACTGATTTGGCAAGTCAAGAAAAGCCACTGGTTGGTAAAGATGATGAAATCTGTTTTAAACATGCTAGTTAGAGCTTGAAATGTCCAGTAAGCATTTATTCTTCATTTTGTCAAAATCTTTGCGGGTTCCCTAATTGGGACAAGGCATTGTCCCAAACCCTACATTGTTTCTACATTGTGACTTTTAATTCCATTCTATTAGACTTAAGTGTAACTGATACTTTAGTTCAACTTGAATTAAGAAAAAATAAGTTCAGGAAAACCAGATGCTTCTCAAATTAAGGAGAGATTTGTTTTTCATTATTGAAAAAAATATAGTTTTGTGAGAACATAAATTTTCTTGCACCAAAATAAACTCATACTAACTTGTTATAACATGTCTGAACAGGATCTAGTTTGAGGCACTAAGAAGGATAGGACATCAGTTTGCAAAGAGTCCCTATCAAGGCAAAATCAATTCTGCTAAAATTGTAGCAAGGACAAACATCAAATTGATGGTGAAAGTTGTGATGTGGAAGAATGGTGAAATCATTGATACTTTACAAATAGTTTATGGGGACAATGCCCCAAAGAAATCAGTAGCAGTTTACAAATGCATAACTAGTTTAAGACGAAGCAAAGTTTTAGATGAAGCCTGCAGCAGCAGACCAGTCACATCGATTTGCAAGGGAAAAGTTAATCTTGTTTATGCCAACATCTCAATTGGTTCAGCTTACACAATTTTGATGGAAAATTAAATTTGAGCAAACTTTCCACTCATTGGATGCCACAACTGTACACCCAGATCAGCTGAAGACAAGAGCAAAGCTTTCAATGGAAATTTAAACAAGTGTGATCAAGACCCTAAAGGATTTCTTTGAAAAATTGTAACAAGAGATAGAACATGGCTTTACTAGTACACTTTTGAAGACAAAGCACAGTCAAAGCAATGGCTACCAAGAGGTGGAAGTGGTCCAGTCAAAGCAAAAGCAGGCTGGTCAAGAGCAAAGGTCAAGGCAAAACAGGTTTTTGGAATGCTCAAATCGTTTTGCTTGTTGACTTTCTGGAGGGCCAAAGAACGATAACATCTGCTTATGAGAGTATTTTGTTGAAAAAAATTAGCCAAAGCTTTAGCAGAAAAACGCCTGAGAGAGCTTCACCAAAACGTACTCTACCCCAACAATGCAGCCAAGGCCCTTCATCAAACTAGGGCAGTTTTGTAAGAATTTTGATGGGAAAATATGAGGCATCTACCTTGCAGCCCTGATTTGGCTCCTTCTGACTTCGATTCCTAATCTTACCAATTTTTTTTAAGGGCACCCATTTTTCTTCTGTTAATGTAAAAAAGACTGCATTGACATAGCTAAATTCCCAGGACCCTCAGTTCTTTAGGAATGGACTGAATGACTGGTATTATTGCTTACAAAAGTGTCTTGATTTGGTGGAACTTACGTTGAGAAGTAAACTTTATGTTTTTTATCATTTAATTGTTTTTCCACAAATTTTTTGAAGTCCCTTCATATATGTATGTTTTAAAAGGGCTCAAATGGAATAGAGTGAAATATCTTTCTTTTTCCCCTCTTCCAGAGTGTACTAATTTTTGTGTATTCTGTTTTAGTTTATTTTTAAAATAATGTCTAGAGGGAACAGATATTTTTATGGAACATGAATGTTTAGCCAAGATTCTTTATCTGAAATCCAGGTAAAGGTGTTGTGTCTTGTTTTTATAAATCATTTTTATTTCAACAAAATGTTCAGTATAAGAAATTACTTTTAATAATTACGTCAAAACATGCAGTAGGTGGACTTTTGAGCTAACCCTGGAGAAGGAGCTGGATTTCACCAGTTAGCCTCCTATGGATCTGCTACCATCATCACCCTCCCACCCCACCTCCACTGCCTTTTTTCCCAAGACTTTTAAAAAAATGTTTTATTGCCCAGGCACAGCACTTTGGGAGGCTGAGGCGGGCGTGAGATTGGGAGTTTGAGACCAGCCTGACCAACATGGAGAAACCGCATCTCTACTAAAAATACAAAATTAGCCTGGCGTGGTGGCGCATGCCTGTAATCCCAGCTACTCTGGAGGCTGAGGCAGGAGAACCGCTTGAATCCGGGAGGCGAAGGTCACGGTGAGCCAAGATTGCACCATTGTACTCCAGCCTGGCCAACAAGAGCGAAACTCCCATCTCAAAAAAAAAAAGCCGGGTGTGGTGGCCCACACCTGTAATCCCAGCACTTTGGGAGGCCGAGGCAGGCAGATCACCTGAGGTCAGGAGTTCAAGACCAGCCTGGCCAACATGGTGAAACCCCATCTCTACTAAAAATATAAAACTTAGCTGGGTGTGGTTTCAGGCAGCTGTAATCCCAGCTGTTTGGGAGGCTGAGGCAGGAGAATTGCTTGAACCCAGGAGGCGGAAGTTGCAGTGAGCCGAGATGGCACCACTGCATTCCAGCCTGGGCAACAGAGCAAGACCCGTCTCAAAAAAAAAAAAAAATGTTTTATTTGCTGCTCTCTTTCCTGATTTTGTTTTAGAAAAAAGCCAGTCTTTTACATTATCAATTACATACCAATCACAATATTAAATATACATACTTTTTCTTGTTGATTCCACTTTTTAGTCTGCTTTTATGAAACCTAACTTTTTTGGAGTTTTCCTTTTGGGATGGTATGTGAGCTTATGAAATTTGAGCTATTTTTTTATATTTATCAAGACAGTCTTTGATTTGATTTAAATATGTACTTAAAAGTTTTTCCATTGTAGTGCTAGCTTTGAGTTAAAAAGATACCTGTGTTCAGATTCAGGAAAAAATCAGTATATTTAAAAACCTAACATTTGTGCATCAGTTTACAACATTCTGAGTTTTTAATGAATGTGTGGTTATGTGTATGTTTTTATTGCTTCACTTTTTATCTCTTTTGACACCTTATTTTTTTCTAATAAAAGTATTTACTTAGAAGCATTCACAGTGTTAACAAAACAGCTGCAACTTTTTTTTTTTTTGCAATTGCAGAGTGGTATTCAGTTAAGAGAACAATTATTTCGTATAAGCCACATCAGAGACGACTGAAGATGAAAAAACTACCATCCCCGTATATAACTAATTTGTGCTGTGCACCAACAAGAACCTGCTTTAAATTTCCATGGCAATTTACAACCCCCATACTGTACCAGGCAAGGTTAGTGGCTACTGAAAATACCACCAGGACAGGACTATCTAAAGACACATTTGGTAGTGTGTTAACTATACAAAAAAAGACACTGTACAGTTTAAAACATTTTACACAGCCTTACATTTCAATTTTTTACTTTAAAAAGAGTGAGTTGTGTACAGGGGAGTTAAATGTTTTATAGACAAAACCACTAAAACCAGTGCATTCATTATCAGCATATTCATTATCGTCATCCTCTTCATCTTCCTCCTCATCCTCTTCCTCATCCTCTTCATCTTTCTCATTCTTCCTTTTCTTGCTTTTTTCAGCCTTGACATCTCCCTTTTTCGCTGCATCAGGCTTTCCTTTAGCTCGATATACAGCAGTATCCTTTCTGTATTTTTCCTTCAGCTTTGCAGCCTTCTTTTCATAAGGCCATTTGTCATCTGCAGCACTGTTAGTCCGCATCTCTCCCAGTTTCTTTGCAACATCACCAGTAGACTGGCCAGGATGTTCTCCCTTTGATTTTTGGGCAGTACTCAGGCTGAAGGGAGGCCTCTTGGGTGCATTGGGATCCTTGAACTTCTTTTTTGTCTCCTGTTTAGGAGGAATATAGGTTTTCATTTCTCTTTCATAATGGACCTTGTCCGCCTTTGCCATATTTTCAAATTTTCCTTTCTCTTTAGCAGACATGGTCTTCCATTTCCCTGAGCACTTCTTAGAAAACTCTTTGAGAAGTTTACTGAAGCATCTGAGTGGTGGTGCTTATGCTCCTCCCGACAACTTTGCACAAAAAATGCATATGATGACATTCTGTCTCTTGGCTTCTTAGGATCTCCTTTACCCCTGTTTAGTTATTTTTCCTCAGCGAGGCACAGAGTCACCCAGTGCCCGTCTGGCTCTCACTTGACACCTTTTATTTTTTTAAGGATTCTTAAGTCATTTAGGTTACTTTGTAGGTTTTTCCTGTGCCCCCATAAGAATGATAGCTTTAAAAATTATGCTGGGGTAGCAAAGAAGATACTTCTAGCTTTAGAATGTGTAGGTATAGCCAGGATTTTTGTGAGGAGGGGTGATTTAGAGCAAATTTCTTATTCTCCTTGCCTCATCTGTAACATGGGGATAATAATAGAACTGGCTTGACAAGGTTGGAATTAGTATTACATGGTAAATACATGTAAAATGTTTAGAATGGTGCCAAGTATCTAGGAAGTACTTGGGTATGAGGTGGTGGTGGTAACATATGTAATACTCTTACGTGCATATCATTCCAAGTGAGTTTTAAATGTATACATTTATTGCATTGATATACAGACATTAAGCATCTAGACTCTCTTGTCTTGATTCTGAGACCCTACTAAAGGTCATATCCACCTCTCTCCAACCTTATTTTTTACTACTTCCCTTCAAGCATCATATGCTGCAGTCACATTGAACTATCATGGTTCTCTTGTACAAGCCATATGTTTTCTCATTTACTTATGTTCATACTGTTCTCACCAATTTGATTGTTATCCCATCTCCTTGTATTCAAATGCTACCTTTTAAGTGAAGTTTTCTGATAGTTCAATAGGTAGAACTATATAGGTAATCATCATGTGAATTTCATGTTTCCTCTTACATGATTCTTTACCACTTTTTGTATTGCACTTTAGCCTTTTATTTACATATGTCTCTCTTACTGTGTTGTGCAATCTTTACAGGCAGAAAACTGTACCTTTTTCTTCCTTGTAGGTTTAGAACCTATCATAGGCCTTGGGACTTAGTAGGCATTCATTTGTGTAATGAAAATTTATAAAAGGTATCACAAGCTAAAAGGTTATGTTTAATGGACAAATGCATGCCAGTAAAAATGTGTTTTGTCAGTGTTTGTACATTCAAGAATGTCCTGGCCAGTCACTTAAAATGAAATCACTTTTTTAAAAAAAGATTGTATCTCTAAATAACCACCAGAGAATGGTTTTTCTGCTTGTTGTTACCTCATTTTTCACAGATCTTCCTAATAATTATCAGTGGTACAAATGTGGGAAAAGTTCATCCAGGGCTAAGGGTTCGTCACCTGCCAGTAGTGGGATAGATAAGCCACGTGGCTCAATAAATTATTGAACCCATAGTGTCACCCTCCAAGTATTTTTCTTTTTTAATCACAATACCATAATGCCTTTAGGTGTGAAACTGGGTATAGCCTAAGAATAGGAACTGGATGAGATATTTCATGAGGACACTTGATCCTTGCTTGCTGTGATATTGCTAAGGGTGTGGCATCATGATTTGGACAAAATGAGAATGGCAGGAATTGGGGAGATAAAATATCAGGCTCATAGGCCTTCATGGAGTTAAAGCAGTATTGTGTGTGCTTAGCTCCAGAATTCTCAGAATTTTTACAATAATTCAACAGGACGTTGGATTGAATAAGCACTTTAATACTGAAACACTGGATTTGAAAACTGGATGTTATGTGTTCTACTCATAAGCCTATTACTCATTGGCTGTGACCTGGGATACATCACTGCTTTTGCTTTTAGAGAATGAGGGTCATTGGGCTAGGTATTTACAGCTCTTAATATTTTAGGGTTGCAGTCTAGCACCGTATTTTTAAAACAAGAATTCTAAGCTTCTAATATCCACCTGTTCTTTGCAAGGTTAACTTTTTTTTAACAAACTCTGAGAATCAGAAGTCTTAGACATTTACTTGATAATTTTAGCATTTGAGGAATTGGCTGATGTTCCTAGAATCAAATTCTGACAGAAACTTTAATGCCCCCTCTATCTCACTGTTTTATTTAACAAGAGTTCTGATTGCTTTCATTGGTTGGTAAAACAGATATTTCAAGTAATAGCCACACTGATTAATTTCATTATGGTGACATTTCATTAATGTCATTATGGTGACATTTCAGTTTTATGTATGTCTATACTGCCCACACACAAAAGTACTACCGTGTGATTCAATATTTTCTTCTGTAGTTCATTTGTATAAAAAATCAGATGGGCTGGGTGCGGTGGCTCACGCCTGTAATCCCAGCATTTTGGGAGGCCAAGACGGGTGGATCATAAGGTCAGAAGTTTGAGACCAACCTGGCCAATATGGTGAAACTCTGTCTCTACTAAAAATACAAAAGTTAGCCAGGCGTGGTGGCGCGCATGTGTAGTCCCAGCCACTTGGGAGGCTGAGGCAGAAGAGTCGCTTGAACCCAGGATGTGGAGGTTGCAGTGAGCCGAGATCATGCCACTGCACTCCAGCCTGGGTACAGAGCAAGATGCCATCTCAGAAAAAAAAAAAAAGTCTGATGTGATCCACAGAAGTGGTTTCATGACTTAACTGTAGGTCTGTCTCAACCTTCTTTGGACAGGGTGAGGAATCAACTAGATAACGTTTTAAATTTGGTACTTTAACATTTGCTGGGCACTTAGATATACTACTACACTTATGTGTAATAGCTTAGACGTTAGATACAAATTAATCATTACCTGAAAAATTCCTAACAGCAGTGGGTTGAGTGGGAAAAAAGGCATGGAGGATGAAATCATGTTCTTTTTTTTTTTTTCTTTTTGTTGGCGTGTTTGATAGGTTTAATATGTTACTGAGTCTGCCAGTTCAAATAGCCCACTTAGGGATCTTAGGGATTTGTATTTATTTACATTTAGGGTTACCTCAAATCCTATGGCAAGCAAAAAAATAAAAATAAATCCCCAATTATTTCCCTCAAATCAAACCAGAATTCCTACTGTTTCTCAAAAAATCTTAGTTTCTTAGTCTATATATGCAATCATAAAGCTTCTTCCAGTGTTTGTATAATTTTGGTGGCCTAGATCTTGGTCAGATGGGACAGGGAGGGGAATTTTTGTATGAAGGAACATAACCAAAAAAAAAAAAAAAAAAGCACCACCTTCTTGTTTCTTATTCCTCTGTGTATCATGTGATACTGCTTTTAAGGCCTTAGAATTGCCGAGGCCATGGTAACCCAAGGCAGACTTGCTGTTTTCCTCTCAGATTTGAAGTTCTGCATTTTATTAGTCACGAAGAACTAGTCTGTTACCAGTAAATACTTAAGACACAAAACTTGCTTCTCTGTGCTGCTGTGTACTTCCTGTTTTGTCAGATTTCCATTTAGGGAAAAGAATGGATTTTATGCTAGGCTAGCTTCTCCTGAAATTCAGTTTGGAAGCCGTCCAGATATCTAGGGCGGGTGGTGGGGGAGAATGGCATGTCTTGTCTATATATGATGTCATTTGTCAGAAAGATTCATTTGGCTGCTTATCATGAAAGAGAGGGTTGCCAGGAAGGAAGAGAAACCTTTTGCTGTCAGAACTATTTAGTGTATGACTTGCCTACTTTGTGGCTTGCCTTTAGGCTTTCCATGTCAAATGTGTTTGAGGTTGTGAATGAATTATTATATTGCCTATGAAGGAAGGATCTATGTTCATTTCTAGTAGGTTTTTATTCCAGAAATATGTAAGAACTGTATTTAGACACATTTGCTTCACTTATAGAAGAGACAGGTCAAAGGTTAGATGGTAATTAGAACTGGGCTACATTTTAAATGTTGAAAATGTTTTGGGGGGAAGTTGCAGTAAAACCATTTTAAAAATCTTTTGCAGCTAAAATAGTAAATAGAACACCTAGTTATAAATGATGAATTTTCTGTCAGTTTTTATCCTATGAAATGAAATTCCAATTAGTTGTTAATAGAATGTGTGAGTAGAATATGCTTTCAGTGTAATCCTGAATCCTACTAATACTGCTGGTAACGGAATATTGTTTTGCAATGGTGGAACCAAAGCTCGTCTATAAAATTCTCTTTGACCAAATTGACCTGGTCTGCATTAAGTCAGAGCTAATTTTCTCTTTTTTGACCTGTCAGTAAAATATGAAAGATGCTTTTCAATCCCTGACCATTAGTGAACAGTTACAGAATTTCTTCTTTATTGGCACCCTGGCTCTTCGTTCACTCACATGTTGGAAATGTTCTCTTAACATCTGTATGTTGTCTTCCTTGGGAGCTGATGTTGAATTCTAAAATATTTGGAACCATCCCTATAAATTTTCTGCCAGATTCTTCCCTCCCCTTCCCCCCACCCCCCACTCTTTTTTTCATCTAGGTGTATGTATGCTGCTATTTCCGAGACATACATTCCTTACACAATCATGAAAAAAAGTTTTCCTAGACACCCATCATCCCTTACTGCTTCATCCCCCATTTTGCTTTCTAAATGTCATCTCTTCCTTTTTTTTTTTTGAGTTGGAGTCTTGCTCTGTTGCACAGGCTGGAGTGCAGTGGCGTGGTCTCGGCTCACTGCATCCTCCGCTTCCCAGGTTCAAGTGATTCTCCTGCCTCAGCCTCCTGAGTAGCTGGGATTACAGGCGCCTGCCATCACGCCTGGCTAATTTTTATATTTTTAGTAGAGACGGGGTTTCATCATGTTGGCCAGGCTGGTCTTGAACTCCTGACCTCAGGTGACCAACCCATCTTGGCCTTCCAAAGTGCTGGGATTACAGGCGTGAGCCATCACACCCTGCCCTAAGTGTCATCACTTTAAAAGTAACCTTTTCTCTTACCCTATTCTCCTTTTAGTAACCTGTTTCCAAATCAGTGATTCTCAAATTTTAGAGTGTTAATAAGAATTACCTCAGATACTTATTGAAAATACAGATTCCTGGGTCCCTCTTCCTACCTAGTGAGTTCAAATCTGTAGAATTCTGACTTAGGTGATCTTCGAACCACACTTTGAGAAAGTTGTCTGTTGCATGCATTCCCACTATCATGTAAATTCTGTCCTTCATATTTTTACATAATCTACTTTGTTTTAATTACTGGAATCTCAGAAGTTTTTTACTCATAATTATTGATAAGCTTTTTCTCCTGAATTCACTCATTGGAGGGGTCTTCCACTAGGTGTCCAGGAAATGTTCCCAAATTCCCTTCCATATTTGTCAGAATTTATGTTCTCTCCTCCCCAAAGCACATGTTTATAGTTCAGTGTAGACATACAAGTATATGTATACACATCTCTTTTTTACTTTTTTTTTGAGGCAGGGTCTCACTCTGTTACCTACACTGGAGTGCAGCAGCACCATCTTGGCTCACTGCAACCTCTGCCTCCCAAGGTCAAGCAATTCAACTGCCTCAGCCTCCCAAGTAGCTGGGACTACAGGCGCCTGCCACCATGCCCGGCTAATTTTTATATTTTTAGCAGAGATGGGGTTTCACTCTGTTGGCCAGGCTGGTCTCAAACTGCTGACCACAAGTGATCTGCCCACGTCGGCCTCCCAAAGTGTTGGGATTACAGGCGGTAGCCACTGTGCCCAGCTTGTATACACGTTTAATAGACCTTGCCAGTGATTTTTAGTATCTGCTTTTCTCACTGGGGAAAGAACTATATCTGAACTTTTTAAATTTTAGTCTTCCTTGGTGATGTGATACATCGTAGGCATCCAAATGTTTGCCTTGAATTTTTACTGCTATCACTTGGTTGCTACTGACACCCAAACCAATCAGACCTACTAAATATCATATATTATTATCTTTATACCTGTAATTTTCCTATACCATTTCCTTTTCTCTAAATTATCAGAATTTTCTTCGGTGCTATCTTAAGAATAATTCCCTTATATTATATTAATCTTGAATCCCATTGACTTTTCCTGAAAAAAAATTAACTCCCATTTCCACATGGATCTTAATAGTTCAACTCTTTATTTACATGAATTTTTCTCAAAACTTTGTGATTCCATGTAGTAGAAATGAAATATAAGTCCAAATGATACACTTCAAAGACAAACCCAAGATACATGAGTAAGGAATCCTGCTCATCAACTATCTTTATATGTTAATCACATTATACTAGTATTTATTTCAAAGAGATATATGGACTGGAAGGATACACTTTATAATAGAGTACCTCTTGAAGGGGTTGAGTGGTCAAAGAAGGAATATTACTTTTATTTGTAATGTTTTAATATTTATATGAGGGACAATAAATACATAGGTACATATGAACATACCACATAATTTAAGTACCTACATTGCAAAAACAATGGAGGCTGGGCAGTGGCTCACACCCATAATCGCAACACTTTGGGAGGCCGAGGTGGGAGGATCACTTGTCATGACTTGAGACCAGCCTGGACAATATAGATACAGCGTGTTTCTTCAAAAATTTTAAAAAATTAGCCAGGCGTGGTGGTACATGCCTGTGATTCGAGCTACTCGGGAGGCTGAGGTGGGAGGATAGTTTAAGCACGGAAGATTGAGGCTGCAGTGATCTTTGATCCTGCCATTGTACTCCAGCCTGGCAACAGAGTGAGACCCTGTCTCCGGAAAAAAAAAAAAAACACCATGGAAGCAAGCAAAAAAAAAAAAATTCCTAAAATAGTTATTCCAGGTTGTGGGAATATGGATGGCTTTCTTCTTTGCCCTCTTTGTTATTTTCTTTGTTATTGTTGTTCAGATGGAGTCTCATTCTGTCGCCCAGGCTGGAGTGCAGTGGCACGATCTTGCCTCACTGCAAGCTCCACTTAGATTGAAGCAGTTCTCCTGTCTCGGCCTCCTGAGTAGCTGGGATTACAGGTACCTGCCTCCACACCCGGCTGATTTTTGTATTTTTAGTAGAGACGGGGTTTCACCTTGTCGGTCAGGTTGGTGTCTAACTCTTGACCTCGTGATCTACCTAGCTCAGCCTCCCAAAGTGCTGGCATTGCAGGCGTGAGCCGCCACGCCTGGCCTTGTTATCTTTTTTTTTTTTTTTTTTAAACTTTATACAGGCAAGGTCTCGCTATGTTGTCCAGGCTGGAGTGTAGTGGCTATTCACAGGCACTTTCACAGCACAATGCAGCACTGCTCAAGCAATCCTCTCACCTCAGCCTCATGAGTAGCTGGGACCATAGTTGGACACCACTACACTGAGGTCTTTTGGTTTTTTTTTCTTACTTTTTTTTTTGGTGGTGGTGGTTTAGTTTAAGCAGCAACATGCGAAAAGGTATCTTTAAAATTCACCCCAGTTTAAAGGAGGGTAAGATATAATTTAGTGGTTTTATAAGGAAACGGCTTCTCAGAATATTTTGTAAAGGGCAAGAATCACGTTTTCTATTTCATGTGTCCTTTAACAGTTCTAATAAGCAATTAATGTTTATTATGATTGAGGTATGCTGGGTGCAGTGGCTCATGCCTGTAATCCCAGCACTTTGGGAGGCCTAGGTGGGTGGATCACCTGCAGTCAGGAGTTCGAAACCAGCCTGACCAACATGGTGAAATCCCGTCTCTACTAAAAATACAAAATTAGCCAAGTGTGGCGGTGTGTGCCTGCAATCCCAGCTGCTTTGGAAGCTGAGGCAGGAGATTGCTGGAACCCGGGAGGCAGAGGTTGCAGTGAGCTGAGATTGTGTCATTGCACTCCAGCCTGGGCAACAACAGTGAAACTCGGTCTCAAAAAAAAAAAAAAAAGAAAAAAAAAAAGACCAGGCGCGGTGGCTCCCTAGCACTTCGGGAGGTCGAGGCGGGCGGATCACAAGGTCAGAGTTTGAGACTAGCCTAGCCAACATGATGAAACCCCGTCTCTAGTAAAAATAGAAAAATTAGCGCCCGTAATCCCAGCTACTCGGGAGACTGAGGCAGAAGAATCTCTTGAACCCAGGAGGACGAAGTTGCAGTAAGCCAAGATCGTGCCACTGCACTCCAGCCTGGGCAAGAAGAGCAAAATTCTGTCTGGGGGGCAGGGGGAAGAGGTATATTTTTTGGATTAAAATGGAATGCTTTCCTCAAACTGTTAAAATTAGGTAGTGTTACAAGTTTAAAGAATAGGTTTAGCCAGTGTGATTATTGCAGTGTAATAAAAAGGATCCCAGGTGGCACACATGCTAGTGTGGTGCCCAGATGCTCAACTGAAGTGAAGGATAACATGCGTTTCAACATTTTCTATATACTAGGCAGTTTTTCTTAAGTCTTGGTTTATTGTGATATAATACAGTAAAATTTACTCTTTATACGTATGATTCCATTAATATTAACAAATTTAAACAGTCTTACAGCTAAATACAATCAAGATACAGAACATTTCCATCACTACAGGAAGTTGTTTTTTGCTAATTTAACTAAACTTCTTACCATGCTCAACCCCCCACCCCCACCCTGAGAACCACTGCTTTGTTTTTCTGATCATATAGTTTGGCCTTTTCAAAAATGTCATACAGTTGGAATCATATAGTATGCATGAATCATGTAGCTGAAGTTTTCATTTCACTTAGGTAAACACCTAGGAATAGGAGTGCTGGGTTATACTCTAAGTGTTAAACTTCATAAGAAGCTGCTAAACTGTTTTCCAAAGCATCTGTACCATTTTCCTTTCCCACCAGCAATAAAGCATTCATTAGTCTACGTACTCACCAGTGCTAGTGTGGTCAGAATGTATAGTTTTAATTATACACATTATAATAGATGTAGAGTGGTATCTCATCGTGATTTTGCCTTTTCCTAATGAATATCTTTCCTTACATATTTGTCATTAGTGTGTCTTCTTTAGTAAATGGTCCTATTGTTTTGCCCATTTTTAAAAGTTGAGTTTTCATATTGTTCAATTTCGAGAGTTCTTCATATATTCTGGACACAAGTCCTTTGTCAGACATGTGATTTGCAAATATTTTCCCCCAGAGTTTTTCCTGTCTTGTCAGTCCCTTAATAGTGTTTTTAGGAAGGAGAACAGCTGCTTTTAATTTTGATAAAGCTTGTCAATTGTTTTTCTTTTATGGATCATGCTTTTGGTGTAGTATCTGAGAACTCTTTCTTAAACCAGTCACACATGTCTTCTGTTTTCTTTGAAGCTTTACAGGTTGAGGTACATTTTGGTCCATGATCACTTTTGAGCTACTTTTTATATATAGGTAGTATAAGATATGGTTTGAGGTTTTTGTTTGGGGTTTTTTTTCTTCCTGCATATGAATGTTCAGTTGTTCCAGCACCATTTGTTGAAAAAACACTATCCTTTCTCTAGTAATTTGCTTTTTTACTTTTGTCAGTTGACTATTTGTGGGTCTGTTTTTAAACTCCATTTTATATTATGTCTACATTATGAACTTTATAGTTAGTCTTGAAATTAGGTAATGTGGGTCTTCTCACTTGTGCTTTTCAAAATTGTTTTGGCTCTTCTAATTCTTTCACTTTTTCCATATAAATTTTAGAAACAGCTTATTGATTTCTACCACTTTCCCCCAAAAAGCCACTTGGGAATTTGACTAAGTTTACATCGAATCTAATAAATGATTTTGGAGAGAAGTGGTATCTTAGCAATACAGTCTTTTCTGATAACACTTCCTGTTTTAGTTCTTTTTCTCATTTAATAATTTTCCAACATTAAAACCTTGGACAAATTTAGATGTGTATCTGAATAATTCCAGTTTTGTTGCCATTTAAAATGGTACATAATCCTTATTTTATAGATGAGAAAATTAAGTAACTTGCCCAAGTCACACAGTTACTAAATGACAAAGCTAGATTGAAATCTATGAGCTTATAAACTAATGTCCTGTTTTGAGCTACAGTACTAGTTTTATTAAATTGTTGTGGTTAAACTGGGGTAGAGAGGAAGTCCTAACTTCTTTTAAGAAAAAAAAAATCCCACTACTGTAGTTCATAAAATAATTGGTCCCCCCACACTTATGTATTTTCAAAGATTCAGTTTTCCAGATCTGTTCAGGTGATAAACCATGCTTTTTTTTTTTTTTCTTCTTTCTCTTTGAGACAGAATCTTGCTCTGTCACCCAAGCCGGAGTGTAGTGGTGCCATCATAGCTCACTACAGCCCTGAACTCCTGGGCTCAAGATATCCTCCCACCTCAGCCTCTTGAGTAGCTGGGACTACAGGCGCATGCCATCATGCCTGGCTGACTTTCTTATTTTTTGTAGAGAAAAGGTCTCTCACTACGTTGCTTAGGCTGGTCTTGAACTCCTGGGTTCAAGCGATCCTCCTGCCTCAGCTTCCCAAAGTGTTGAGATTACAGGTGTGAGCCACCACACCCAGCCTCCATGTTCATCTTAGTTTAGAAGCCTTCGATTGACACATTTCTGAATCAGTGATTTTCAAATAGTATACCTTATCCAGCAGTTAGTATGATTTCAATGTGTGTACCTTTAGCATGTGAATAGTTATTTGTGCTCACCAGTTGAAATACAAGGAAAGGATTTTTTTTTTTTTTAAACAACTCTCAGTCTTGTGCGGGGGGGAGTGGGGGAGGTGGTGGTATATACTTTATTATAGTTCAGCCATAATAGATACATATGGTCAGTGGGAACAACAAAAAAAAGCTATACTTGGTTGGGGTTACAATAGTTGCATTTCATGTTTTGAAGTTCCTTTGATAGGTGGATATTTTTACAAACTGAGAATATTTGTAGTCTTAATTTGCTACTTTTCCTGTGAAATGAAGAATATTCTGATGTTGAGACCTGTTAAACATTGGTAACCTAGAAGTTGACTTTCTTATTTTTTAGGTCTCTATGAATAAAGAAAAGCAAATAGAATCTTATCAGATAAGTGCTTTTATAAGTCTAAATATATTCTTTGGAATCTCTAAAGCAAAACTTTTAAACTTTTTTTTTTTTTTTTTTTTTTTTAGGTACCAGCATCAAGATGATTTATGGTAATAAGGTACTCAGTCTTTGCTTAAAATAAATTTTACGTTTATCAAAGTAAAATTTACCAGCTTTTTTTCCTAAAGAGGCTAGTCATATCTCATCAGTGGTTACAAAGTATCCTTACAATTGAACCTACATTTGTTAATCCTGTTCAGTGTGTATGAAAATCACTTGGTGGCCGGGCATGGTGGCTCACGCCTGTAATCCCAGCACTTTGGGAGGCCAAGGCGGGCAGATCACAAGGTCAGGAGTTCGAGACCAGCCTGGCTAATATAGTGAAACCCCATTTCTACTAAAAATGCAAACATTAGTCAGGCATGGTGGCAGGTGCCTGTAGTCCCAGCTACTTGGGAGGCTGAGGCAGGAGACTCTCTTCAACCCGTGAGGCAGAGGTTGCAGTGAGTCGAGATCATGTCACTGCACTTCAGCTTAAGCAACAGAGCGAGACTCCATCTCAAAAAAAGAAAAGCACGTCACTCGATGTTCTTTCTTTCATAAGAGTTGAAGAACTAGGTATATCTGCTTATATTATGGCATCTATAGTAGCTTAGCTGCTCATATTTGGGTCTCTTTAGAACCAGTGTCTTTCAAAGAGGGTTTTAACTATGCTGGTGTAAATTTTAAGAATAGATACATTCAAAGAAGAATTCAACATTCATGTGACATTCATACTTTGGAACTTTGGGAAAGTATAGGAATGACCATAGATTGGCTTAGGGATAGTCAATTTACCTGTCTGTAAATGGATCCAATTTAGTATTGTTCCTGTATTTTTCTAAGACCAACACTTGTGTCATTCACAGTTAAATATATGAGTTGTGGCCAGGCCCGGTGGCTCATGCCTGTAATTTCAGCATTTTAGGAGGCTGAGGTGAACAGATTGCTCAAGTCCAGGAGTTCAAGACCAGCCTGGGCAACATAGTGAGATGCGGTCTCTACAAAAAATTTTTAAAAGTTAGCCAAGCATGGTGGTGCTTGCCTGTGGTCCCAGCTACTTGGGAGGCTGAGGTGGGAGGATTGCTTGAGCCATATGCTCTAATATATTTTAAAATACATATTTTAAATATATTTTGAGTGGTAAAATGTAGCAGATAATGTTACATAAAAGAAGCCATGGTAATGACATGACATTACTGGTTTTGAGTTGTTTGTGTAGTAGTTAGCTATTAATACTCAGGTATAATGATTTGCTATTTAAACTACACAAATGCTCAAAGTCCAGCGATACCCTGCACCCAAATTCAGTGGCTAGATTACCTTCTTAGGAAAGCACAACACTTCAATGGAGTGACACTGGCATGAGTCCACTAGAGGGTGTGTATACATGGCCTGAGTTCAAATTGTTCCTGCTGTGAGTACTGCTTTTCAGCTTCAAGTTATTCTTATCGGCCACAGTACTGTTTATTCCACTTAGTAACAGTTCTGTTTACAGAGCACTTTAACATAAATTCTGATTTTTAACATGAAAGCTGTCTGATGTTGGTATTTTTATTTTAATCTTTAGAGATCAAGAAATTTTTTTAGTGACAGAATAGGGACTTTATTGATCCTTAAATCCGCCCCTCACCACAATAAAGGAAAAAAGCAAAAACATCCTTGACTCATGTATTGAAGGGTCTTTTTTGAGAAGGGTCAGTTTTTGAAAAATTATCCAAAACTGAAACATCTGTCATCTGTATCACATCTAAAGATTAACAGTGACTGATGACCACCAGTTACTTCATATGAAAGTGGGAAACCGTATCAGTTATTTGTCCACTAAGTTGGTAGGTGCTTTTTGTACAAAAGCCCAGGAGAATATGATCTGTAAATTCTAGTTGAGTGATGAAGATGGGGCTTTGAATTAATCTACAGTCTTGGAATTAATTCTGCAGCATTTTAACCAGGGAATTTTTCAGTAGTCATAAATCTATATTTTAATACTGAGTAAATGTCCTCATTTACCCCCACCAATTTTGTAAAGCAGATATTAACCAAACTTCAATAGTTATAAGACAAAAATTTAATGAAAATTGGACAGTATGTATAATCCAGGGCTAAATAGTTACATTGGACTGGAGTAGAAATTTAAAATACAATAGATGCTGGAGTAAATGTTACATATTATCATCATCTGATTCATCTTCTTCCTTCAGAGATTCCTGTTAAGAGAAAACAGGTGTTTAAAATTGATTTTTAAAATTGTTATATCCCACACCTGTGGGCAAGTTAAGCTACAACAACCTGAATTAAGTGGTTAAATTCCTCTACTTGTAACTGAATGAACAGTTTCAGAATAAGATACCCAAGCAAAGTTAATTAAGCAAATGTTGCTCTAACATGCAATGACTGTATCTTTGATAGAATATATACTTAAGAGGCCTGGTGCAGTGTTCATGCCTGTAATCCCAGCACTTTACGGGGGCCAAAGTAGGCAGATCACGTGAGTTCAAGAGTTTGAAACTAGCCTGGTGAAAACCCGTCTCTGTATTATTGGTGAAGCCAAAAATACAAAAGTAGCCAGGTATGGTGGCATGTTCCTGTAATCCCAGCTACTTGGGAGGCGGAGGCAGGAGGATCGCTTGAACCCTGGAGGCAGAGGTTGCAGTGAGCAGAGATGGTGCCACTGCCCTCCAGCCTGGGTGACAGAGCAAGACTCCGTCTCAAAAAAAAAAAAAAAAAAAAGAACAAATATTTAAAGTATTAAAAGTCCTAAAAAACTCTTTGCAGTCTAAACCTCCCAAGTTTTTTTTTTTTGGAACCAAGGCAACTTTACCCACTAGAGATAACCTAGAAAATTTCTATCTTTAGTTCAACTGAACTCTCAGTGTTATTTCATAGAAACCACCCCAGTCTATTTATATTATTCAACACATAATTTTGGTTAGAGAATTTTTTTTTTTTTAAATTAGGGATGGGGGTCTTGCTGTGCTGCTCAGGCTGGTCTCAAACTCCTGGGCTAAGTGATTCCCTGACTGTACCTGGCCAAGAGAAGTTTTTGTGCTGTGGCTTACCTTAGCATATTTCTCTGCTTCTTCTCTTATATCTTTTGGAACAATTTCATGTCTTCCATTAGTTACTGTAAATTAAGCCACATGTGTAAATGAATTTTAAATTGAGTACCATATTGTAACTTGCAGTATACCATAGGATCTACCCAATCCACATATCTGACTCACCTAAGGTTGCAAAGTTGTACTATGAGTAATACTCGAATATTTTTGTGTGCTGCTTCTACATGAGATTATATGTGCCTACATATTAAGTTCTTATGGAAATGAAAGTAAATTATGCTATTTATAAATCCTGAGCATTAATTTATAGCATAGTATCTTAAAACCATGAAATGGATGTTTCAAAAAATAACGTGTTCACAACTTAAGTCAATTATTAAGCAGAACTTTCCCTTCATTAGACAACCTAGTAAATTTGCTTTAGCTTTCATTATATTAGAAAGGACACTCAGTTGTAAATTAGCTGTGGTACAGATCATTCCTAAGGCAAATAAATGTACAAAAATAACTTACATTCACCAACCCAGCTGAGTTCTAGTTCAAAAGCTTTATCCTTAACTTCGTCATGTACTATGTAAATTCTAGAATAGAAAAGGGAAAGGTAAGATTTTGGTAACCTCCAAACATTGAAGTAGTTCACAGACCCAAAGTCAGTACAAATTAGAATGTCCATCCATAATAAAAGTATCTATAAAATTACACAGACACATTCTACATAGTATTTAACATTAGAGAAGACAAATTACACAGGGACTGAAATAAAATGAAACATCTACTCTCCCGACAAATGTTGAATATACCTAATCAACCCAAGTTCAGTTTATTTTTGCACATTGCTTTAGAGATATAACTTGGCTGGGCACAGTGGCTCACACCTGTAATCCCAACACTTTGGGAGACCAAGGCGGATGGATCACTTGAGGTCAGTTCGAGACTAGCCTGGCCAACATGGTGAAACCCTGTCTCTACTAAGAAACAAAAATCAGCCAGGTGTGGTGGTGGGCGCCTGTAATCTCAGCTACTCAGGAGGCTAAGGCAGGAGAATTCCTTGAACCCGGGAGGCAGGGGTTGCAGTGAGCCAAGATCACACTACTGCACTCCATCCTGGGCTACAGTAGAGCGAGACTCCATCTCAGAAAAAAAAAAAGATACAACTATAAAAGATACCTCATAAAGAACACGGATTCACTAGGAAGAGGCGTCATTAACTGTGCCCTTTTAGAATATTTTGTCCATTAACTTAAATATATTTAAAACCAACTAATTGGCTGGACATGGTGGCTCGTGCCTGTAATCCTAGCACTTTGGGGAGGCAGAGGCGGGTGGATCATGAGGTCAGGAGTTCGAGACCATCCTGGCCAACATGGTGAACCCACGTCTCTACTAAAAATACAAAAATTAGCCAGGTGAGGTGGCCATAGGCCTGTAGTCCCAACTACTCGGGAAACTGAGGCAGGAGACTTGCTTGAACCCAGGAGGTAGGGGCTGCAGTGAGCTGAGATCACGACACTGCACTCCAGCCTGGGCAACAGAGTGAGACTCTGTTTCAAAAAAATAAAAAAAAAAAAACTAATTTATGTGCTTGCAATTATTAGTGGTCTCTTCAACCTATAGCTTCTTGGCAGTAGTCTTTTTAAGCTCCTTGTCCATTTTATAATGGCATATATGCCACATAACCTGGCCTTCACATTGTAGTACCTTACAAATTACAGCAAAGAAGGAGGCACTGTCATGCAACATATTAAAGTAACATAAAAAGTATCAAGAGGCCAGGTGCGGTGGTTCACATCTGTAATCCCAGCACTTTGGGAGGCCAAGGTGGGTGGATCACAAGGTCAGGAGTTCAAGACCAGCCTGGCCAAGATGGTAAAGCCTGTCTCTACTAAAAATACAAAAATTAGCCAGGTGTGGTGGTGGGCGCCTGTAATCCCAGCTACTTGAGAGGCTGATGCAGGAGAATTGCTTGAACACGGGAGGCGGAGGTTGCAGTGAGCCAAGATCGTGCCACTGCCCTCCAGTCTGGACGACAGAGTGAGACTCCATCTCAAAAAAAAAAAAGTATCAAATTAAGTACAGTAGCAGAGTATAGCTTTATCTAATACTATGCACTGAGTTACATACCTTACTTTTTGGAGGGTCTTCTAAAACCTTGCTATAATATGAGAGGATCTTGATTTTCTACAACTAAGTAAAAGATAACATGCTGCTCCATTTTCTTAAATGATGAAGGGATGGCTTTCCTAACATGGAACACTTAACAGATGACTACCATTATACCTAAATATAAAAGATGGTAAGAACTGATTTCCAGAAGGACTTCAAAGGATTGGTTCGGTGAAGGAAACAGAGTATATCATGATAACATACTATACAATTCAAGGAAGATATCTGACTTCCTTTCTTAGCAGCTCTGCTGCATGTTGGTTCCTAGTGTTGCCATTATTAACTGACAATCATAGAATGGCTTCTGCTTGCTTCACAACTGAAACTAGGAGGGCGGAGGGGAGGAGGTGGCAAGAGGGGTAAAGGCAGTAGCAGTAATGATGGACCGGTTAATAAGAGACTCTGAGTGTGATGTAAATAGTATGTTTATTAAACAATAGAGCCCATTGGAATTTTTTTCTTCCACGTATTGTTAGATGTAAAACCTGATACACTACCATACAGACAGGTGATTGACTAGACCTTGTTTATGTAGTTCTAATGTGGAATACTTAGAGTTGTTATGAATTACGATTATCCATAACTTTTGAATCTAAAAAGCTGGCTACACAACGTATTTTGTTGGAATCTTTTTGTAATACCAAATGTCTACACTCTTTGATCTAGAGAATCACAAAATTTTAGAAACATCACTACCCAGGTTAATTGACTTTTTTATTGTTTACTGTCCAAATACCTGTTACATATTAATAGTATTCTACTTTATATACCTGTAATAAACTATTCAGGGTTTCTTAAGCTGGTTGTTGAAATGTTTTGTAATACTGCTCTTCTTACCTTGTTATAGGAACTTTTATAATAAACCTGAAAAAGTGAAACATATCTTTCCCAAATAAATAGCAGATTATATAAATGAGCCAGCTTCATGGATCATGTATTGAAATAATTAGTTGTAACCTATAAAGTTTGTAAGCATTCTTACAATAGAGGCAATCTTAAGATTACTATTATTAGGACTTAAGAGATTTGAGAAGTTGGGAGCTAACAAATTAAGACCCTAATGGTATATGTCCTTAACCTGTAACAGGAGTTTATTTTGTCAAGCTATTTTTCCCATCCTATTCATTACTACTAAAAAATATTGCTTAAAAACATTTTCTTCCTTCGTGAGGCTTCTTAGAATGTTAAATTTACCTTCTAAAAATTATACACTAAGTTATTTTACAGGAAAACAGCTTCTTAGGATTAATGTAATATATATATGCAAAGGTCAAATGAAATATTTTTGTGGATGGTAAGAAAAATTTCAACTTACATTTTTGCAACTTCTTTAACGATATCACGGCAGGTCATTTCTTTCATCTATAGAAAATAAAATGTATACTGTTCATCAGAAGAACATTTTCCACTTGTGTAATAACTATTTTCACTTTTATACTCAGATATAAAACCAAGGAAAATAACCTAAAGTCTGAAAAAGACCAGAATCGAAGTTTCCTGATTCATATTTTAATGTTTTGAAATTTATACTCCAGGCTGGGTGCAGTGGCTTGTGCCTGTAATCCCAGCACTTTGGGAGGCCGAGGCGGCCGGATTGCCTGAAGTCAGAAGTTCGAGACCAGCCTGACCAACATGGTGAAACCCTGTCTCTACTTAAAAATACAAAAGAGCTGGGCATGGAGGTGGTGCGCGCCTGTAACCCTAGCTACTCGGGAGGCTGAGGCCTAAGAATCTCTTGAACCCAGGAGGCAGAGGTTGTAGTGAGCCGGGATCACGCCACTGCACTCTAGCCTGGGCGACAGAGAGAGAGACTGTCTAAAAAAGGAAAAGAAAAAAATTTATACGCCAAAAAAGATATTCTGAGATAACCTGTAGTTACCACTAACTTTGTGACAAAATTATAAAAATCCACAGCCATCTATGAATCTGTAGGCAGACCTGAAGTTTGAACGACTGGTGAAGACATCTGATTTTCTTTATAGCCAAGTTAGGATAACAAAATGCAAACAAGTCATTAATATTTACTATATGCAAGATACAGAAAGATGAAGGAAGGAGTAAGAAGTTATCCTTCGTGGAACTATTCAAAGCAAAAATGCAAAATACCAGGGAAAGCTTTGAAGAACCAAGATTTGAGCAGGTTCTTAGAATATAGATTGGATTGGATTTGATTTCAAGAAAGATGAACGTGTAAAGCAGAAGTGGGAAGCCAAAAACTTTTTTCCAAATTAGAATTAAGCATTCTTTCAATGAACATTTGGAAATCAAGGTAGAAAAATATCCCTAGGGCCTAGCTGAGGAGTCTGTATGTTGTTGGGTTTTGATAGTAACCAGTCCAAGATTTTGTTATTAGACGTGGGTTTCTGAATAGACAGGCATTTCTGAACAGACATGACAGGATCAAAACAATGTTTGAGCAAACTGCCCTTCATCTACTGTGGATATGTTGGGGGATGATGGAATATAGTGAAAGATAATGGGTGCTCATACAGCAGTCTAGACTTAAGGTGATTCAACTACTATATATTAAACTAGATTATCTTTTATTTTTTAATTTTGAAATCTGGATGCTCAAGCTCTGCCTGCACAACCACATGAGGAAGAAGGAACAATGACAACAAAAATAACACTAAATTTAAATTTAAGAGTACTACTTTTAGGAAATAGACAAACCATTATTTGGGTACAACTAAAGGCAACTGGCATGGACTCAAATATTTTGGGGAAGAAAAAGACTAAAAGTTCTAAGGAAGAAAATGCGAACCTTGATAGTTTGAAATAGTTAAAAAGACAGTGTAGAAACTGCTTAGGCAGTTTGATTATGGACTATTAGATGATACTTGGGTCTGATAATGGTATAAGGAGAATAAAGTATTTAGGGATCCAATATTACGCCTGCAGCTTTTTCCAAATAGTTCATGGGGGAGGGGGATGTGTAAGTGGTTAACTGAAGTCTAACTAGATAGGTTTGTTGTAAGCTTAGGATGTTTACAGTTCTTCATGTTAAGTTGAGCGTGATGGGAAGGGAAAGAATGCTGATCTTTAAATTTTTGTCCTTAGTTAAGTTCTGTATTTAGTGAATTAATTGCATCCTAAAAAGTCAAACTTGAAAAGCACATTTTAAATGGCAAATCTATTTTTTACATGTTTGTGAAGTTTTTATTTTTTAGTAAACAGACCATCAGAAGAGAACAATGGTACAGAGCAGGGGTCAGCAGATGGATTTTGTAAAGCATCAACTTGTAAATATTTTCAAGTTTATTAGCTGTATGGCTCTGGTTTCTGTTCCCTGTTCCAAATGTTAAAGTCTACTGTTGTATTCTAAAAGCAGCCATGGACTGAATGTAGCTGTGTTCCAATAAAACTTACACAAAAGCAGGCAGTGGGCCATAATTTGCAACACCTGATTCACAGCATAATTTTGTCACAAACTGAAAGTGTTCCTCAATTAAAGTGATTTTTTTTTCTTGATTTTTCTCTGGGATTTATTGTTTTTCCCATTCCTTGCTAGGATTTAACTACAGAAAGACAGATAGTAACTGCTCTAAATATTCTAATTTCCTTTATTTTTTTGAGATAAGGTGTCGCTCTGTTGCCCTGGCTGGAGTGCAGTGGCGTGATCATAGCTCACTGTAGCCCCCAACTCCTGGCTGGGGCTCAAACAGTCCTCCTGCCTCAGCCTCCCAAGTAGCTGGGACTACAGGCACGCACCACCTCACCTCGCTAACATTTTGTTTTGGGAGATAGGGTCTTACTCTTTTGCCCAGCCTGGTCTTGGAACTACTGGGCTCAAGCAGTCCTCCCAACTTGGCCTACCAAACTGGTAGGATTACAGGGGTAATCCCCCTCAACTGACATAAATATTCTAATTTTCAAATTTCCATATAATAGTATGGAGAGATGAAAACAAAAGGAAAAGAGTAGAAGATAGGAACCTAGCATCATACTAGTAAGTGTGCAATGGAAAAGAACATAGGTCTAAGACTCATAAGGTCTGGATACTGTTCAGAACCAGCTGATTCTGTGGTCCTATGCAGTGTGTTTAATCTGCAGTTGAGCTTGGGCTAAATGACCTCTAAGATCCTTTTGTCAGCTTTACTAAAATACGAAACAAATTAGGTTTTATAGGGGGTTCTAGAACTTAGCATTGTATAAATGCCAAGCACTAATAAGTATTTTCTAGAAGCTGGTCTTAAATAAGTTGAATGAGTAATTAGTTGAGCAGGGTTCTAGTACAGCATTAACATTAAATGTATGTGAAATTGTATCTCACTTCAGTTTACCAAAACACTGATAAATGGTATGCCTGCTTTTTAGGCAAGTTTCTGACAGGTAATCAATAATATTGAAACAGTATCCATGAAGTCTTTAAGTTGATCAACGCATGGCTAAAAGGAAAACCAAGTTTTTAAGAAAACTTTTTCACACTAATAGCTGAATTTTGTGAAAGAAAAAGTGGGTAGTCGTAAGAGTGTAGGCTTTATGCCTTACCTGGCTAGGAGCAAAGCTAAGAGAACCGGTGGAGCACAGCCAGACATAAAAGCTGTGTTCCAAAGAAAGAATATAGGAAAAATATAACTTTTTATTAACTCAAAATTTTAAACAAAATTTTCAAACTAGAGCTCACAGAGATTCATAAATAGGTTTCAAGGATTTTGTGAAATCATATCAAAAGTTGTGTTTTTCTAGATTGAGGCTTTATAGCAGTTATTCAGAATCTATAAAGGGATGTATAACACAACTCTACAGATAATATGTTACCAGCTTTCCCATTCAGTGACTTAGCAGCTTCATAAACTCTCAACATCAAACCACACTATATCCTTACACCGAGCTTCCCCAGCCACAGGCCACATGGGGCCAAACACAAATTCGTAAACTTTCTTAACACATGATGAGATTTTTTTTTAAGCTCATCAGCTATCATTAGTGTTGGTGTATTTTATGTGTGGCCCAGGGAAGCCAAATGATTGGACATCCCTGCCTTAGACTGAAATGTCTGTGGTGATAAAATTTCACTGCATTAGGATGACGACATAGTAAAAATTCAAGCATTAATTATTACCTGAAGCTTCTCTATTTCCGTCTTTGCAGCTTGCCTGGCTTTGCCGATGGCACAGCCCCAATAACCCTATTTAGAAAAAAATATATATAATCACTGAATTAGTACACTATCATATGTAATTAATGACTACTAATGTTTCTATAACCTAGTGAAAGGATGCTAAATGACTTTTAAAAGCAAGTATAGAAAAATATAGTCAAACACATTCTGATGAATGCCAAAGGGCTCAAAAATACTAAAATACCAAACAATTCCAAAACAACCTGTATTTTTAATAAAGGTATATCCAAAAATATGTAAATTATGTAATCATATACACTTTAAGACATTTTGGGGAACAGGAACGGAAAAGATTTTAGCACTATGACAATGAAAAATGAAATTATATATTCCTGAGAGACAGAAATAAAGTTAATTCCTATGAGTTCAGTACTCTAAACCCCCAATTTTATTATTTTGTAAATTTTTTTAAAGATAAGGATGCACAGCTGGGTGTGGTGGGTCATGCCTGTAATCCCAGCACTATGGAAGGCCAAGGTGGGCAGATCACCTCAGGTCAGGAGTTGGAGACCGGCCTGGCCAACATTGTAAAACCCTGTCTCTACTAAAAATACAAAAAAATTAGCTAGGTGTGGTGGCAGGTGCCTGTAATGCCAGCTACTCCAGAGGCTGAGGCAGGAGAATCGCTTGAATCTGGGAGGCAGAGGTTGCAGTGAGCTGAGACCGCGCCACTGCACTCCAGCCTGGGCAACAGAGTGAGACTCCATCAAAAAAAAAAAAAAAAAGGATGTACACATATATACTTCTGTTACAGCAAAATATATTTAAGAATCTTCATTTTCTTCAATTAGTAAAAACGACAAAAATGTAAGGATAAGAAAACAGTTAAGAAACGGTAACAGGCCGGGTGCAGTGGCTCACACAAAGTGCTTGTAATCCCAGCACTTTGGGAATCTGAGGCACGTGGATCACTTGAGGCCAGGAGTTCCAGACCAGCCTGGGCAACATGGTGAAAGTCTGTCTCTACTAAAAATACAAAAATTAGCCAGGTGTGATGGTACAGGCCTGTAATCCCAGCTACTTGAGAGGCTGAGGCACAAGAATCCCTTGAATCCGGGAGGCAGAGGTTACAGTGAGCCAAGATTGCACCACTGCAGTCCAGCCTGGGCAACTGAGCAAGACTCTGTCTCAAAAAAAAAAAAAAATGGTAATAATTTAGGGAAAGCTCTTAGAAATCACATTTAAACCTTCTCTTTAAAAGGGAAGGCAGGGCAAGGTGGCTCACACCTATAATCCCAGCATTTTGGGAGACCAAGGTGGGCGGATTACTTGAGATCAGGAGTTCGAGACCAGCCTGGCTAACATGGTGAAACCTCGTCTCTACTGAAAATACAAAAATTAGCCGGGTGTGGTGATGCATGCTTCTAATCCCAGCCTACTCGGGAGGCTGAGGCAGAATTGCTTGAACTGGGGAGGTGGAGGTTTGGCGCCACTGCACTCCAGTCTGGGTGACAGAGCGAGACGCTGTCTGAAACAAAATTAGGTCCGGCACTGTGGCTCACGCCTGTAATCCTTGCACTTTGGCAGGCCGGGGTGGGCAGACCACCTGAGGTCAGGAGTTGGAGACCAGCTGGCCAACATGGCAAAACCCCATCTGTACTAAAAATACAAAAATTAACCAGGCATGGTAGTACATGCCTGTAATCCCAGCTAATCAGGAGGCTGAGACAGGAGAATTGCTTGAACCTAGGAGGCGGAAGAGGTTGCAGTGAACCAAGATCGAGCCACTGCACTCCAGCCTGGGAGACAGAGTGACACTCCATCTTATAAATAAATAAAATAAAAGGGATGACATGGCTGGACATCGATGCTCACGCCTGTAGTCCCAGCATTTTGGGAGTCCAAGGCAGGAGGACTGCTTAAGGCCAGGAGTTTGAGACCAGCCCTGGGAACGTGGAAAGACCTTGTCTCTATAGACACCAAAAAAATACAAAAATTAGCTAGGCATGGTGGCATGAGCCTGTAGTCCCAGCTACTTGGGAGGCTTAGGTAGGAGGATCGCCTGAGCCCAGGAGTTGAGAGGCTGAAGTGAGCTATGATTGTGTCACTGCACTCCAGCCTGGGCAAGAATGAGGAAAAAAGACATTAAATACAGTTTTAAGACAGTGTTTATAGTAATAAAGGAAAATCACATATTCAAAATACTATATGCACTATACAGTTTCTATAAATAACATACTGAAAAAAAATCTTTCCTCTGCCTCGTATCAGTTATTAATGATAAGAAAACATGGCTGGGCCTGGTGGCTCACACCTGTAATACTCGCACTTTGGGAGACCCAGGTGGGTAGATCTCTTGAGGACTGGAATTCAAGACCAGTCTGGCCAACATGGCAAAGGCCTGTTTCTACTAAAAATAAAAAAAATTAGCCAGGTGGTGCACACCTGTAATCCCAGCTACCCGGGAGGCTGAGGCAGAAGAACTGTTTGAACCTGGGAGGCAGAGGTTGCAGTGAGCTGTGATCACACCACTGTGCTCCAGCCTGGGCCACAGTGAGACCCTGTTCCCCCAAAAAGGAAAAAAAAAAAAATTCTGTTGGACAAGAGGTTGTTGTAAAAAAAAAAAAAAGAAAAATTACTTTCCTTGAATGAGTTTTTTTTTAATTTCATATAATCTTATAATGAGACTTAAATGCTAATGAAATACCATTAAACTAAAATAGAATTTCAAATGATTCAAAATTACTCACGTATGAAACACCTGATGGGTCAATCATGTAGAGTTGCGCACCGTCATTCACACTGTAAGACCCTAACATGAAACTGCATGAAAGTATACAAACAGCTTAAACCATGGCAATAACATAAAAGTATTTGTGAAAAAATTATTTTAAAATGCAGTTATATTTTCTTTCTGAGATAAATTACTAATACACATATAACTCAGTAAGTACTTTGAAACAGTGGTTTCAATTAATTAAAACTATTACATGAGATTATTCAAAATTCATGTAGCTTTTGTTTGTTTAGTATTAATCTTTCTGATGAAGGTCTCCTGGAAAGTCTAGCAGTACAGGGAAAGGAGTAACGATAGATGAAAACCACAACTATGAGAGGGCCCAATAAATAAGGCATAAACACAAAAAGATCAAGGGAACAAAATTCCTGACGGAGAGTATACTGAATCCATGTGAAATTCTTTCCACCCTTCATTCTATTTCCCAATATCCTGCCAATCATTTCTCTGCAATAATCAGAATTGGTTCAGTGTATTTTTCTGTGCTCAACAAATTAGGCTATTAGCTGATTGTATGAAATACTGATTTTCTGAAATTGTGACATACAGTGGGCACTGTTTCCATGAGTTCTGCATCTGTGGATTCAACAAACCACAGATAGAAAACTTTCAAAAAACATTGCTTCTGTACTGAACAACTGTGATTTTCTTGTCATTATTCCCTAAACAATACAGTGTAACAGCTATTTACACTGTGTTAGGTATTGCAAGTAATCTAGAGATGACAACATACAGGAGGATATGCACAGGTTATATGCAAATACTTAACCATTTTATATCAGGGACTTCAGCAACCTTGGATTTTGGTATTCATGGGAGGTCCTAAAACCAATCCCCCACAAATACCAAGGGACAACTATATTTGCCTTAGAGTAGAAAAGAAATCAGCAGCATCTTACACATCATCTTATATGCGGAATATTTTAACTATTCAATTCCCATCCCTACCGTCATTTCCTTCCATTTTCTACCGATATGAGACTTATCCTTCAGGATATATAGCTCATTGTCACTATTTTAAAGCCTTTCAACATTTCTTTGAAGAAAATCAGCATGGAGCACAGACTTTTATATGACTGGACCCCTTCCTACATCAGTATCATCTCTAAACCTCATACTCTACACACCAAGCATACTTAACTCTCTCTGGCGCACGTATTTTCATACCAGTTCCTGTGCTTGCAACTACCAAGTCTCCCTACATCTCACACTCTTCCTTGCCTCCTGTCCAGAAAGAGTCCGTTCCCTAATTGTTGTCCCTTTATCATATCACTAATATTTTATCAATGTGACTTCACACCTGTGTCTCCACATTTATGACTAACTCAGTGCCCAATAGATGTTTACTAAAAAAGTTCTCTCTGGCCCAGTGCGGTGGCTCACGCCTGTAATCCCAGCACTTTGGGAGGCTGAGGTGGATCACTTGAGGTCAGGAGTTTGAGACCAGCCTGGCCAACATGGCGAAACCCTGACTGTACTAAAAATAAAAAAATTAGCCGGGCGTGGTGGCAGGTGCTTGTAATCCCTGCTACTCAGGAGGTTGAGGCAGGAGAATAGCTTGAACCCGGGAGGCAGAGGTTGCAGTGACCTGAGATCGTGCCACTGCATTCCAGCCTGGGCGACAGAGCGAGACTCCATCTCAAAACAAAACAAAACAAACAAAAAAAAAGTTATGAAAAAAAGTTATCTCTACTATTCTTACTCCCTTAAAAAGAGTAGAGAAGTTAACTGATGAACTCAGAGCTCAGTTGAAAGGTATTTTACATGGTCTGAAAACAAAGTGTTTCATAATGTAATTTAACTGAGAAGCTTAAGAATGACTAATGTCAGCCTGGGCAGCATGGTGAGACCCCGTCTCTACAAAAAAAAATTTTGTTAATTAGCCAGGCATGGTGGCCCATGCCTGTGGTCCCAGCTACTTGGGAGGCTGAGGTAGGAGCATCGCTTGAGCCAGGTCAAAGCTGCAGTCAGCCATGATGGCACCACTGCACTCCAGCTCAGGTGACAGTAACTGTCTCAAAAAGTAAAAACAAAACCCTAATGTAATATTACCAATAGAATAAAACTCAAGTTTTCTTTAATATCTTAGTAATTAAATATGACTGATGATAAACAACTCAAAGGTAGGACTACAGCTGAGCACTCAGATGTTAGTATATGTATTATTTTGACCAAACATGTTTGACTGTTTTAAGTCATAAGCCAAACATGTCTTTTCATTTTAGAAAAATCTAGTCACAAGTCTTCTCTGTGAAGCCAAATTTGAATATTTATACCTATTCCAGGTCTTTATGCAGCTGAATCTCCACTTTACCCCACAATAAAATATCAGCACTTCAACAGAAAGAGAAACCGTGCCTAATGGGAATTGTGAGACGTAATTTTTAAAATTACCTAAGAATATCAGGGACTAACACCGAGAGCTTATTATAATCAGATTAAAGTCATTGTTATCAGTTCCTTGTTTTATAATCACTTCAGATCTATATAGTCCTTTTCACTATTGAAACCTTTTTTTTTTTTTTTTTTTTTTTTTTAAAGAGGCAGAGTCTCTATTGCGCCAGCTAGAGTACAGTGGTATGGCCACAGCTCATTCCAGCCTTCAACTCCTGGGCTCAAATGATCCTCTCAAGCAGCTCCTAAGTAGCTGTGACTACAGGCATGTGATACTGCACCTGGCTAAATTTTAAATTTTTTTTGTAGAGATAGGTTCTCACTGCGTTGGCCAGGCTGGTCTCATACTCCTGGGCGCGAGGGATCCTCCCACCTCAACCTCCCAAAGTACTGGGATTACAGGCTTGAGCCATGGCACCCAGCCTCAAGTAGTTTCTATGTACACTGTTTTATTTAATCATTGCCCTAATACTTATCGACGAGTTTCTATTTTTAAGTATGTAAAAGGCTAAGATGCTGGGGAACATAATAAATATCTATAGTACAGATCTGCCTTTTGAATAATTCACAAAATTTCTTACCTGCAGCCAAAAGGTCTAACAGCACTGTAGAGTGTATATGCATGCACATACATGGCCACTCTGTCTGCAAGATGCTATGGAGGGAAGCAGAAGAGCTTATTAATAAACTTCTATTACTGTCCAAAAGGTTCCTCAATATGTTATCAACTTACTTTTAGTGGAATGTTGTAGCCAAAGTTAGATCTGAAGTTGGAAGCTTCTTCTCTTGCTATGTCTGCTAAAGAACGAGCATCTGCCAACAAACCTGCTACTGCCTGAAAAAAAAGCACCAATTTACTAGAGGAACACATTCCTATCACAAATCAAAGTCTGCAATTAATAAAGACTTATTAAACATTTTTTTAACAAGTATTACCATTCAAAATAAACTTTTTTGGCTTAAAGGTCTCTCTACAAGGCATTTTGATGCTTGAGTATGAAATTATAATTTAGAAATTTAGTAAGTATAACTTCATTGCTTTGTCCAATGTTCATATTCAGGACATTTCCTTTTTTTTTTTTGATACGGGGTCTCGCTCTGTCACCAGGGCTGGAGTACAGTGGCATGATCTCCGCTCACTTCACACTCTGCCTCCTGGGTTCATGCCATTCTCCTGCCTCAGCCTCCTGAGTAGCTGGGACTACAGGCGCCTGCCACCACGCCCGGCTAATTTTTTTGTATTTTTAGTAGAGATGGGGTTTCACCATGTCAGCCAGGACGGTCTTGATCTCCTGACCTCGTGATCTGCCTGCCTCAGCCTCCTAAAGTGCTGGGATTACAGGCGTGAGCCACCGTGCCCGGCCAATATTCAGGACTACTTCTATCATAAATCCTCTTCCCCTGATTTACTACCACTACCTCATTATAACGAATAAAAACCATGGGTCTTGGTCAGATTTTTTTTTTTTTTTTTTTTTGAGACAGAGTCTCACTGTGTCACCTAGGCTGGAGCACAATGGCACCATCTGGGCTCACTTCAACCTTTGCCTCTCAGGTTCAAGGGATTCTCCTGCCTCAGCCTCCCCAGTAGCTGGGATTGGCTAATTTTTATATTTTTAGTAGAGACAGGGTTTGGTTTTGTCATGTTGGCCAGGCTGGTCTTGAACTCCTGACCTCAGGTGATCAGCCTGCCTCAGCCTCCCAAAATGTTGGGATTATGGGTGTGAGCCGCCGTGCCCGGCCCAAATTTGTTCTTTTCTCTAAAGTTATTACAGGTTGAGGATATCTAATCCAAAAATCTGAAATTTAAAACGCTTCAGAATCTGAAACTTTTTGAGTGCCAACATGACACTCAAAGGAAATGCTCAGGCCGGACCTGGTGGCTCACACCTGTAATCCCAGCACTTTGGGAGGCTGAGGCAGGTGGATCACAAGGTCACGAGTTCAAGACCAGCCTGGCCAAGATGGTGAAATGCCGTCTCTACTAAAAATACAAAAATTAGCCAGGCGTGGTTGCAGGCACCTGTAATCCCAGTTACTTGGGAGGCCGAGGCAGAGAATTGCTTGAACCTGGGAGGCGGAAGTTGCAGTGAGCCGAGATCGCGCCACTGCACTCCATCCTGGGCAACAGAGCGAGACTCCATCTCAAAAAAAAAAAAAAAAGGAAATGCTCAGTAGAGCTTTTTGGATTTTGAATTTTCAGATTAAGGATGCTCAGCTGATGAGTATATAATGCAGATATTCCAAAATCGAAAAATATCCGATATACTGCTGGTCCCAAGCATTTTAGACGAGAGATACTCAACCTGTAACTGTTTTGTTCTAAAAGGCACAATCGCAAATCTTTTTTCAGCCTATTGGCTGAATAAACTACAATGATAAACCATTCCTCTTTCAAGATTTGCGGCTTAGAACTGCAGTTACTAGGCCGGGCACGGTGGCTCATGCCTGTGATCCCAGCACTTTGGGAGGCCGAGGCAGGGGGATCACCTGAGGTCAGGAGTTTGAAACCAGCCTGGACAACATGGTGAAACCCCTACTAAAAATACAAAAATTAGTCAGGTTTGGTGGCGGGCACCTATAATCCTACCTACTCCCAAGGCTGAGCCACAAGAATCACTTGAACTCGGGAGGCGGAGGCTGCAGTGAGCCGAGATCACGCCACTACACTCCAGCCTGAGCAACAGAATGAGACTTTGTCTCAAAACAAAAACAAAAACAAAAACAGAATTGCAGTTACTATGTATGTGCCGAGAGGTCCTCAGGCACTGCAGTGAAATCACATGTTAGTGTGGCATATCTTTTTTTTTGAGATGGAGTTTTGCTCTTGTTGCCCAGGCTAGAGCACAGTGGTGCAATCGCGGCTCACCGCAACCTCCACCTCCCAGGTTCAAGGGATTCTCCTGCCTCAGCCTCCCGAGTAGCTGGGAGTACAGGCATGCGCCACCACGCCCGGCTAATTTTTGTGTTTTTAGTAGAGACAGGGTTTCTCCATGTTGGTCAGGCTGGTCTTGAACTTTCGACCTCAGGTGATCCGCCCGCCTTGGCCTCCGAAAGTGCTGGGATTACAGGTGTGAGCCACTGCACCTGGCCTAGTGTGGCACATTCTAAGTTTGGAGAAAAATGTCCAAGTAGTTCCGTTTGAACATTAGATCGTTTTACTACATTCCTTTCAATGCCACCACATCTTTGAGAAGCTTGGCTGTTAGTGGTTGCTGTGAAAAAAAGTAAGTACTGTGCAAAAATCAGTGTGGAACAGGAAATGACAGTGGCCACATCCAAATTTGGGAGGTTGTGCAGTGTATATACTAGAAATTTTGGTTGCTTAAAATAAAACATTTTAATTTTTAAATAAAAATATTTTTCACTATGTGTGTATTTAAAAAAAAAAAACGGCTACTAAGTTTTTAGGATGTAAACACTAAGTTCTTTGGATCTAAATACTTAATAAATGAAACCATTAGGTATTTTCGGCCTAGGGAAGCCATGAGAAAAACTACTGAGACACTTAAGGTACCATAAACCAACCAAGTTTTTGAAACCCTCTAGCCCAGGACAGTTACAGAATTTAAAAGTGGTATCACAATCTTTAATAGCCTTTTTTTCCTACGCTACCCAGTAATAGTAATAATGATAATTACTAAGAGATACTGAGCACTCATTACATGTTAAGCATTTTGCATAATAATTTTTAACCTCACAACAACTGTATGTGCCAAGTACTATTATCACTCTTGTTTTGCAGACAAGGAAACGCGTGTTTAGAATAGCTTCCCCAAGGTAACCCATGCCAGTAAGTTACATCACTTAAAGAATCTTCTGTTGCTTTAGAGAAAGCTTACTGTAAAGTCATATAATTCTCAAATCACTTGAAGATGACAACTGTGGAAGGAGGGAGGATATTAAGTCTTAATTTTCTCCAGCCCTCTTCAATGTCTAATGTTGACAGGGCACATTGGCTCATGCCTGTAATCTCAGCAACTCAAGAAGCTGAGGCGGGAGGATCGCTTGAGCCCAGGAGTTCAAGACCAGCCTGAGCAACACAGCAAGATCATATCTCTTAAAAAAACTAAAAAATTAGCCAGGTGTGATGGCACACTTGTAGTCACAGCTATTTGGGAGGCTGAGGCAGAAGAATCACTTGAGCCCAGGAGCGCAAGGCTGCAGTGAGCTATGATCATGCCACTGCACTCAAGCCTGGGCAACAGAGCAAGACCTCTGTGTGTGTGTACATACATATATATATGCATGCATAATTTTTTTCAAAATATTAACTTTTGCTAGTACATAAAAGAATACAAGATCACCTCCTACTAGCTAGGTTACAATGTAGCAAGTTTCATCAAAACATATCAGTTTCACTGGCAATAATAAATCTGTTCAGCATTATTCTTAGCAAACTAATACAAGAAGAGAAAACCAAAAACCACATGTTCTCTCTTATAAGTGGAAGCTAAATGATGAGAATTCATGGATACAAAGACAGGAACAACAGACAATGGGGCCTACTTGAGGGTGGAGGGTGGGAGGAGGAAGAGGATCAGAAAAAATAACTATTGGGTCCTAGGCTTAGTACCTGGGTGACGAGAAAAATCTGTACAACAACAACAACAAAAAAACAGTAAAAAGAAAATGTATATATACACAATGGAATACTATTCATCCTTTAAAAAGAATAAAATGCTAGGCTGGGCACGCTGGCTCACGCCTATAATCCCAGCACTTTGGGAGGCCAAGGCGGGTAGATCACTGGAGTTCAGGAGTCCGAGACCAGCCTGACCAACATGGTGAAACCCCGTCTCTACTAAAAATACAAAAATTAGCTGGGTGTGGCGGCGTATGTCTGTAATCCCAGCTACTTGAGAGTCTGAGGCAGGAGAATTGCTTGAACCCGGGAGGCAGAGGTTGCAGTGAGCTGAGATCGCGCCATTGCACTCCTTCCTGGATGACAGAGTGAGACTCCATCTCAAAAAATAAAATAAAATCCTGTCATTTGCAGCAAAATAAAAAAATCTGTTCAGGAGAAACATATTGTTGAGATAAAATAATCTTTGAAGAAGAAAAAAATTAGCTTTATGGTTTACTGGTTATACTTTACCAGTACTTTTTGTGTTTGTGTGTAACATTAAATCTCATTTAGATATAAGAAAGCTATCAGCTGAACGATGTGGGTCATATAAGGTGTCTTTTCATTTAGAAAGGGCTCTTGAGTAACATGCAGACCCAAGTTTGAATCCCAGCTTTTCTTTACTTGCTGTGCATCTGTTTTTTCACCTGTGAAAATGGCATTAGGCCGGGCGCAGTGGCTCACGCCTATAATCCCAGCACTTTGGGAGGCTGAGGCGGGCAGATGGATCACTTGAGGTCAGGAGTTCGAGACCAGCCTGGCCAACATGGTGAAACCCTGCCTTTACTAAAAATATAAAAATTAGCTGGGCATGGTAGTGGGCACCTGTAGTCCCAGCTACTTGGGAGGCTGAGGTAGGAGAATCGCTTGAACCCAGGAGGCAGAGGCTGCAATAAGCTGAGATGGCGCCACTGCACTCCGGCCTGGGTGACAGAGCCAGACTCTGTCTCAAACCAAAAAAAAAAAAAAAAGAAAATGACATTGATATAACCTTCACTGGGTTGTCAAGATTAAACAAGGTAATTTATGTAAAGAGCTCCCAGCATAAAACCTAATATAGAGATATTCTCCTTTCTTCCTTTCCTTTTCAGGTGGCAGGGTTAGAATCATTTGATTCTTTTTTTTTTTTTTCTTTCAGTAGTGGTTCTCACTAAGCCAAGTCTGCCATCTATGTAGGGTAACTTTAGTATATACCAGTCATGTATCTATGGCTTGGCTTGCAATTTAGTCACTCATAACTTAGATACCAGCTGCATGAATAACTTAATTTCAGTGATGCCCTATGAAACTATTATGGATGTGTTCACTTTTCCTTTTCATTAAACATCCTTTCCTGATGTTCCACCTTATATAAAGGTGTTCGCTATCTGATGGCATCTTTACTTTGACAGTGATCCCCACAAGAGATACAGAAAGCTAAAGATTCTTCACCTCTCAAGCATATACCTTCATTAGTAATGTGTGCTGCCAAGATCTCATTTCTACGCATACTCCCCAGCCCTCTCCCTCACCTGCTCTTCTTTCAGCAACTTGGTTTTTCCCCCATCACTAATAAGGTTATGAGAATGCTGCCTTTCTACTGGACAGTGAACTGGACAAATGCAGTAACTTGCTCTGATTACTTTTGTGACTGCACAGTGATCTATTCCAATCAGTTACTTCAAAAGAAATTGGACAAGACAAAAAGGAACATTTTAAACATGACCTTACCATTCCAACATGCCGATCAACATTAAAAAGTCTTTTGTTGGAACCTTCTTCATAAAGTTTAGAAAGGACTAATTTTTCTACCCCAAAGACAACACCATCTTTGCATCTGATTCCAATAGCTGTACTGAAACAAGGAGAAGAAAATCAGTTTTTTAACTGAAAATAAAAGAAACTTCATAAACTTAAGTTTAACAAAAAAACAAAATAAGTAACATTTAAGGCATGCCAAATACCTTAAAACATTTGAAAACCAGGAAGAGAAAACACACTAAAGTGTAATAAATACATTAAATCCATATAAATATCATGTGACCCTCCCTCCAGAATCTAGTACATCATTTGACTAAAAATATATTAATATGTAAGTATAAAAATGATGCTAACGAAACACAATATGGCTCAGTGTCTGGCTTATGATAATCATGTTATAAACAAATGTTGACATAAATTCATGTCCATTAAAAATGGTACATAACAGACATAAAAGGTTAGATACAAACTAAAAAGTTAACAGTGACTGCTCTGGGTAGAAGGATTATGATTTATTCTTCCTTTTGCTCATCTCTTTCTTCCAATTTTTCCATAATAAACATATTGCTTCTAATACGTATATAAAAATAAAATATATGTTCTGCTACAACTGTTTAAAATAAAAAGATCTTAAAATAACCTCTTAAGACCAGGCATGGTGGCTCACACCTGTAATCTCAGCACTTTGGGATGCTGAGGCAGGAGGATCTTTTAAGCCCAGGAGTCCAAGACGAGCCTGGGCAACATGGCGAAACCTGGCTTAGCCAGGCATGGTGGTACACGCCTGTAGTCCCAGCTACCTGGGAGGCTGAGGTGAGAGATTGCTTGAGCCCAGTTAGGTGGTGGCTGCAGTGAGCCAAGATTGCACCACTGCACACCAGTCTGTGCAACAGAGTGAGACCCTGTCTCAAACACACACACACACAACCTCAAGTAAAATGTGGAGAAATTACTTGTTGCCATTTCAAGATGAAAATGTGTTACACTTTATTCTTCTATTCCTTTTTGATAAAGGTAGTTCTGATCGGAAACAATAGAGACAAAATAAGCAATGCTTGATTGTACAGTTTTCTGGTAAAATTATCTCAACTTTCTCTTTCTTCTTTTTTTTAATTTTAAAGAAATGGAGTCTTGCCATGCTGCCCAAGATTGAATTGAAGTCTGAGGCTCAAGTAATCCTCTCACCTCAGCCTCAGTAGCTGGGACTACCGGCACAACTTCTCTGTTTTGGATAATAGCATCACCAAGCTCTACATCCTCCATGTTGAGCTTCTATTTACTATTAATTTTTTTCTTCAAAATTTCCTTCATGTCCACTTCTTTACAATAATTATACCAGCATTGGGATCCTTATAATTTCAGGCCTAGATTACTACACCATCTTTTCTACTTCTCTAATCCGTTTAATCTAAGACCAGCCTAATTCCTAGCTGTGTTTCATTTTGCCATAGTCAGAATCTAAAAAGGGATCCACAATCTAAAAAGCAGGGGAATTGTGTTATTCACAGGCCTCTTAAAATCTGATGAAACTATGGCATTTCCTCCCAGAAAAATGAACAACAGATGCACACAACAAATTTTCTAAGAATTTCTGACACTCCTTCCCCAACACTTTAGGTGTCTTCCATGGCTCCCCTTGCAAGTTTAAACTCCTAAGGGTCTGGCAGAACCCCCTGAGCATATTCAATTTCCTGTTATAAATTCTGTACTCTACTGGTTACCTCACTGTCAACCTTCAAAAACCTCATGTTCATTTTTGATTCCATGTCTTTGAGGTTATCCTGGATGCTAGAATACATTTCCTCTTCACTACTGCCTATTTAAATGAATTTCCCCAAAAGGTTTGCAAACTTAGTTGAACTCAAGCAGTACAGGTCAGAATGTAACCTCAGGACTTTGGAAGGCCCAAGTGAAAGGCTTGCCTGAGGCCAGGAGTTCAAGACCAGCCAGGCCAACATTTTGAAACTCTGTCCCTATTTTTTTTTTTTTTTTGGAGATGGAGTCTCGCTCTGTTGCCCCAGCTGGAGTACAGTGGCGTGATCTTGGCTCACTGCAACCTCCATCTCCCGGGTTCAAGTGATTCTCCTGTCTCAACCTCCCAAGTAGCTGGGATTACAGGCGCGCACTGCCATGCCCGGCTAATTTTTTGTATTTTCAGTAGAGACGGGATTTCACCATGTTGCCCAGGCTGGTCTCGAACTCCTGAGCTCAAGCAATACACCTGCCTCAGCCTCCCAAAGTGCTAGGATTACAGGCGTGGCTCACGCCCAGCAGGAAGCCTGTCTTAATTATCTCAACTCAACATCTTCCACACTGTTTAAAACATTCTTGAAAATCTGGAAATCTCTGAAATCCTTTCAGGCAGTCTTCGAGGTCAAAATTATTTTCATAAGAATTCAAAGACTTCGGCTGGGTGCGGTGGCTCACACCTATAATACCAGCACTTTGGGAAGCCTAAGCAGGCGGATCACTTGGGCTCAGGAGTTTGAGACCAGCCTGGGCCACATGGTGAAACCCTGTCTCTACAAAAAATTTGCCAGGCGTGGTGGCACATGCCTGTAGTCCCAACTACCTTGTGGGGCTGAGGGAGGAGAATAGCTCGAGACCAGGAGGTCGAGTCTGCAGTAAGCTGTAATCACACCACTGCACTCCAGCCTGGGTGACAAAGCGAGATCCTATGTCCTGCCCCCAAAAAAAGTTTTTTTTAAAAAAAAGGAATAATAAGCCAGGCGCAGTGACTCACACCTGTAATCCCATCACTTTGGGAGGCCAAGGCAGGAGGATTACTTGAGCCCAAAAGTTCAAGACCAGCCGAGGCAACATAGTGAGTGAGACCATGCCTCTTTTTTAAAATAAATAAACATTTTTTTTTAAAATAAGAAACTAGCATTTGTTCACTTTGGGTGTAGTATCAAAGGACAGGTTAATACATCTTTAAAAAGAAGAACTTTTAGGCCGGGCGCCGTGGCTCATGCCTGTAATCCCAGCACTTTGGGAGGCTGAGGCAGGCGGATCACCTGAGGTCAGGAGTTCGAGACCAGCCTGACCAACATGGAGAAACCCTGTCTCTACTAAAAATACAAAATTAGCGGGCCATGGTGGTGCATGTCTGTAATCCCAGCTACTTGGGAGGCTGAGAGAATTGCTTGAACCTGGGAGGCAGAGGTTGCGGTGAGCCAACATTGTGCCATTGCACTCCAGCCTGGGCAACAAGAGTGAAACTACGTCTCATTTTTAAAATCCTAGCTTTTTCTGAGACAGAGTCTCTGTTGCTTAGGCTGGAGTGCAGTGGTGCAATCTTGGCTCACTGCAACGTCCACCTGCCAGGTTCAAGTGATTCTCCTGCCTCAGCCTCCCAAGTAGCTGAAACTACGACGTGTGCCATCACACCCGGCTAATTTTTGTATTTTGTTATTTTTTAGTAGAGACAGGGTTTTACCATGTTGGCCAGGCTGGTCTCAAACTCCTGACCTCAGGTGATCCGCCCGCCTCAGCCTCCCAAAGTGCTGGGATTACAGGCGTGAGCCACCACGCCCGGCTGCATTTTTTCTTCATTCAGGAAAAAACACATTCGTTTTTAAGGTTTCAATTTTTTAAAGATATTTCCTCATATTTGCATAAATCTGACTTTTTAAAATCGTATTTAGGCTGGCCACAGTGACTCACGCCTATAATCCCAGCTCTTTGTAATCAACGAGAAATATAGGACTGGGGCTACTCTCTGGGAGTCCGAGGTGAGCGGATCACTTGAGGCCAGGGGTTTGAGACCAGCCTGGCCAACGTGGCAAAACCCCGTCTCTACTAAAAATGCAAAAATTATCCGGGCATGGTGGCACATGCCTGTAATCCCAGCTACTGGGGAGGCTGAGGCAAGAGAATCACTTGAACCCAGGAGGCGGAGGTTGCAGTGAGCCAAGATCGTGCCACTGCACTCTAGCCTAGGTGACAGAGTGAGACTCAGGTCTCAAAACAGAAACAGACATAGAAAAAATCTTTGCTGAATCGAACATGTGACTAATTGCATAAGACATTTAAAACACAAGATGTATGAGAAATAAAAAATAACAAGGTCACAAACCTAATGGCTGAGGAAGCCTATGATACAAATCAAGAATTTGAAAATGGAAAACAAAAAGATGATAATGAATGTGATTTATACACTCTGCAACATGGAAAATCTAAGTGGATAATCCTGGAATCAACGAGAAATATAGGACTGGGGCTCATGGAAAGCATCTGGCCTAGAAAGAGATCTGGAAATGAATAAATTGAGATTTGGGGACATATACTAATTTGTACCAAAGTAACATAACAAAGCCTAATCGCCAAAAATATATAAAATAAAAGGAGACATGTAATACCTGGTTAAATGTTTCTTACCTACTATTTTCCACAGCCTTCATAGCATATTCAACTTGAAAAACTCTTCCGTCAGGAGAGAATGTAGAGGCTGACAGGTCATACTTAAGGAGAAAAGGGCAACAGTAAGCTTGTATCTTTGGCAGTAATGACCATACAGTTTCTTCCCCTCTAAATGGCTGAAACATCAGGAACCTGTTATATCCCAACAAAGACCTTGCTTTCAAGAGAGGAAAGGGAAACTTGTCAGAGCAGCAACAGTAGCTAAGATAAAGCTATATACCTTCGATTTCAGCTATTGAAGAGTAATGGATACAGGTCCCAGGTGAAGTCAGAACACTTTTCACCCAGACTACAAAACTCATTTTTGAAAAAGATTAATATGGGGCAGTAGAACCAGCACTGGAGTTCGAACATTTAAATTTGTAACGATAACTCTGCCATTAACAAACTAAAAGACTTCAAACAAATCATTCGGCATTCACCAAGCAGTTAATGAGTATCTATTATGTTACTATACGGAATACAAAGGTATACTCATTCATTAAGTCCTTCAGTTTCACATCAGACATGAATCTAGGTGCTAGAGGTACAGCAGTAAATCAGAAAAGGCACTAAGATGAAAATAAAAGAGTAAAGCAATGAACTACTACAGACTACATCATCAGGGAAGGCCTTCTGGGCAGTTATATTTAGGCTGAGTCAAACCTAAATGACAAGGAGCTAGCCATTTAAGATATGAAGGAAAAGTCTTCTTGACATTTGGCACAAAGATCTTAGGGTAGAAATAAGGCTAGCACAGTCAAGAAACAGAAATAAGGTCACTGTGTCCCAAGCACTGTAAGCAGCAGAAAGAAGAGTAAACTGTGTTAGTGAGGTAGCTGAGGGCCAGATTATGTTGTGTCTTCCAGGATGGAAAAAGGACTCTGTATTTTATTCTAAATGCAATGAGAAATTTAAGCAGGGGGAGTGGTATCATCTATATTTTTAAAAACATCATTCTGGCTTTATGCGGAAAATAAGCTGTAGAGAGAACAACAGAAGCAAAGATAAGGTGTTCCAAAGATAGCGGTAGTAGCTTAGACGAGAGAAGAGGTAGAAGGGAATATTTTTTGAGAGTAGAGTAAAATATAAAAATAATAAAAATAAACTTGCTAGGCCAGGCGTGATGGCTCATGCCTGTAATCCCAGCACTTTGGGAGGGTGAGGCGGGCTGATCACAAGGTCAAGAGATGGAGACCATCCTGGCCAACATGGTGAAACCTCATCTCTACGAAAAATACAAAAATTAGCTGGGCGTGGTGGTGCGCACCTGTAGTCCCAGCTCTTCGGGAGGCTGAGACAGGAGAATTGCTTGAACCTGGGAGGCACAGGTTGCAGTGAGCCAAGATCGTGCCACTGCACTCCAGCCTGGCAACAGAGCAAGACTCCGTCTCAAACAAAATAAAAATAAAAAAATAAACTTGCTAAAGCGTTGGTTCTGGGAGTAAAGTAAAAAAAGGAATTAAAGATGAATAACAGATTTTTTCATATGACCATTCACTGAGCTGAAGACTGTAGTAGATGCAAAATGGCAAGGTGAGGAGAAAACCCAGAGCTCTACTTTCACATGCAGTACGAAATGACTATTAAACGATCAAGTGAACAGACATGTCAAGCAGACAAACAAATATTCGTATCTGGAGTTCTTGGGAGAAATGAAGACAGAAGAAAAGCCTTCAGCAGTGGTACTTTCTGAGTCTGTTTCCTGATCTGTTAAACCCAGATCATTAACCCTACCATTGTTACTAAAATATCCCACATGGTTACATTATCAAGTATTCTTTAAAAGGTTTGTAGAATGAAATACTATTAATTCAAGGTAATATTAATATAATTGCAAAGTCAGTTTGCTACAAGATTTAATATTGAGCATTTACTTATCCAAGAAAAGTATGGCAGAACTTTAGCATTCATAACTGAATGGATTAAACCATTCCAGACATAAGTTGCCTATTATCAAATTTAGAACACCGGTACTTGAACTTAAGGCTGAGCATGAGAATCTTGTTAAGAAGTAGAAATTGAGGAACTGAGAAACTCATTATTCAATAACTCTAGTGCAAATAACCAATAAATCTTTTAGAAACTGTATTTTCTATATAGAGAAGTACATAAAAGGAGTAAACTGACTGCACATATGCAATACGTTTAACAAAGGAAAGCCAAACAAGTTAACAAGTCCCACTGCAAAATCCTCAACAGTCTATGAAAAGTCTGAAGCTGTTAAGTTCCTAAGTAACCATTTAAACGTTTACGGAATAAATGCCTACAAGCGCTGTTAGGTAATTTGTATAGGAAAAACGAGAAAGGAAAAACTGAAGGATTCATCAGATTGTTTTTCAGACCATTTTTATTAGTTCTGTTCCGACAGGATTTCCAGTGACTCTTAAACTGAGCGGTCAATGATCTGCACACTTAAAGACAGAGAAGGCCTGTGAATCAGCAGCACCCTAGGAACTGCAAACGCAGTCCACAAAAAGCACGATCTCCAGACCCCGGAATCCCAAATCTCACTGCCTCGGTGGTTCTCAAGAGAACACACTATTTCAAGCCCCACGAGTTTCCACTTTCGGTTTCCCTAAGTGGCTGAAGAAAGTGACTCAGCAATCCAAAGCGGCTCCAAACCTCACTGCGGCGACGCCAAGCCGGCTACACCTGCGCTGAAAAGCTTCAGGAGTCACGGTCACCTGAGACGCAGGCCTAGCATATAGGGGATAAAGACGACCGGTCTCCAAACAGCTGCAAATGGCCCACCCAGCCGAAGGCGGTCTCAGAGCACCCCGGGTCCGCGAACCCCATGTGGTCTGTCCGAGTTCCCTTCAACCCCAATCCTTAGGTTAAACTATTACACCGACAGACAGCGAACTCACCCCAGTGCCGATTGAGCTCATCGTGCTAAACCCAAAGGGACGCGTAGGGATTCCAGGCCCGGAGCGCTTCCCCTATACCACAGGATGCCGCAAACTAGTAACAGGCCCGCTCATTGGCTGAACTGCCAACCAATAACCTTTTTCTCTGTGGCTCGTTCCGCGGCTCCGGCCCCCAGGACGAGGAGTATTGTGGGAAAAAAGCGGGCCGCGAGAGGCTGGCGGCGCGCATGTGCAGAAGCAATGGAGGCGGGGTTGGGGAAAGCAAAGGCTCCTCCTTCGGTTCGCGTACTTTGAGCCGCTTGGCGTCGTGGTATCTGAGAAGCTGCTCTATTCCTTTCCTTGGAATTATTATTTATCTTTTATATTATTATTCTCTCCTCACTTTATTCTTTCTTTAAGCCAAAGGGAGAGATGCTGGTATACTCTCACAAAAAGTAGAAAAAGCAGTAGGCGCGAAGTAACCTGTCTTCCTCCGCGTCCCGACCCTGACCCAGAATCTTGATGGCATCCACTTCACCTCCTTGTGCTCAGGCTCTCGTGAAGTTTCACTTAAAGGGTATCGTCTTTGAATTCAGCTTAGAATTTTACGGAAGTATTAGTGCTCTTTCTATGAGTATAACGCTTTTTGGTAAGAGTTAAAGATAAGTCTGATTAAAGATATTTTTTGAGCGCTAGTATATTCCACGTGTTCAAGAAAAAGCCGTGAACAGAGCATACCCCCATTTCTAATGTAATTTCCATTCAGTGGGAATAAATAGGTAACAATAAATAAGCAAAATAGTAAGAAGAAAGAGTGCTTTAATAGACAATGGAGGTACTAACTTTAGGCAGTGTGCTCAGGGAATGACTTTCTGAGTGAGTGATATTTAAACTAAAATAGGGTAACAAAAGACAGTGGTTTAGGGAACAGTAAAAAACTTGGCTTGCGCTGGGAACTGTCACGTCAGAGTGACCTCTCATAATGATTAAGTGGGGAAGAATGACAGGAAGAGAACAAGTGCACAGGAGACCAAATCTTGAAGTGGTTTGAATTTTAATCCGATTGTAAATAGGGCATCAGCATTTTTTTTACTCCTAAATATTAATACGTCAGTGTGTATTTTCCCCCAACACAGGAACATTATTTCACAGAGACACAGTATTATTGTGAAAATCAGAAAATTACCAATACTATGATCTATCAACTTTATGCATTTTTTTTTTTTTTTTGGTAAATGGCCCAATAATGTCCTTCATAGCAAAAGAAAATCCAAGATCACACCTTGCATTCAGTTGTCATGTTTCCAATCTGCTTTAGTCTGGAAAATAGTTGCTTAGTATTTCTTCAGTTTTCATGGCATGAACACTTTTGAAGAATACAAACCATTTATTTTGTAGAATATTCCTTAATTTAGGTTTGATTTTTTTGTTATTTGATTCAAGTGATGCATTTATGGCAGGAATACTACAGAAATGACCTTGTATTCATTCATGTCAGAGCATTACATTAGAAGGGACATGATGTTAGTTGTTTTATTGCTGGTAATGTTAACTTTGATCACTTGCTGAAGATTTATCCCTGATAATGTTTCATTTTTCCCTTTGTAATTAGTATCTTGTGAGGAAATACTTTGAGAATATGTACACATCCTGTTTACGCCTCAACATTTCACTCATTAATTCTAATATCTGATGATTCTTATTTGAATTGATTATTACAATGGTTGCCAAATGGTGATTTTCTAATTCCATCATTCTTTTCACATTTATTATTGGTTTTCTACTGTGAGGTTATCAGGAGTTTTTAAAGCAAGAGAATTATATGATTTGATTTAAATCATTAAATGACCTCTTGTTTCTGTGTGAAGAATGATAGCTAAGGGAAAGAAGAGAGGCAGGGATACTAGTTGGAAAGTTATTGCACTTTTGTGAGCTAGCAGTAATGGAGAGTGATTTGGACTAAAGTGGTGGCAGTGGAGGTGGAAATATGTAGATGGATTTCAGATGTGTAGGGAGCTATGGTTTGAATGTCCCCTTCAAAACACGTGTTGAAATTTAATTGCCAATGTAATGGTATTGCGATGTGGGGCCTTTAAGAGGTGATTAGGTCATGAGGGCACTATGGATGAATGACATTTTCAGAATGGGTTAGTTATCTTGGAAGTGGGTTCCTAATAAAGGGGTGAGTTTCACTGGATTTCAGCTTTCTCTGTCTCACATATTCGCTTGCTCTTCTGATCCTCTGTCATGGGATAACACAGCACAATGCCCTTGCCAGATGTCAGTGCCATGCTCTTGGACTTCTAAAACCATGAGCCAAATAAACTTTTCTTGTTTATGAATTACCTAGTCTGTGGTATTCTGTTATAGCAGCAGAATATGGGCTAAGACATAGGGCTTGCAGAATTGGGTATAGAAAGTAAGGGGGAAAAAGGAATTTCAGTTACTTTTGCTTTTTCCTGCTAATGAAGCATTACAATTGATGTTTTTATTCTTGAACAAACCGATAGATAAAAGGACTTGAATGACTTGGAAGACTAGCCACTTAATTTACCTAACCCTCGTTAAAACATTCTAGTTGTAAGTGGTTTTTTTTTTTTTTTTTTGAGACTGAATCTTGCTCTGTCACCCAGGCTGGAGTGCAGTGGCATGATCTCTGCTCACTGCAACCTCTGACCCCCGGGGTTCAAGCGATTCTTCTGCCTCAACTGCCCGCGTAGCTGGGATTACAGGTGTGCACCACCATGCCAGGCTAGTTTTTGTATTTTTAGTAGAGACCGAGTTTCACCATGTTGGCCAGGCTGATCTCACACTCCTGACCTCAGGTGATTCACCCTCCTTGGCCTTCCAAAGTGCTGGGATTACAGGCGTGAGCCACTGCACCTGGCCTCTAGTTGCAGTTCTTTCCTGGGGAGTTCGGATTTAGACCAAGATAGTCCAAGAAAGTGTTGAAGAAAGCTAAAGGTTAATAGTTGCAGAAGGTTTGGCCTTGGAGGTAAACCGTAAGTACTCAAAACTTGTTTAGGTATCAGTTAATCTTTTAATTAACATCATTACTTGTGTGTGATAAACACTATTTGAGTGCCTAGTGCACTCAATATTTATTAATAATTAAGAATTTGGGGGTTCTTTCGGCCGGGCGCGGTGGCTCACGCCTATAATCCCAGCACTTTGGGAGGCCAAGGCAGGCGGATCACCTGATGTCAGGAGTTTGAGACCAGCCTGACCAACATGGTGAAACCCTGTCTCTACTAAAAATACAAAAATTAGCTGGGCGTGGTGTTGCATGCCTGTAGTCCCAGCTACTCCGGAGGCTGAGGCTGAGGCTGAGGCAGGAGAATTGCTTGAACCCGGGAGGCAGAGGTTGCCGTGAGCTGAGATCACGCCACTGCACTCCAGCCCAGCGAGACTCCCTCTCAAAAGAAAAAAGAAAAAAAGGCCAGGCGTGGTGGCCCATGTCTGTAATCCCAGTCCTTTGGGAGTCCTAGGCGGGTGGATCATCTGAGGTCAGGAGTTCAAGACCAGCCTGGCCAACATGGTGAATCCCGTCTCTACAAAAATTAGCCAGACATGATGGCGGGTGCCTGTAGTCCCAGCTACTTGGGAGGCTGAGGCAGGAGAATTGCTTGAACCCGGGAGGCGGAGGTTGTAGTGAGCCTCATGCCACTGCACTCCAGCCTGGGCGACAGAGCAAGACAACTCTAAATGTATACTATTTTATGACATATGTTATTTTTAAATTGAATACCTCAGGAAATGTGATGCCCAATGTTTCTAGCTTCCAAATACTGTGCTTTGGGGATACTATCCTAAGAATTCTTTGTTATTTTCAGGTTTACAAATTGGTCTTTAACTTGCACTGCTAAGTAGTAGTATAAACACCACACCCCTCTCCATTATCACAGAAATTAGAAGAATTTCTTTTTCTTTTTTTTTTTTTTTTTTTGATATGGAGTCTCGCACTGTCGCCCAGGCTGTAGTACAATGGCGTGATATTGGCTCACTGCAACCTCCGCCTCCCGGGTTCAAGCGACTCTTCTGCCTCAGCCTCCCGAGTAGCTGGGATTACAGGTGCCGGCCACCATGATCGGCTAAGTTTTTGTATTTTTAGTAGAGACGGTAGTTGGGGACGGGGGGGTGGGGGTGGGGGGGGGTCACTATTTTGGCCAGGCTGGTCTCGAACTCCTGACCTCGTGATCCACCTGCCTTGGCCTCCCAAAGTGTTGGGATTACAGGCATCCCGCGCCCGGACAGAATTTCTTATCTAGAAAGGTTCACCATCATTTCAGAGTATATGTATTTCCATATGACATTATTCCAGTATCTCCTATGGTAATTTGATTAAAATCGGGTTTCTGACCCTTTGCCTGTTAGAGTTCACATTCTTTACCATTAGATTCAGAGACTATAATTCTTTCCTCCCAGCTCCTGTCACTTGAGGAGAATAATAGCACCCTCCAAACGTCCTATCTCTCATTGTCAGACAATTACGCTAAAGAGACCTTATATTAATTGACTCGAAGCCCCCCTTTTCTGAATTTAACTCTCCTTCATCAGACCATGCTAAAGAAAATAGCTAAGCCCCGCGGTTGTTCAGGGAAACTAACCCCTCAGAGATTGGACTTTGTTTCTAAATGCGGAGCCCAAACATGTAGGAATCCGGAATGCCATTTGATGGAAGTTGGATGGCCTTGATATGTGTTTATGTAAACAAAACATATTGGTTGGTAAATATTTTTAAACACTTTGTTAAAAAGATTCAATGACTCTGTAATGATAAAGATTCGCATAAGTTTTCAATGATCTTTGGATACATATACAAACATTCTTAAATCTAAGTACAATTAAATATTTAGAACGCTCTGAAAAATAATTCTGAAGTGCCGATCTAATAGTACGTTATAAATTTTTTTAGAAAAGAAACTACGCGGAGAATATAAAACCATGTAGTTAAACAGTCCTCAAGAAGTAAAAAAGCAGGCTAACGTAACAGGCGCCCGGCTAGCTCAGTCGGTAGAGCATGGGACTCTTAATCCCAGGGTCGTGGGTTCGAGCCCCACGTTGGGCGCGGGTTGTAACTTTTTTCCTGAAACTTAAACGCTTTCACTAAAGCACTTAAACTACAGAGTTCTCAAGCAGAATTAATTTAAACACTTTCAATATTAACCAGATTCTCCAGTAAAAAGTTAACCTTTTGTAAACGAAACAGGTCACAAACTGTGTTTGCGCAATTGAAATCACACGTCCTCCCCGTGTTCTCCTTAAAACACAGAGGAAACCAAATGCCCACTGTTAAAGACTAGTTTTTTGTGTTACTGTGCATACTTGGATAGTTAGTGGTAGAGGGCAGTTTTAATTGTTATCTTAACAAACCTATGAGCCCCACATTTTGGCTGCTCTTCTAAAATTTAAGAGACCGGATGTAAAAACATTCAGAGGCACCTGAGGACTCCGAAGAAAAAGAACCAATTTATCCTTCTCTGTTTCTCTTCCTCTCTCTCTCTCTCTGTCCTTTTTCCTATTCTCAATATGGAGTCTATCCCTGAAGAAATATATAGTGAAAAATAGTTCTTTTTGTAGTGAGATTTATACCACCAGTGCATACATCAAGTTTTCTTCCATTCTTCTTGGGGATGGATACTAGGAAATTAAGATTCTAGTAAAGGCTCTTTAAAGACGTACAAAACAACTGAGATATGAAAATTAGGATAGGCAATTGGATATGTGAGGGAGGAAAGGTTTCCGCCTTCTCCCCTTTGCACTGAGAACTGTGAAGTCAGCAGAATGTCCTCGCCCACTCGGACCACCACAGCCAGACACATTCCAGGATCTCACCCGCCAGACCACGTAGGCGAACGGTTTATGCTCCTTCCTACCTGAAGCCAACCCTGCCTAAAGCACTGGATCCTGTACCCTCCACGTGTCATCCCCCAGCTCTCTACTAAAGGATCCATTTTTCTCCCTTCTTGATTTTTCCGTTCAACACACAAACATGCTGTTATTTATCTTAAAAACTTCGACCTAGTTTCCTCACAGGCTGCCATTCTATTTCTCTGTTCCCCTGTGTAGCAAAAGCCCATCCCCTTTTGCCTAAGCTCAAGTTTCCCCTCCCTCCCATCTCTTAACCCTGACAATGCCCTTCAGCCATAGACCAAAACAAAACAAAACAACAAACAAAAAAAACCAGAAAACCCCCACACCTGTTGTCAAATACGTTTAGTTTATTACTCATGGCAACAAGGGAGAAGTGTGGGGTGATTCAGTAAGATGGTGATTATAGGATCTTGGCTTTTGTTGGGTAATTTGGGGGAGGGTCTAAGTAAGTAGGGGTTCTGAATTGGGTGCTCTCAGAAAACCAGGGCAATTCTAGGATCTGAAATCTTATCTATAAGGATGGCAGACTAAAGGAGGGATAAAGGTGAAACTGATAAAGTAAGTCACTCGTTTAGCAAGAGGGAGGTTTGGTGTTTTGAGTTGGACAGTAACCAACTTGTCTGAAGTGTATGTTATGTGAAAAACAGAAGAAAAGCATAGTTTGCCGAAAGCGTCATATCAATCTGTAATAGCATTGAGGCTTACTTGTGTTAGATTAGTTCCCAGATGTCAGGCACTTCTTGCTCTTCTCAACCCACCCTAGTCAGGACTTTCCGTCCCTCCCGGCACACCCCACTAGTCTACTAAACTGTACATGAAAAGGTCATCATTCATCTCCACAAAATCGAATTGTTAATTGCAAGTCCTAATTTACTTGGAGTATCAGAAATTTGTTACAAATTTTATCACTCCATGCTGGATCCACATCTCCCCCTTGGCTTCCAGCACACTAACGCTTTCTTGTTTTCTACCCTATCTCACCAGCTACTTCCTTTCTCTCCTATCTCTTCACTTGGGAGTGCTCCATCGATGGGTGAGTCCTTGGTCCCCTTCTCTATCCACACTCATGCACTTGGTGATCTCACAGTTTCAATTGTGATACTTGCTGATGATTCACAACTTTTTTTTTTTTTTTTTTTTTTGAGACGGAGTCTCACTCTGTCGCCCAGGCTGGAGTGCAGTGGCATGATCTTGGCTCACTGCAACTGCCGCCTCCCGGGTTCAAGCAATTCTCCTGTCTCAACCTCCCGAATAGCTAGGACTACAGGCACCCGCCACCACACCCGGCTAATTTTTGTATTTTTAGTAGAGACAGGATTTCACCATATTGGTCAGGCTGGTCTCGAACTCCTGACCTCGAGTGATCCACCTGCCTCGGCCTCCCAAAGTGCTGGGATTACAGGCTTGAGCCACCGTGCCCGGCCGATTCAAAACTTTTAAGACAGCCCAGATCTCTCTCTTAAATATCAAACATCTATATCCATTTGGATGTTTAGTAGATATCTCATACTTAACATGTACAAAAACTAATTCTTGATCTTTGCCCCAAAACTTGTTTCTCCTGTAGTTTTCCTTTTTTTCTCCATTAACGGTAACACCATCCTTCTAGTTGCATGGATGAAAAATATTGGAAACATTATTGATTCCTATCTCTCCAACCCCATTGTGAAAGTGTCTTTCAATATTCCCCTCCCATATTGACTGTGAGCTTGGCCATGTGACTAACTTTGGCTAATAGGACAACAGAAAGCATGATGCAAACAGTGTCTTGAGGAGAACTCACACAATGGAGTTTGGATCCAAGCTGCCAAGTAACAAATCAGTATTCTGAGACCACCATGCTGAGGGAGCCTAAGCCAGCCATGTGGAGAGAAGCATGTGGAAGACAGAGAAGGCATGTGGAGAGCACTGACACTGAGACTTGTAAACAAGGCTGTCCTAGACCTTCCATCCCAGCACACCAATTAAATACAGCCAGGTGGCTATCTCCAGCTCATACTACGTGGAACAGAACTGCTCACCTGAGTCTTGCCTGAATTCTGACCCACAAAACCATAAGCAAATACAATTCATATTGTTTTAAGCTACTAACTTTTAGAAGTTTGTTACATAGCAATAGGTAACTGAAACACCCACATAAGATCTATCAGGAAATCCTGTTGGTCTACCTTCCATGTATCCAGAATCAGGCTTCTCATCTTTACTGCTAGCACCTTGGCTTAAAACATCATCTCACTGGGATTACTGCAATGGTTTCATAACTGATTTTCCTGCTTCAGTTTGTCTCTCTAAACTCTATTCTTAATGCAACATCCAGAATAATCCGGTATAAACAAGCCAGATCTTGTCATTCCACTCAAAACCCTCCAAGGGCACCCTGTTTTACTCAGTAAGATGTATCCTTACAAGATATCCACCCACTCCCCCATCTACTATTGCTTTTCTTCTCCTTACTCACTCTACACAAGCCAAATTGGTCTCCTTGTCAATCCTGGAATATGTTAGGCATGGCTTTCCTTAGGGTTTTTTTTTGTTTTTTTGAGACAGGGTCTCACTCTGTCACCCAGGCTGGAGTGCAGTAGCGTGATCTTGGATCACTGCAGCCTCCGCATCCCGGGTTCAAGCAATCCTCCTGCCTCAGCCTCTGGAGTAGCTGGGATTACAGGCATACAGGACCACACCTGGCTAATTTTTGTATTTTTGGTAAACATAGGGTTTCACCATGTTGGCCAGGCTGGTCTTGAACTCCTGACCTTAAGTGATCCACCCGCCTCAGCCTCCCAAACTGCTGGGATTACAGGGATGGGCCGCCACAACCGGCTTCCTCTTCTTATAAAGATGCCAGTCTTACTGGATCGGGGCGCCACCCTAATGATCGCATGTTAATTTGACTACATCTGCAACTCTATTTCCAAATAAGGTCACGTTCACAAGGTACAGGGGTTGGGACTTCAACCTATCTTTTTGAGGGACATAATTCAACCTATAACAGAGGGCTACATTCCTTAACTTCAGCCACTAGTTGTCTGCTACTTTATAGCTAGTTTTAAAGCTCTATTTCAGTCACAGATCCTGTTTTTGATATTATTCAATGATGAAAACTTCTCATAAATAATCTAAATTCACCAAAATATGAGGTCAATATAAATGTAAAGTTCATGTTTACTGAAAAAAGAGATAATGTTAATAAAATAGTAAATCCATCCAATTGGCAAATAATAGTATACCTATTCCTGGCAATCCTCCTGGGAGGTTTCAAAGTTAAGAAATAGACAAGCCTTGTTCTACGAGAGCTTATATTCCAGAAAAGAAGATAAAACCTCTGTTGAAACGATTACAAGGTAAAAGTTAGAAGTGCCCCAATTATGGATACTGTGCTTAAGGAAAGAGTGCTATGGAAGAGCGGTAGGACTAGAGGACACAGGTATCCCGAAAGAATGAAGCCAGCAAAATTTCAACAAGAGGTAGTTCATTAAAAACAAATGAAAAAATAAAATAAAAGTTAAATGATTGAGTACATATTTCAAGAACCTCTGCCCTGAGAAGATATAAAGCACAAACGCAAAGATTAATGACATTGTGAATACATTTTTATAAAGCAGTTGTAACCTTATATAAAAATGAAGTATCTTTTTTCTTAGAAATGTAGAATTGCTCATTAAAAAAACTGTAAAGTTAAAAAGTGAACATTTCCACACTTGGCTTAACAAATGCTTGACTATGTTACCAAACATTCTCAGTCCAAAGATCAAATATATTTCTGGAAAAACAACATTATTATAATATGGACACCCAAGTACCAAAATAAATATTTTTTTTAAATGGACCCATGTTAGTATTTGAAATAACTGGTAATGGTTAACACTATTTATGCTTTAAATGGAGTAACTGCTGGAAACACAATTAATGAGCCCAGAACAGGTTATGTGAACTGTGGAGAAATACTGTTCTTTTTGAAAGACAAGCAACATAGGCTGGTACAGTGGTTCACGCCTGTAATCCCAACACTTTGGGAGGCCGAGGAGGGTGGATCACGAGGTCAGGAAATTGAGACCATCCTGGCTAACATGGTGAAACCCCGTCTCTACTAAATATACAAAAAATTAGCCGGGCGGGGTGGCGTATGCCTATAGTCCCAGCTACTCAGGAGGCTGAGACAGAATGGCGTAAACCCGGGAGGCGGAGCTTGCAATGAGTAGAGATTGTGCCACTGCACTCCAGCCTAAGTGACAGAGCGAGACTCCGTCTCAAAAAAAAAAAAAAAAAAAAAGCCACATAACAAACTTCCAAAATCAAACTGCTTTACTATACTTTATTGATATAAATACAGCAAATCTCAATAAGCACCAGCTACCATTTTACCACTACACAAGAGAAACAAAGTCAAAAGAATTATATATTAATGCAAAGAGTAAACACAGAATGCTTTCACTTCCACTATAGTCCTCTATAACAAAACATCCTACATACTTTGTACAATTTGCTTATAATTGGTTAAATATTTGATATGAAGCAAGGTTGATTTTTAATCAAACTTCTATTTCTCAGTGGAAAATGCTCTCTTCATCAGAGGTGGTTGAGTTTTCCCGACATCAAACATCATTTCCAAAGGTGGGTTATTGAGAGAACACCAATCAGGTATACGGCCCGTCTGATTATAATATTCCTTTGAAACAGAACGGCTCCCAAGTATATCTTGTAATGCTCCAAAAATAGCCCCTGTGTGACAAAAATATTTTTTATAGCTAAGATGAAAACTTTTACCAGAAAACTTTATGTACACATACATCTACTTCACTATATGACAAAAGTGGACTGGTAAAATTCAGCAATGCATAGCCACAATCTTCAAAGTAATTCCAGTTAAGCCATTCTTTATTTTACATTTTGAATAACAGGGTAAGCCATAACTCCATGTTAAAGTAATTGAAATGGCCTTTAGCAGATAATAGTGAATATGATAACAAGTATTATTGCATTTAAAAGCAAGTGAGATAGAGTGGAGTGAAAGTATTTTCAACTTTGTGTAAATACAATCAATAAGATTCTGAGTTTTCTCTCTCACAACTAAGGTTACATATCAATAAATAAAATGGTACTGCAAAACCCAATAAACATCATCATAATGTCCTAACATACTATACTGAAGACCTTATTAAGACCCACAAGGCAGTCTTTTAAAAACAATTCCATTACTAAATCAATTTGTCCTAGATCAAAACTACGTTTTGACCAAATTCTATTTTACAAGAAATAATGTAACATTCATTTTAAAATGTCATACTACTCTTTCTCTAAATGCACAATCCTGATACCTTCTAGCTCTAACTGCATCATAAAACACATATCAGAACCTGTATAAATGTACATATTCATGATTGTTTTTCCCTTCAAAGTAGTTACAGCTGATCCTTGAACAATGCAGGGATTAGGGGTGTGGACCCCCAAGCAGTTGAAAATCCATGTATAATTTTTGACTCCCCGAAAACTTAACTACCAATAGTCTACTGTTGACTGAGAAGTCTTACCAATAACATGAATAGTCGATTAACACATAAACAGCCCAGTATCTGTATATATATTTTTATACATTCATGATGTATCTTTTTCTTAATTTTTTTGATATTTCTAGGCTACATGGTTTGTCTATGTTTTTTCAAATTGTTGCAAATCTCCAAAATTTTTCTAGCATATTTCCTAAAAAACAGCATATGAGTGGACCCACATAATTCAAACCCATGTTGTTCAAGGGTCAACTGTACTTATTAGGTTAATTGCTTATTTCAGTGAAACCATCACTACTTAAAACATTTAATGAACTCAGTCACAAATATACTCATAAATTAAAGAGGCCAATTTTCATATGTGGCTCACTAGCTTTAGAAGACATTAAAATGAACATTTTAAGAAATGGTAAGCCAGGGGCGGTGGCTCACACCTGTAATCCCAGCACTTTGGGAGGCAGAGGCGGGCGGATCACCTGAGGTCAGGAGTTTGAGACCAGCCTGACCAACATGGAGAAACCCTGTCTCTACTAAAGATACAAAAAACTTAGCCAGGCGTGGTGGCGGGCGCCTATAATCCCAGCTACTAGGGAGGCTGAGGCAGGAGGATTGCTTGAGCCTGGGAGGCAGAGGTTGCGGTGAGCTGGGATCACGCTATAGCACTCCAGCTGGACGGGCAACAAAGATGAAACGTCTCAAAAAAAAAAAAAAAGAAAGAAAGAAATGGTAGCATCACTGGAATAAATTCATAGCTTTCACTATTTTGAGGGATGACTTTAACTAAATGAGAACGTTTACTTAATATCACGGTGCAAATGCCAAGAGAAATAGGTATAAAATTCTGAAAATTAATACAATTTAAGAAAAAGTCAGCTGGGCATGGTGGTTCATGCCTGTAATCCCAGCACTTTGGGAGGCCAAGGTGGGTGGATCACGAGGTCAAGAGATCGAGACCATCCTGGCCAACATGGTGAAACCCCGTCTCTACTAAAAATACAAAAATTAGCTGGGCGTGGTGGTGCACGCCTGCAGTCCCAGCTAGTCAGGAGGCTGAGGCAGCAGAATTGCTTGAACCCGGGAGGCGGAAGCTGCAGTGAGCCGAGATCGCACCACCACTGCACTCCAGCCTGGCGACAGAGTGAGACTCCGTCTCAAAAAAAAAAAAAAAAAAAAAAAAAAAGAAAAAGTCAGTGTTAGTTCTATTTATAAAGTGGGCAATTCTGAACCCTGAATTATTTATTCTAATATATCCATTAATAGTGTCATTCAGAGACCAAATACTATATAATCATTATATTTTAAAAGTGAAATTCTTACCTCCCAACCAGGCCACACAATTAGCTTTTGCAGGTGGAGTATGAATTCGAAATGTCTTAGTGCCAAGTGCTTTTTTATATTTTGGTTTTTCTACCAAATACCTTATTTCTGCAAGCAATCTGTGGAGAAATCCTGGCAACATAGAAGTGCCACCTATGACTACCAAATTCTCTGCTAGTTGCTTCCTGGTGTCTATCGGACACTGTTATTAAAAAGAAAAAAAGAAGGATTTATTCTGAACTGTACAAATAATGCTTGATTGAACTTAAGAAAATATACATAAATATACTATTATTATACATATTATTATTATACTACAGATTAAACAGGTGATCGTTTGTATCGCAAAAAGGGCCACAGCAAGGTTTCTTTCATGTAGCAAATATAACCACCATAAACATACTGCCAAATATATACATAAACTTTAAAGATTTTAAAATAGTTTAAAGTCTAAAAGCATAGAATTTTACATTCCATAGGGCATATGTGAGTGTTCTCACTGTCAGGGTAGCAATGATTAAGTAGGGCAAAGAGCATGAGAAGAAATAACTTCTCTTTTTTGGGATAAGTGAAATATGTAGAAATTTAATTTTTCTAAGGTGTATTCACAGTGCCAGTTGTTAAGTGGGAAGATAACACTCCTAGAAAAATTATGGTTCTACATCAGTTCTCTTTAAGAGTTAGCGATGATAAGGTCCTTCAATGAATGGAGCCCTAGAGGTAAACATATCTTCCAAGGCAATGGTATTTCATGCGAAGTCCTATAATTACATAGTCATTAAACGAAAGAGACATATTATTACCATATGTCCTGTGGAATTTAAAATTGAATACTATACAACCCTGAATTGGAAGGAACCACAAGCCACACTAGGTACAAAATAAAAATCTGGTCCCTGGTCTTAAAAGAATGCACATGTCACTGGGTTTGGTGGCTCACGCCTGTACAGCCCTTTGGGAGGCCGAGACAGGTGGATTACCTGAGGTCGGGAGTTCAAGACCAGCCTGACCAACATGGAGAAACCCCATCTCTACCAAAAATACAAAATTAGCCAGGCATGGTGGCACATGCCTGTAATCCCAGCTACTCGGGAAGCTGAGGCAGGATACTCACTTGAACCCGGGGGCGGAGGTTGTGCTGAGCTGAGATCATGCCATTGCACTCCAGCCTGGGCAACAAGAGCAACACTGTCAAAAAAAGAGAAAAAAAAGGCCAGGTGCGGTGGCTCACGCTTGTAATCCCAGCACTTTGGGAGGCCGAGGCGGGCGGATCACAAGGTCAGGAGTTCAAGACCAGCCTGGCCAACATGGCGAAACCCTGTCTCTAAATAATACAAAAATTAGCTGGGCAAGGTGGTGGGTGCCTGTAATCCCAGTTCCTCAGGAGGCTGAGGCAGGAGAATCACTTGAACCCGGGAGGCAGAGGCTGCAGTGAGCTGAGATCGCGCCACTGCACTCCAGCCTGGGTGACAGAGCGAGACTTTGTCTCAAAAAAAAAAAAAAGCACATGTCCATGGCACTCATTATCCTGGGGTTTGGAATGTTGTAGATGCCATTTCTCAGTGCCAGAGTAAAACTCATGAACTATAAAATTTTAAAATGAAAGTTTAAAAAGTTAAAAAAGGACCGTATTCTGTAAAAATTAATAAAATTTAATAAGCAGATTAGTTGTTGACACATATTAAAAATAATATGTGACAAGGATTGCTAGTTGCCTAAAATAACATTTAAAATTTATATTTAAAGGACTGTGGTAATAAAGGGAATTTTTTGACAAGATAAAATACCTGTATAAGGGAATCCAATATTAAAGTGGCAACTGATTGCTCTTCATTATCTTGTTCAAAAAGAATTTCCACAACTGAATCTCTAATGGGATTTGAAAAAGAGAGCTTTCTGTTGGTGTCACGTATTATAATATTACACAGAATACACCATTATTTCCATTTACATAGTATTTTTAAGTACCAATACTACATTAACAAAGAATAATTATTAAAATACAAGGTGTTCTCATTTGTAAATGGAGAGGATAACAATGCCTGCCTCACAGGGTTTGAGGTGAAGATGCAATGAGTTAATAGAACAGGGTCTGGCACATAGGAGGCATTCCCTAAATTATTAGCTGTTACTATTATTATGTATAGATTTACATTTATTTTGTGTCCAATTATAACTCCCCAAACCTAATAAGAGAAAAGAAATAGTATTCTATGAAAGTTAGTAAGATTCAATAAGCAGATTAGCTAGTGATACAAGAGATTTATAAGCAATCACCCCCCATTTCTTTGTTTTTTAAAATAATACAAGGATCACTAGTTGCTTAATAAAATATCCATTTTCCAGTTTAATCTCAAATTAAAATTACTCTATTTCTTTTTGGTAGCATGAGGAAGATCTCTGTGGTGATGAAAGAGTTCCATATTTTTTTAAAAATTATATATATATTTAAGGTACACAACATAGTTTGATATATACATATATATACACACATAATGAAGTAATTACTACATTCAAGCAAACTAACTTATCCATCACCTTCCATAAGTAGTAAGAGCACCCAAAATCTATTCTTTTTTTTTTTTTTTTTGATACAGAGTCTTGCTCTGTTGCCCCGGCTGGAGTGCAGTGGCGTGATCTCGGCTCACTGCAAGCTCCGCCTCCTGGATTCACGCCATTCTCCTGCCTCAGCCACCTGAATAGCTCGGACTACAGGTGCCCGCCACCGCGCCCGGCTAATTTTTTGTATTTTTAGTAGAGACGGGGTTTCACCGTGTTAGCCAGGATGGTCTCGATCTCCTGACCTCGTGATCCGCCCACCTCGGCCTCCCAAAGTGCTAGGATTACAGGCGTGAGCCACTGCGCCCGGCCCCAAAATCTATTCTTAGCAAATTTTCAGTATAGAATAGTGTTACTAACTAAAGTCCTCATGCTGTACATTAGATCTCTAGGTTTATTCATCACTCATAACTGCAAGTTTGTGTCCTTTGACCCTCTCCTCATTTCCTTCCCCTCCCAACTCCTAACAACCACTGTTTTACTCTGTTTCTAGATATTTGACTTTTTTTTTTGATTCCACATATAAGTGAGATCAAGCAGTATTTTTCTTTCTGTCTGGCAATAGTTCTATATCTCCATTGTTGTAGTGACTGTAGAACTCACACATGATAAAATAACACAGAACTGACATATATTTTATGCCAATGCCAATTTACTAGTTTTGATATCATATTATAGTTATATAAGATGTTTAACCATTGGGAGAAACTGAAAGGGTATATGGGACCTCTCTGTATTATCTTTTACAACTGCCTGTTTATCTGTAGGATTTGAAAATAAAAAAAGATAAAACTCCATTTTTAAGCTGGATATATTGTGCCTCCACCCCATCCCACTAGTTAAAACATTGTATTTACCAGCCTTTGGCCAGATGCAATGGCTCATGCCTATAATCCCAGCATTTCAGGAGGCTGAGGCAGAGCAGGGGAATGGCTTGAGGCCAGGAATTCAAGACCAGCCTGAGCAGCACAGTGAGACCTCATCTCTTTAAAAAAAAAAAAAAAAAAAAAAAAAAAAAAAAAAAAAAGTCTGTCTTGCAACTAGATGTAGTTAAGTACCAGTCAATGAGATGTAGGCAAAAGTAATATGTCGGACTTTTTTTTTTTCCCTTTTGAGACAGAGTCTCGCTCTGTGCAATGGTGTGATCCCGGATCAGCCTCCCAGGTTCAAGCAATTCTCATGTCTCAGCCTCCCAAGTAGGTGTGATTACAGGCCTGTGCCACCACGCCCAGCTAATTTTTTGTATATTTTCAGTAGAGACGGGGTTTTGCCATGTTGGCCAGGCTGGTCTCGAACTCCTGGCCTCAAGCGATCTGCCCGCCTCAGCCTCCCCAAAGTGTTGGGATTATAGGCAAGAGCCACCGCACCCGGCCTATGTTGGACTTTCAATTAAGAGTTAAGTACTTCCTTCTTTCCCTTCTTAGGACTACTTGCTTGAAACAAAAACGTGGTAGCTACAACTCCAACAGCCATCCTGGACCTCAAGGATAAGGGCTATATCTCAGAGATGATAGATGGAAAGATGTTTGGGTCTCTAATATGAGATGATAATATTGTCCCTGGATGATCTACCTCTGAACTTCTTTTCTTTTAATTTCAAATTTTTTGAGATAGGGTCTTGCCCTGTTGCCCAAGCTGGAGTGCAATGGCACAATCTCAGCTCACCACAACCTCTACATCCCAGGCTCAAGCAATCCAACAGCACTGGCATCCCAAGGTGCTGGGATTACAGGTGTGAGCCACTGCGCCCAGCCTTGAACTTCTTTTAAATGAGATAAACTTCTAAGTTGTTGAAGCCACTATTTTCAGGTTTGTATAACTGTGGCCAAACCAATCCTAACCAATGCAATACAAAATTAACTATACATATACAGGTATAAACTCTATTTTTTATAAAATTGGGATATTATGCATAACTATTTTAAAGCTTTTAAAAATCCTTTTCAAAACATAAAATCCTCTTCATGAGACTCAATCTACTAGCTAATTTTTTCCACTTCACCACTAAAGTATACTAACTGAGGCCTGCAGTATGCTGAACGGGCATAGCTGGTCAGGCCCTTGCCACTATGCCTGCAGACTTCTTCCACCAGTTGAGCTGCATGCTTACAAAGAGTCACTCTTCTTTTTCCCAATCTTTTGTCAGCTGATTTGATATTAAAATTACATAACTTAACAATTATTACTTAACCAGTGAAATATTAAGGTAGAAAACAAGTTGTTCTTTCTATGAATGTTGAAAGCTTTGGAAAGACAAGTTCATTTTTAAAAATATTTGTAACAGGTGAGACAACTGTAAAAGTCTAGAAGAAAATAACTAGATGGATTCTGTTTATTTTTAGTGGAGATGGGGTTTCACCATGTTGGCCAGGCTGGTGTCAAACTCGTGACCTCAAGTGATCCGCCCGCCTTGGCCTACCAAAATGCTGGGATTACAAGCATGAGCCACCACGCCCAGCCAACTAGATGGATTCTGTACCAAGACTGATTCCTAGTAACTTTAAGCTCTTACTGTACTTATAAAAAGAAAAAAAAAAAAAAAGCTGGAAATCATAAATTATGAATTACTGGTTTATATAATTTTAAGTCAGCACTCTATAAGCAGACTTAGCCTCAAATAAAAGGTCTTGGAAAAACATAAATACACACAAATTTTAAGTTAAAATAAAATGTTTAGTATACGATTTTTTATAATGGTCCTTTCCTTTAAATAACCCTTTTTTTGCTTCACCAACCAACTACTGGTCAGTATTGTGTCTAATTAGAAGGTTTCAATGGAACTATACCTTTTGGTAGAAACAACATGTTAGGCTGGGTGCGGTGGCTCACACCTGTAATCCCAGCACTTTGGGAGGCCAAGGCAGGCAGATCACCTGAGGTCGGGAGTTCGAGACCAGCTTGACTAACATGGAGAAACCTCGTCTCTACTAAAAATACAAAAATTAGCTGGGCATGGTGCGCATGCCTGTAATCCCAGCTACTTGGGAGGCTGAGGCAGGAGAATTGCTTGAACCCGGGAGGTGGGGGTTGTGGTGAGCCGAGACCACATCATTGCACTCCAGCCTGGGCAACAAGAGTGAAACTCCACCTCAAAAAACAAAACAAAACAAAACAAAAAACACACAAAAAAACAAAACACAAAAAACATGTTAGTAAACGTAAATTAATTGGGTTTGGAAAGTAAGACATACTGGCTTCCTTTATTCACATTAGCATTTTCCTATTATTTTGGAACCAACAATTCCATGTTCATTGAATTTCCTTTTTTTTTTTTTTTTTTAAAGAAAATAGAGATGGGGAGCCCAGGGCGGTGGCTCATGCCTGTAATCCCAACACTCTGGGAGGGCAAGGTGGGAGGATTGCTTGAGTGGAGTTTGAGACCAACTGGGCAGCACAGTGAGACTCTATCTCTACAAAAAAATTTTTTTAATAAGAGAAAAAAAGAGATGGGGTCTCACTCTGTTGCCCAGGCTGAAGTACAGTGGTACAATCATAGATCACCGTAACCTCAAACTCCTGGGCTCAAGTGATCCTCCCACCTCAGCTTCCTAAAGGCTAGGACTATAGATGTGTACCACTATGCCTGGCTAATTAAAAAAAAATTTTTTTTTGTAGAGGCAGGGTCTTGAACTTTTGGGCTCAAGGTATCCTCCCACCTCCACCTCCCAAAGTGCTGGGGTTGCAAGTGTGAACTACCAGTCAGGCACGGTGGCTCACGCCTGTAATCCCAGCACTTTGGGAGGCCAAGGTGGGTGGATCACCTGAGGTCAGGAGTTCGAGACCAGCCTTGCCAACATGGTGAAACCCATCTCTACTAAAAATACAAACATTAGCCAGTCATGGTGATGGGCGCCTGTAATCCTAGCTACTTGGGAGGTTGAGGCATGAGAATTGCTTGAACCCAGGAGAAGGAGGCTGCAGTGAGCCGAGACCGCGCCAGTGCACTCCAGCCTGGGGGAAAAGAGCAAAAATTCCGTCTCAAGAAAAAAAAAAAAAGAAGTGTGAACTACCATGCCTGGCCTCTGTATTTCTTTAAGTAGTTATCTTCTTCTTTTATACTGAGATTCAATAAACAATCAGGAGAAAATTTTAAAAAGTAATTTAATAAATATAACTTAAATAAGAGATTAAAATGATATAAAAATAGCTAGCAAAAAGTACTACATTCTTACTCTTTTGCTACCCTGTCCTACTGCCTTTAACTTCTGTGTATTTATGTTCATTCTTTTAATACTTCAAGTTCTACATTACTCAAAACCTAATAGGATGTTCAATACATTACATAATAATTTTTTGTGTATCTTCTGACCTTATATTTTACAAGGAAACTTTTATAATATAAATTTTATAAAGTTGCATTATAAACAAATGTTATATTGTTACTAATATGATTATGTAAGTCTTAACAACAACTTATATTGGATCATCAGACAGAATAGTCAAATCAATAAACGGTGAATTACTAAGTCCTAAAGACTGAGTATATTTGGAAAAATGCATTCTTTCTAACAAAAAGTTTTAAAGCAGCAGTCAGCAAACTATGGCCTGAGAATGAAATACAGCCACCACCTGTTTTTGCATATAGTTTTACCGGAACACAGTCATGCTCACTCATTTAAATATTATCTATGGCTAATTTTGTATTCCAACTATAGAGTTGAGTAGTTGCAACAGAGACCATATGGACCCATAAAGCCTGAGCAATTTTTTTTTTTTTTTGAGATGGAGTTTTGCTCTTGTTGCCCAGGCTGGAGTGCAATGGTGCGATGTCGGCTCACCACAACCTCTGCCTCCTGAGTTCAAGCAATTCTCCTGCCTCAGCCTCCTGAGTAGCTGGGATTACGGGCATGTGCTACCACAGCTGGCTAATTTTGTATTTTTAGTAGAGACTCGGTTTCTCCTTGTTGGTCAGGCTGGTCTCGAACTTCCAACCTCAGGTGATCTGCCCAAAGTACTGGGATTACAGGCATGAGCCACTGCGCCCGGCCAAGCCTGAGCTATTTACTGTCTGGTCCTTTACTGAAATATTTTGCTAACCCCTGTTTTAAAGTGTCATACTTCCTGCCCCACTTCAAAGAATGGTTAGTTTCATGAATTTTTGGGCTCAAGATATCCTCCAACCTCCACCTCCCAAAGTGCTGGGGTTGCAAGTGTGAACTACCAGCCAGGCGTGGTGGCTCACGCCTGTAATCCCAGCACTTTGGGAGGCCAAGGCGGGTGGATCACCTGAGGTCAGGAGTTCGAGACCAGCCTTGCCAACATGGTGAAACCCATCTCTACTAAAAATACAAAAATTAGCCAGTCATGGTGGTGGCTAATTCTTGTATTTATGAGAACTAATTCTCAATTACCTTGATAAATAGGAGATAATTTTTTTTTTATTTTTAAAAATTTAAAAAGCTGAATAGGCCGGGCACAGTGGCTCATGCCTGTAATCTCAGCACTGCTGGAGGCCAAGGTAGGCGGATCACCTGAGGTCAGGAGTTTGAGACCAACCTGGCTAACATGGCGGAAACCTGTCTCTACTAAAAAATACAAAAATTAGCCAGGCATGGTGGCAGGCACCTGTAATCCCAGCTACTTGGGAGGCTGAGGCAGGAGAATTGCTTGGACCTAGGAGATGAAGGTTACAGTGAGCCGAGATCGTGCCACTGCACTCCAGCCTGGGCAACACAGCAAGACCTTGTCTCAAAAAAAAAAAGCTGAATAAAATTAATCATGAATAATGAGGCTTAACAATAAACACTGAACTGTTAAAATGGCAATAGTGAAATAAAGGCTCATACAAATATTTTTAAAAGCCAAAAGTTTATTTTAGTTTACTACTTTGCCGTAAAAATTTAAGATCTAACCTGATTGATCCAAGGATATGTAAAATCTTCTCTCCATCTAATGGATAGTCAACATTTGGGGGTGGGGAGGGACGCTGAAATATAAATATCATAAACATAAGTCCACACATGTTGTAACCTTTGCAAAAAGATGCCTTTTTTTTTTTTAAACTTACCTCATTATTCCCATCAATATTAAATTTTGCTGCTTGGATTTTTAGTCCTCGCTTCAGATCACTTACAAAGCAAGTACGCGCTTTAAGGAAGAAAAGGAGACCTTATTATGGCTAGTTATTATAATTGAACAGAGTGTACCTACACCCCAGTTAAAACAATTCTATTCAAGTGAACATGCTCATCATCTATTCCTTTGGATTTTATAAACTCTATTCCCATCTTTAGTTAGCTAACAATAATTTGTTCATTAAAAAACCTGTTTTGGCCAGGTGCAGTGGCTCTTGCCTGTAATCCCAGCACTTTGGGAGGCCGAGGCAGGCGGATCACCTGAGGTCAGGAGTTCGAGACCAGCCTGCCCAACAGGGCGACACCCCATCTCTACTAAAAATACAAAAAATTAGCCGGGCGTGGTGGCGGGTGCCTGTAATCCCAGCTGCTCCGGAGGAGGAGGCAGGAGAATTGCTTGAACCCGGGAGGTGGAGGTTGCAGTGAGCCGAGATCGCGCCACTGCACTCCAGCCTGGGCAACAAAAGTGAAACTCCATCTCAAAGAAAAAAAACAAACCAGAACAAAACAAAACAAAAAAACAACCTTTTTCATTGACTAAGGTGTCATAAAACATGTTGTACATTCATCTTGTATAAAACCTCATTTAAAAAAAATCACCTTTGAGGAAACTGTTGTTTGATATCTCTTGTATAAGGAGGACCACAATAAAAATTAATTTTACCATCATAAAAATGTAGCTATTCTAACTGAATAGCATATTTCTTTAAACCAGATTTTCTTTCTCCCTCTCTCTGTCTGATTCTTTTTAAGGAAACTTGTTGTGAAAAGATGTTACCAAAAAGAAATTGGAAAAAAAAAGAAATAAAATTAATAAAAATGTTGGTTGGTCAGAACACAACGCCAATTTTTTTTTTTTTTTTTTTTTTTCTGACAGAGTCTCACTCTATTGCCCAGACTGGAGTGCAGTGGCGTGATCTCGGCACAATGCAACCTCCGCCTCCTGAGTTCATGCGATTCTCATACCTCAGCCACCCAAGTAGCTGGGATTACAGGCACACGCCACCATGCCCAGCTAATTTTTGTATTTTTAGTAGAGACAGGGTTTCGCCATATTGGTCAGGCTGGTCTCGAACTCCTGACCTCAAGTGATCCACCTGCCTTGGCCTCCCAAAGTGCTGGGATTACAGGCATGGGCCACTGCGCCTGGCTGGTACAATGCCAAATTTTGCTCTTAGTTGCAATTTAACATTCCTTAATTTTGGGCTTTTTGTAATGATTGTTCCTCATTAGCACACCCCAACACTACCACTTTCTTTCTACTATATCACTTTACTTTTTGCATTTTGAAAACTTTTTCTTTTAAAAATTCTATTGCAAAGTATTTTTTACAATAAGCTGCTTAAAATTATTTCAAGGTAGTTAAGGAATACCTTTTTTAAAGTAGAGACAAAATTGATGTTAAATGCAAGAAATCTGACAACTTGGTTGTATTACTTGTAAAGCATGTTAGCCATATATTATGAAAAGAATTGTGTATAATATATATAATGCATATTGATATGATATATATTATACACAATTCTTTTCATAATACATTATGTAGTGAATTTCATTCACAAATTCAAAACACATGTGTTGAGAATCCACAATATGCTACTATGCTAGACAGTGAGCTAGGCACTAAAGCTACTTATATGTTTTATATTTTATTCAAGTTCTCGTGACTATCTAAGCAAAGTAAATACCTAGCCTTGAGATCTTTTTTTTGTTTTTGAGATGGAGTCGAGACTGACTTGCCCAGGCTGGAGTGCAGTGGCGCAATCTTAGCCCACTGCAACCTCCGCCTCTGGGGTTCAAGTGATCCTCCTACCTCAGCCTCCCAAGTAGCTGGGACTACAGGTGTGCACCACCATGCCTGGTTAATTTTTTGTAGTTTTATTTTTATTTTTTTGAGACAGAGTTTCACTCTGTCATCCACGCTGGAGTCCAATGGCGTGATCTTGGCTCACTGCAACCTCTGCATCCCAGTTCAAGATCACACAATACAATGAATATGTGTATGCTGCATATTAGTTTTTGTTTTTGTTTTCTTTTGAGACAGTTTTGCTCTGTCACCCAAGCTAGAGTGCAGTGGTCTGAACTTGCCTCACTGCAGCCTCCACCAGGAGATCCCAGGCTCAAGTGATCCTCCCACCTCAGCCCCTCTAAATAGCTGGGACTATAGGTCTGTACCACCACACCTGGTTAATTTTTGTATTTTTTGTAGAGACAGGGTTCATCACGTTGTCCAGGCTGGTCTTGAACTCCTGGGCTCTAGTGATTCACCTGCCTTGGCCTCCCAAAGTGCTGGGATTACAGGGGCCAGCCACTACACCCAGCCTGCATATATTTTTTTTTTTTTTTTTTTTTTTAGACAGAGTCTCGCTCTGTTGCCAGGCTGGAGTGCAGTGGCGCGATCTTGGCTCAATGCAACCTCCGCCTCCCAGGTTCAAGCAATTCTCCTGCCTCAGCCTCCTGAGTAGCTGGGACTACAGGCGAGTGCCACCACGCCCAGCTAATTTTTGTACTTTTTAGTAGAGACGGGGTTTCACCATGTTGGCCAGAATGGTCTCGATCTTTTGACCTCGTGATCCGCCCACCTCGGCCTCCCAAAGTGCTGGGATTACAGTCATGACCCACCGTGCCCAGCCCCTGCATATTTGTTTTTAACAGAAAGGGTTTCTACTGAACATACCTTCAACAACATGCTTTCTTCCTTAACATTATGGACCTTCTTCCAAAACAATACTCTAGCTCTTAACAGCTACATAACATTCCTTATAATGAAGTTAGCAAACTTCATGCAATAACACTTTTTAGATGGGATACAACACTTTGAATTTTCATAAATATGCCAGATTGCTTTCCAAAAAGGTTAGTTTGCAATCCTTACTACTAACAATAAACATCCATTTTCCTACAATCTCACTAATACCAGATGTCTTTCAAATTTTTGCCAATCTGATGTCTCCCTGACTAATGGAAGAGTTACACATCTTTTCACAGGTTGGAGGTCATATGAAAAGAAAACACTCCACATGGTCAACAACTGTTATATCACGGAGGATAGAAATGGAAGAGAGGAAAGGAAACCATTTTACCTGAGATATTTCTGTATTATTTGAACTACTGTAATAAGCATTACAAATGATTGAAATTTTATAACAATTGAAAAGAATTTAGGTAATTAAAACACATAAAAAATAATAGGTAATATAATGGAAAGCAAGATCTATTTTGTAGCCTGAGCTCTAACCCTACCTACTTGTGTGACACTGGACAAATAACATTTCACAGCCCCAACTGTATTAGATTATCTCCAGCTCTCATTTAACTCTAAAATCCATTACTGTCTATCTATTAAACATCCTAAATTATTAACATTAATGACATGCCAAGTATTGAAGATTATATTTTAAATGTATTTTATTTTAGTGAATAAAAATACCAGAAAACCCAATTTGAACTTTATCATAGAAATTCACCCTAGCAAAGTAGAAGCAATAAATCTCACTTAGGTGAAAACAATGTACTGTGTAGTACTTTGGTCACAATTCCGGAAGTTCTTAGAAAAATGTATAAAGAAAACTAGAGTAAAAAACATTATACTACATCAAACCAGTAGCTTTCTTAAGCAATTTAACTGTTCTTTCACACTGCAAAATACTAGTTCCCTGGTAACCCTGTATACTCTGTATACAATTGAGAAGCTGCTTCAGTAACACATCATCACTATGCCACAGCTTCCCTAAGTGTGAAAAAAAAGTGGAATTTGTACTTAGAGTATCCCATAACCTATATATTAAATACTTTTAGGATATTACATTATGAATATATTTTCTATCTGTGTAAATGTTTAGAAGCATATGCCCTCCAAAGTAACACTTAAGGATGAAAGGGACAAAAATGAGAACTTAGTTTACCTTTAATGTCCTCTAAGACACCTTCCGGAACTGAACCTAAAACAAATATTTCATTTAGAATTATAAAACTTTAATAATTAAAAACAGTCTATTAAATTGCCTTCACATTTCTATTTTTCAATTTAGAAAAAATTTTAAAAATACAACTACTATAATTTTCTCAAAAAGTCTAACAGAAAAATTTAATTTTGTTTTAGGGAAGAAATATCATCATTCAAAGCCAAGACAAACCATGGAAATTGAAGCAAAAAATTGAAGTTTCAAGTTTATCTTTCTGGTGATAATAAATAGTTGTCAGTAATGTGCTAACATATTTTTAAAAAGTACCACACACAATCTTTTAATCTTGTCCTTCAAGGTAAAGGTGACATTTAAAAAACAACTGAGAAAGTACTTATTCATTCTTTTTTGAATTAGGTTCTAAATACTAAATGAAAGAGGCTCATTCAAAGTTCAGCTAAAGATACCAAGTATATCTACCTTCATGCAATACAGGGAGCCTTTGGTTTGGATATATTACCATTGTTATAAAATTTTGTTGCCAAAAATCTGTCTCAGAAACAAAATTTTCTAACTTAAAGTCTTCGAAACTAAGAATTTTTAACTTTGGGGCCAGGCGCAGTGGCTCACGCCTGTAATCCCAGCGCTATGGAAGGCCAAGGTGGGCCGATCACCTGAGGTCGGGAGTTCAAGACCAGCCTGACCAACATGGAGAAACCTCGTCTCTACTAAAAATACAAAAAGCTGGGTGTGGTGGTGCATGCCTGTAATCCCAGCTACTCAGGAGAATGAGGCAGGAGAATCGCTTGAACTCGGGAGGAGTTTGGGGTAAGCCAAGATCATGCCATTGCACTCCAGCCTGGGCAAAAAGAGTGAAACTCCGTCTCAAAAAATAATAATAATAATAATTTTTAACCCATTGTAAAATATGTAAAAATATTTTCATTGATTTATAAGAATAAATTATTGATATCAGGGAAGATAGACATCTATAGCTGAAAAATAAATCATTATTTAATAAGCATAATTATGGCCTTCTTCCACCTGGATCTACATTTGTTGTCAACTATAACTTTCAGTTCTGAGAGCCATTAAAATTAGGTAAACTTAGAAACCACACCATTAAAATGTTAAGCCATAATTTTTAAAAAAAAGCATATTTAATATTTAATTATATTGCAAAAGATTTTTATCTTTAGTAAGTATAAGTTTAGAATTATTTATTATTTTACCTTTATTATCTCATCCTTTCCAAAGGCTTACTTTTGTGTTTCATAATATAGTAACAATAGTACATATATGGTGTATAAATAAACAGACATACTAAAGATAACATGTTCGAAGTTTTATTTTACCTGTGGGGCCAGTACATGATAAAAAATTTTTGAAGATTTCCTATCTTTAAGTGTTAAAATCAAGAGGATAAAGATATGCCAGAAGATTTAATCCTGATTATAAATAGATGAGAGAAATGTAACTTGACTGTAAGAACCTGCAATTTAAAAATAAGTGCTAAAACCTACAGCATTCCACAACTTCAATGCTCTCTCTTGGAACATTTATATAAATTTTAACATGTCAAAGAACTTTGGTAATATGAGAAACTGTTTTCTTTAGGCAAATGTAAGGCAGGCCTGGAAATAAAGAGTTTAATTTAGCTAAGAGTAGATGCTGCTTTGGGAAGGAGCTCCTTAATCATAAGGGGCAAATAATTATAACTATTTAAATTTTGCAAGTAAAGACTAGAAACAAGAGGCATTCCCTGGCTCTGGCTCTAAAAAAAATGCTTACATTTCAGTTAGGAAAATAAGAAGCATAACATATTGGTATATAATTTAAACTGTACATTTTTCCAATCAGTGTACTTAGGTTAGCCTTTTTGAGTTACTATGATATATTCATTCTTTTTTAAACTAAGTTCTAAACACTAAATGAAAGAGGCTCATTCAAAATTCACTTAAGAATACTCAAGCATATCTCAGACTTGCATATAATCTTTGCTAAGAACCTGGAAAAGAGACATTTTAAATTTGTTTGCATTTCTTTTTCTTTTTTTTTTTTTTTGAGACGGAGTCTCCCTCTGTCACCCAGGTTGGAGTGCAATGGCTCGATCTCGGCTCACTGCAATCTCCGCCTCCCAGGTTCAAGCGATTCTCCTGCCTCAGCCTCCCGAGTAGCTGGGATTACAGGATTAGCCACCATGCCCAGCTAATTTTTTTTTTTATGTAGAAACAGGGTTTCACCATATTGGTCAGGCTGGTCTCGAACTCTTGACCTCAAGTGACCCACTCACCTTGGCGTCCCAAAGTGCTGGGATTACAGGCGTGAGCCACCGTGCCCAGCCGTATTTGCATTTCTGATCCTACTAAGTGGGTGCTTCAGCAAATATTTGTATGATTTGATTCCACAATTTTGTAGGACTGCATGGCTATCACAGACTCAGATTGTGAGTATTAAAAGGAAAGGTTAGAATCAGTACAAGGTTGACTAGAAAAAGAATATCCAAGAATGTATCGTTTATAATTTTATGGAAATATTATTGGGTTTAAAGACCTTTACAAAGAACATCTTGGGATGCTACACTGAATTTATTATCTTTGAAGACCTTTTATAAATTACCTGTCACCAAAATATACTAAGACATCACAAAGTTATCTGGAATTTGAAAGCTATAATTGGATCTACAGAATGAAAAATGCTATTAACTTAACTATCAATAGGGAACAACAGGAAAACATAGGTATGCCTAAGTGTCGCAAAAATCTCGCTTTCCAACATATATTCAATGCCCTAGCACTATACTAGGTGCTGCAGATTGAAAAATAAATAAGACAGGGATCCTCAAAGTCTCCTGGGGGAAACAAGTGAGTTAAGAGGCAAATGAGAATGTGTCATATGTGCTATAATAAATTACTGCCAAGGGCTTAACAGAGAGGAGCAATTTATTCTGCTTAGGGAAGATGAGGAAGGCTTCACCATTAAGATGACATTCCAGCTGAGTCATGCAGAGGGATCAAAAACCAAACTAGGCAAAGAAAAACATCCCAGGGAAAGAAAAAGAATAAATGAAGGCACAGGGCTGTGCTAGGACTCACGGTGCCTCGACAACTGTAAGAAATTTACTGTAGCTTTAATAAGGAGCAAAGGATAAAGTTTAGTGACCTAAGGATAAGAGGTAGAACAAACTCAGATTTTGAAGAAACATTTATATCCAACAGATAATTTGGATTTTAACCTGTAGGAGCTTACAAAAATTCTCAAGCAAAAGAGCAATGTATTTATATTTATTTTGTGAAAAATTGGCTGGGCACAGTGGCTCAGGCTGTAATCCCAGCATTTTGGGAGGCGGGGGCTGGTGGATTGCTTGAGCTCAGGAGTTCGAGACCAGCCTAGGCGACATGGCAAAACCCCATCTCTACAAAATGTACCCCCCAAAAATTAGCTGGGTGTGGTGGCTTGCGCCTGTAGTCCCAGCTACTCAGGAGGCTGAGAATGGAGGATGGCTTGAGCCTAGGAGGTGGAGACTGCAGTGAGCCAAGATCGCGCCACTGCCCTCCAGTCTGGGCAACAGAGTGAGATCCTGTCTCAAAAACATAAAAATATTTGTGGAAAGTTATTCCTGGCAACAGTGTGAAACAGACCGAATCCATCCAGAGTAGACTTCTGTAATAATCTAAGAAATGAGGGCCTAGATTAAAACAATGTCTTTGCTCTCGGGTGTTCAATGGTGTGGAAGGTTAAAAAAAAAAAAAAAAAGAAAGAAAGAAAAATGAGATCTGAAAGAGATTTCTGAAGAATTGAAAGGCTAACTTCCAGTTTTGTAAAACGGGAGACAAGGAAAATATTACCTTTATCTAATAATTGAAATGAATTTGAGGAAAGACATAATGTATTCACTTTTGGAAATCTTAAGTTTGAGGTGCCTAGAGACATGCACAGTCTCTAATAATCAGTTGGAAATATGAATATCAAGTTCAGAAGAAGGATCAGGCCCAGTGACACATTTCAGAATCAACAGCATGCAGATGTAGAAGTTGTGGGAGTAGATAAGATCACAGTTAAAAAGCCAGTAGAGAAAAAGAAGGAACAAACACTAGATCCCTAGTCGAATACAAGTAGAGAAAGCAAGAGCAGAGGAAACCAGAGGAATATTTGGGGAAATAATAGACAACCACTAAAAAAAAGAATCCTGAAAGCCAAGGAGAAGAAAGCATTCAAGAGTACATGATGATCCACAATGTCAAAAGTTCTGGAAAGGATGACTAAAATCAAACTATTGAATTTAGTGATTAAAAGTTCAATGGTGAGCTTATAGTTGAAGCAGTACCATCAGAGTGGCATGGGGAGAAAAGAGAATAATCATGCAATGGAGCAAAGACTAAAATACAAGTTGAAGAACAAAAAGAGAGTGTAAACCACTCCTAAACCACTTAAAATGAATTTACCCATCACTGAGGGAAGGCTCTGTTCTTTAGCAACACTTGTGTCAACAGTACATTGTTCCAATAGTTGAGTTTCCAACTCTCTGAAATTAAAAAAAAAAAGTTACTGGAATGAAAATATTGAAACTGATATCCTTATTTGATACTTTCAACTACATAATAGATTATTATGATTTTTTTTTTGGAGACAGTCTTACTCTGTTGCCCAGGCTGGAGTGAAGTGGCGCAATCCCAGTTCACTGCAACATTCACCTCCTAGGTTCATGTGATTCTCCTGCCTCAGCCTCTCGAGTAGCTGGGATTACAGGTGCCCGCCACCATGCCCGGCTAAGTTTTGTATTTTTAGTAGAGATAGGGTTTTGCCATGTTGGCCAGGCTGGTCTTGAACTCCTGACCTCAGGTGATCCATCTGCCTTGGCCTCCCAGAGTGCTGGGATTACAGGTGTGAGCCACCACACCCAGCCCGATTATTATGATTTAAATAAAAATGATCTTCCTGCCAGGCACGGTGGCTCACGCCTGTAATCCCAGCACTCTGGGAGGCTGAAGCGGGTGGATCACCTGAGGTCAGGAGTTTGAGAACAGCCTGGCCAACATGGCAAAACTCTATCTCTACTAAAAATACCAAAATTAGCCAGGCGTGGCGGCGCACGCCTGTAGTCCCAGCTACTCGGGAGGCTGAGGTAGGAGAATCGCTTGAAACCAGGCAGCGGAGGTTGCGGTGAGCCGAGATCATGCCTCTGCACTCCAGCCTGGGTGACAGAGCGAGACTCCATTTCAATAATAATAATAATAATAATAAAGGTCTTCCCCATGACATAAGTTTACCTATGTAATAAACCTGCACTTGTATCTCTAAACTTAATAAAAGTTAAAAAAAAAAAGAAAAAAATGTGGTACATATACACAATGGAATACTATTCAGCTATAAAAAAGAATGAGATCCAGTCATTTGCAACAACATTGATGGAACTGGAGATCATTATGTTAAGTGAAATAAGCCATGCATAGAAAGACCAATATTATATGTGCTCAGTTATTTGTGGGATCTAAACAGCAAAACAATGTAACTCATGGACATAGAGAGTAGAAAGATGGCTACCAGAGGCCAGGGAGGATAGTGGAGGGATACAAGGGAGGTGAGGATAATTAATGGGTACAAAAAAATAGAAACAGTAAGACCTACTATTTAATAGCACCACAGGGTGACTGTAGACAATAATAACTTAATTGTACATTTTAAAATCATGTAAAGAGTATAACTGGATTGTTTGTAACTCAAAGGATAAATGCTTGACGAGATGGATACCCCATTCTCTATGATGTGCTTATTTCTCATTGCATGCCTGTATCAAAACATCCCAGGTACCTCATAAATATATACACCTACTATGTACCCCCAAAAATTAAAAATTTAAAAAACTGGTTTATTCTTAAAAAATGAATATACTCGAAGCTAATAGAGGGCGGAATGAATAAAATTCACTGTCCGTATCACAAGCCCTCTATTGATCACTGATCAACAAACAGATTAGCAACTGTTTTTGTGGCACAGGTGAAATGAATATGTTAAATTCCAAGAAACTTACTTGTGAAGAGCTTTTCCTCCTAGGGGTAGTGCTCCCCAACAATTTAGAACTGGGATTCCTTCATATATCTATAGAGTAGTCAAGGATACTACTATTTTAGGAGATAAAATGTGGTTTCCTTGATATTTTCCTCACCTTCTGCAGTACTGTTCTAAATATGCTTTAGTGACAAATTTTTATTTCTTATTTTTAACATAGTTACAGAAAAATCAAAGAGTAAGTTTTTTTTCATGTTCTTCATCAAAGAAAACAGAATAAAAATACACATAAGCACATGACCACACACAATTCATTAGATACAGCTGGGGCATCTGATAAAGTAGCCACTAGGCCTGTGCAGCTACTTAATACATGAAATATGGCTAGTCTGAATTGAGATGTGCTCTAAGACTAAGCTACACACCAAATTTAGAAGGTTTTAATACCAAAAAACCTCACTAAAATACCTCATTATAATTTTTGTATTGATGGAATATTGGAATATTTTGAATACATTGGGTTAAATAAAATATACTATTAATTTCATCTTTTCTCATGCCTTTTAAAATGTGGCTCTTAGAAAACTCTATTAACTTTTTTCTGAGACAGGGTCTTGCTCTGTAGCCCAGGCTGGAGTGCAGTGGTGCGATCTCGGCTCAGTGCAACCTCCACCTCCCAGGTTCAAGTGATTCTTGTGCCTCAGCCTCCCAAGCAGCTGGGATTACAGGCATGTGCCACCACACCCGGCTAATTTTTGTATTTTTCGTAGAGATGGGGTTTTGACAAGTTGGGCAGGCTGGTCTCGAACTCTTGGCCTCAGGTGATCTGCCCACCTCAGCCTCCCAAGGTGCTAGGATTACATGTGTGAGCCACGGCACCCAGCCTAGAACACTCTAAATTGCATACATGGTCCACATTATATTTCTACAGGACGGAGCTGAGAGGGAAGTAAACAATATTTACTGTGGGTTTGCTAAGTATACTGGTAAGAGCATCAGCTTTGGAAACAAACATGGGTTTATATCCTGGCTACATGTTTATAAGAAGAGGAGTCAACTACCCATCCCAACTGTCAATATTCTCATTTATATAAGGAGAATAATAATACTCATGTTGCATGGTTGTTTTAAGAATTAAACACAAAGTACTTTATACTAAAAAACACTACTGCTTGATTAAATTCCTTAGGAGTTAATGATGCTTAATTTCCTTCCATGAATATTTTTTCTAATAAATATACATGTAGATCTCAAAATTGCAAGTCTTACATTCATGCATGTCAACATCCTTTTCAATAAAGCAATGTCCACTAGGACAATTCTAAGAGATGCTCATCTATACTCTGCTTAAATATTTATAATGAAAAGAAATGTACTAGTTTATACGGTCAGTAATTCAATTTTGGGACAGCTTGAATTATTAGTAAGTTCTTGCCTATGGTCAATGATATAAAAACCACAGCACGTACTGAGAAAATTACTATGTGCCAAATCCTATGCTGAACACTTTATATATATTACCTCACTCAACTAACACAACTCTTCTATGAGATGGAAATATTATAATCCCCAATTTATAGATAAAGAAACTGAGGCCCGAAGAGATTAAGCTACCTGACCAAGTAGTAAAAAGCTTAGCTGAGATTTGCATTGCACTTATTGTGTATTTGATTCTAAAACCCAAGCTTGTAAACATTAAGGCATACTGCCTTCACGAAAGCCTCTGGAGATTTAAAAAATAAAAAAAAAGAAAAGAAAAAACGTATTCTTTTTTTTTTTTTGAGACAGAGTCTCGCTCTGTCGCCCAGGCTGGAGTGCAGTGGCATGATCTCGGCTCACTGCAAGCTCCGCCTCCCGGGTTCACGCCACTCTCCTGTCTCAGCCTCCTGAGTAGCTGCGACTACAGAGGCCAGTGAGCTCTTCAGCTGTTTGAAGGCTGATTTCATGTTGCCATTAAGTTTTGAAATCTTTCTGGATCGAACATACTCATTTCAGTTTCTCCAATTACTCTTTGTATGATTTTTTTCTTAAAACTTGACTATTCTAGTCAACTTGACACATCCTGATTTTTCTTTTAAAAACTGAACATAATATTCATGAGGTATACTCCTGGAGTATATCCTGGGACCAAACAATAATAACTTCTACAAAAAGTAAACTTAAGTCTTATAATCCTGTGAACTTTTTCCACATTGTAATTCATATTTGTACATAGTAACCCAAAATAGTTCAGTACAATACAAATCATTTATAATTAGCCTAATTATTTTAGTTAAAGTAGAGTAAAAACTGCAAAGGTGGCTGGCTGACAAAAAAGATATGGGTAACACCAGGCTTTCCCTATATCCACAATCTAGGACCATGGCAGAATTAATTCCAAGCGTCAGAAGAGCCATTAGATGACTTGGAGCAAGCAAGACAGATGGAACCTAGAAAATAACAAAATCAATACAACAAAACCGGAATGAGTGTCATTATTTGAAGGTATTTGCCTTATATCCAAATATATTTGAAAAAATTCACAGGAACATTATATTAATTTATATGGTGATACCTACTCAACCATTTTATGAGAGTAATTAAGAACTAGTTTGTTGATTTATATAAATTCACTCAATAACCAAAATACACTGTAATAAAAATAGCTCAACTGTTTCATTCCAAAATGACAATTATGAAGCATTTTTCTTTATTCTTGTTCTCTTTTGGAAGGGAAAATTGAAAGGGATAAAAGAAGAGGTCTAGAGGCTGGGCACAGAGGCTCACGCCTGTAATCCCAGCACTTTGGGAGGCTGAGGCGGGCGGATCACCCGAGGTCAGGAGTTCGAAACCAGCCTAACCAACATGGTGAAACCTTGTCTCTACTAAAAATACAAAAATTAGCTGGGTGTTGTGGCATCTGCCTGTAATCTCAGCTACAAGGGAGACTGAGGCAGGAGAATTGCTTGAACCCAGGAGGCGGAGGTTGCAGTGAGCCGAGATCGCGCCATTGCACTCCAGCCTGGGCAATAAAGCAAGACTCTGTCTCAAAAAAAAAAAAAGAAAAAAAGAAGAGGTCAAGAAACATAAATATAGAGGAAGATGTTAAATTTAAAAAATAGATGCCTTTACCATTAAGATGAAAATAGAGAAAAAAAATTCTTCATTGTTTTTATTTGCAAAGTTTGTAATATGAACTATATATTTTTACTGTTTCTTTTTATTTAAATTTTTATTTTTAACTTAGAGACAAAGTCTTGCTCCATTGCCCAGGCTGGATTGCAGTGGTGCAATCACAGCTCACTGCAGCCTCGACCTCCTGGGCTCAAGCAATCCTCCCACCTTAGTCTCCTGAGTAGCTGGGACTACAGGTGCATGCCACCACGTCCGGCTAATTGAACTGTAACTGGCAGTTAAAATTAAACCAAAGAACAAAATATACAAATAGTTGGCTCTGTGCAACATTTTTTTCAGTAAGAATTTGCCAAACCTGGTGCCATCTCAAATACTAGATATTCAATCAAAATATGACAGTCCATCATAATCGAATGGCAGACAAAATAATGGCTGTATTCCCCTTATCTAAATAAAGTAGGTATTCTAGTCATATAGAAGATATTAACACAAACTCTAATTATAAATACAGAGAATATTCTACTTTATTCAGATAACAGCTGACACGACTTCTTGTTTTGCTTTATGTTCTCCTTACTACAAATGAAATTCCTGGACTCATGACATCAGTAGGTACTGGAGGCTATGCAACCTGATTCCCTGTACCTGCTTTACAAAAATATAACTTAGAAATATTAAGTGCCTTTACCTCATAAAGACATTGTGATTTTTGGTATTAGGTATGTTTTGAATTCAGTAAATGTATGAAAATACATTTATATGTGCTTAATTTCTTATTCACTTAATACATATAATCTTACATTTTCCCTTGCTGATAAAACCTAAATTTTAAGGCAAAGATTTTTAAAAATTTGAATAATTAAGATTCTGGTCTACTATGAAATATACTAATCTTAAAACATATTCTTGGTGATAAAATAATCCTGATTCCTATAAAATCAAAGCTACAGGTAATATTACTTATATTATGAGGTAAGTCTCATTCCTGGCATTACCAACTTACTCTAAGGGAGGCACTGAATATTCCATTTTAAAGGAATTTGAAGCCTAAAATGACAAAATTCAGAACAGTACAACTAAACAATGGAAGCTAGAAAGATCTGGAAGAAATACATTGCAAAGTCCACAGCACAGAATATACCTTTTAATTCTGAATAAAAAAAAGTCCCCAAATAGAAAAACCTATATTAAAATAAATAAACAGTAATAAAAAGAAATATCCAATTATGTAAGTGTTGGATGAAATGCTAAAGCATGAAATAACCACACAAAGGAAGAAAATAAATGGCCAGTTTGAAGAATCTTCTGTCATCTGGTTCCCCAACTACACTGTGTGCCATACACAATATGAGACAAAATAAGGGCTTTTATTAGTTTAAGTTTTGAGTACCTACCAACAAAAAAAAAGAGAAGAAAGATTCCCTAAAAATTGGTAAGAATTTTATTGCTTCTCTTTTTATTTCAAAAGCAATTTACTTATTTGATATAAAGACAGGTACCTCAAAATATTTGAAAAGAACACGAGTGAGTGTCTCTCTGAAGTGAGAAGGACATAATACCGATTCGATAATCACAACTCGGCGGTCTCTGGGATTCACCAATAGATGCCTGAAAAGTGAAAGTTTTGGTTTTAAAAGTAAAAGTTTTTATTCATTTTGTTAAGTCATACAATTTAAGAACAGTGAAACTGTACTACCTTAGCTTAAGATATTTTATCACAAAAAGACATCTTCATTTTATTACCCCAGAAAGATAACATTTCTGACCTCTTACTATGTACCGTGCAGTGTGCTAGGAAATTCATTAACTTACTTATCTCAGAAACCTAAAATTATAGCCTACTATGATTACCAACTTGAGCCATTATATAGATTTTTTTTTTTTTTTTGAGACAGGATCTGGCTCTGTTGCCCAAGTTGGAGTGCAGAGGGGCAATCTCACCTCACTGCAACCTCAGCCTCCTGGGTTCAAGCCATCCCCTGATCTCAACCTCCTGAGTAGCTGGTACTACAGATGTGAGCCACAGCACCTGGCGATATTTTCTTTTTTTTTAGGTTACAATAGTAATATATGCTCACAAAGCTCCAAATATTATGACACGTAAAACTTGCAAAGTACAAGAACCTTATATCTCTACTACTCAGAACTATCACTGATAGAAGTTTGTATTTTTTTTCATTCTTATGGATGTATGGGGGTATGTTTTAACAGAAATACTCATTCCATAGATGTGGTTCTTTAACTTGCTTATTTCACTTATCAATATATCCCACACACCTTCCTGTACTACTACATACAGATGCAGAACTCTTTTTAAAGAGCTGCATGGTATTTCACTGTATGAATGTAGAATAATTTAATTATCAGTTCACTTCATTAATGAATATTTCATTTTCAGTATCTCTTTATGTCTGCCAGTTTTCTAGTCTTCAAATATATTTTTGAAAAGGTTGAAAATAAGCATGTAAAAATGGCAATAGAAGTCCATTTTTTTTTTTTTTGGCCTCAGCTGTAACACAACCAATTATCACTATGGCATTAGGAAAATCTATCTAATCATAAAAGCTAGAAAACAAAATGTATCTTACCTGAAATATAGTATGTGGATGAATTCCTTTAGGTAGGAATATAATTCTTCTGTATTGATATTATACTGAACAACTCTGACAGGCTGTAAAAAATTAAAATGATTTATTAATTTATATTAATAAAATAACCTCAAATTAAGATTAAAATGTAATTATTTACTAATACATTTTCTGGGAATAAATTAAAAGCAATCTGTATTGAGAATATAAAAATTAAATACAGAGTAATCTCTTAAATTAGGAATCCTTAAGAATCGGAATGTCTAAGATGGCAGAATGTTTTAGTCTGTGGTAATGGAAGTGTGTGTTCATAGGAAGTAAAGAGCATGGCTCACATGCATTTTTCCTCCATCTGACTTATCATTTTGGCTTGAATGATAAAAATCAGCTTTGAGGCCAGGTGTGGTGGCTCATGCCTGTAATCCCAGCACTTTGGGAGGCCGAGGTGGATGGATCACTTGAGGTCAGGAGTTCGAGACCAGGCTGGCCAACATGGTGAAACGCTGTCTCTACTTAAAATACAAAAATTAGCCAGGCGTGGTGGTGTGTGCCTATAGTCCCAGCTACTCTGGAGACTGAGGCAGGAGAATCACTTGAAAACCCTGGAGGAGGCTGCAGTGAGCTGAGATGGCTCCACTGCTCTCTAGCCTGGGCAACAGAACCAGATTCCGTCTCAAAAAACAAACAAACAAACAAACAAACAAATTTCCAGCACTTTGGGAGGCCGAGGCAGGTGGATCACCTGAAGCTAGGAGTTCAAGACCAGCCTGGCCAACATGGTGAAACCCTATCTCTACTAAAAATACAAAAATTAGCTAGGCGTGGTGGCGTGCACCTGTAGTCCCAGCTACTCAGGAGGCTGAAGTGGGAGAACTGCTTGAACCCAGGAGGTGGAGGTTGCAGGGAGGCAGAGGTTGCAGTGAGCCAAGATCGTGCCACTGCACTCCAGCCTGGGTGACAGAGTGAGAACCTGTCTCAAAAAAAAAAAAAAAAAAAAATTCAGCATTGAATAAAAAGCATCAAAGGCTTCCTCAAATACTCAACTTGGTTCAGTCCCTGTTAGTCCAAAAACACTGATATCTTCTCTTTTGCAACATCGCCACACTGAATTACTTGTAAAATGTCCCCCTTTCTGCTAGATTATAAGCTCTATGCACAAGAACTATTTCTGGCTTGCTTATGATATATCTTTCTTCAAATAATACAGTTCCAGGTACATAGTTGTGGTTGTTCATAAATATGTGTGATAAAAATGACAACAAACACCATTAGCACAAAAGCAGCCTACACACATATTACCAAGCCATGAGTGCTAAGTCAATGCTAATATATAACAATGGCTTCACTTATGATCCTCAGAAAGCTCTCAGTACTCTGATGCATCATTGGCAGACCTCTCTTCATTTACTCTTTCAAAAGAAGTACCATCAGCCTAATTTCTTGATTTTATGTGGCTTAAAGAAGATTCCAAACCATATATAATCAAATATAAATAATTTTTTAGGTATCTGTCTTTTCAAATGAAGATAAAAACTCGTTCGGGCGCAGTGGCTCATGCCTGTAATCCCAACACTTTGGGAGGTCAAGGCGGGTGGATCACCTGAGGTCAGGAGTTTGAGACCAGGCTGGCCAACACGGCGAAACCCCGTCTCTACTAAAAATACAAAAAAAAAAAATTAGCTGGGTGTGGTGGAGGGCGCCTGTAATTCCAGCTACTTGGGAGGCTGAGAGAGGAGAATGGCTTGAACCCGAGAGGAGGAGGTGGCAGTGAGCAGAGATCATGATACTGCACTCCTGCCTGGGTGATGGAGTGAGACTCCATCTCAAAAAAAAAAAAGATAAAAGCTCAAAGCACCAAGGAAAGTGGCAACAAAAACGTACAGGGTCTAATCCAGTAAGAAATCTATCTGGTAACACAGTAATGCCAATTGTTATAAAGCAAAATGACATGAAAAATTAGTAAACAGGAACTTCCATCCCCCGCCCCCGTTTTTTTTGACATGGAGTCTCCCTCTGTTGCCCAGGCTGCAGCACAGTGGCATGATCTCAGCTCACTGCCACCTCCGCCTCCCAGATTCAAGCGATTCTCCTGCCTCAGCCTCCCGAGTAGCTGGGACCACAGGTGCCTGCCACTACACCTGGCTAATATTTGTATTTTTAGTAGAGATGGGGTTTCACCAAGTTGGCCAGGCTAGTCTCAAACTCCTGGCCTCAAGTGATCTGGCCACCTCAGCCTCCCAAAGTGCTGGGATTACAGGCATGAGAGACCACACCCGGCTTCCATCACATTTTTGAACATCAAACCACCAATATCTACCATATTTCTGGCTTGTCCAAGGATTTGCAGAAAAATTTAAAATCAATGAAATGATTCCTTAATCAAGTGTAATTAAAAAGATTTCTGGGCCGAGCGCAGTGGCTCACACCTGTAACCCCAGCACTTTGGGAAGCCAAGGCGGGCGGATCACGAGGTCAGGAGATACAGACCATTCTGGCTAACACGGTGAAACCCCGTCTCTACTAAAAAATACAAAAAATTAGCTGGGCGTGGCGGCGGGCAACTGTAGTCCCAGCTACTCGGGAGGCTGAGGCAGGAGAATGGCATGAACCCGGGAGGTGGGGCTTGTAGTGAGCCCAGATCATGCTACTGCACTCCAGCCTGGGCGACAGAGCAAGACTCCGCCTCAAAAAAAAAAAAAAAAAAGATTTCTGATGTATGTAAATGCCAAATATAAACTGCTGGTCTCGTCTATTCTGCTATAACATGTTTTTTTTTGTTTTTGTTTTTGTTTTTTTTGAGATGGAGTTTCGCTCTTGTTGCCCAGACTGGAGTGCAATGGCACAATCTCAGCTCACCACAACCTCCACCTCCCGGGTTCAAGTGATTCTCCTGCCTCAGCCTCCTGAGTAGCTGGGATTAACAGGCATGTGCCACCATGCCCGGCTAATTTTGTATATTTAGTAGAGATAGGGTTTCTCCTTGTTGGTTAGGCTGGTCTGGAACTCCTGACCTCAGGTGATCCACCTGCCTCAGCCTCCCAAAGTGCTGGGAGTGAGCCACCGCATCTGGCCAACATGTGTTTTTATAAAACCAAATATGCTTATATGCGATTGCTAAAAAAGGAAATAATGTCAGAAAAATGTTATAGTTGTATTAGTTAATATTAGGCAAGACAAGCTATAATTATAATGGAAGTATAACTTTCATCAAGAAAAAGAAAGTCATCAACTCAGTTATCACACAGGTAGATATGCTTTCAGATCTATTCATAAGAAAAGTGTAAATAACTCCCTACACCAGCAATTCGTGCCTCAGAGTGGATCCATGACTCTGTTGGGTTGCATTTCCTCCTAGTTGCTACTTAATAACAGTCCCACTGGCTCAGAGCTTGCTACCATCTGCACTGACTCAGAACCCACTGGCTAACATTTTCAATCCATGACTTTTATTTTTATTTGTTTATTTTTGAGACAGGGTCTCACTCTGTCGCCCATGGTGGAATGCAGTGGTGCAATCTTGGCTCACTGCAGCCTCAACCTCCTGGGCTCAAGTGATCCTCCCACTTCGGCCTCCCAAGTAGCTGGGGACTACAGGTGCGCACCACCTCCACGATTTTATTTTATTTTATTTTTTTGAGATGGAGTCTCGCTCTGTCGCCCAGGCTGGAGTGCAGTGGCGCAATCTCGGCTCACTGCAAGCTTCGCCTCCCGAGTTCACGCCATTCTCCTGCCTCAGCCTCCCAAGTAGCTGGGAATACCAGTGCCTGCCACCATGCCTGGCTAATTTTTTTTTTTTTTTTTAGTAGAGATGGGTTTTCACTGTGTTAGCCAGGATGGTCTCGATCTCCTGACCTCGTGATCTGCCCGCCTCGGCCTCCCAAAGTGCTGCGATTACAGGCGTGTAATCTGCCCAGCCCACAATTTTATTTTTAATATTCCCTAAGACAGCCTCCAGCCACACTCAGCTGCCTGCCAATCCTATTTAAATTTTGTGGAGGCATCAATTATTGTTTTTGCTAGTCCTCTGATTACAAAGTTACACAGGTTTTATATGGACTACCTCAAGCTTATTTTTCCCATAAGCCTGTTTTGTTTTGTTTTTTAAAAATGTACCATTTTGCAGAACAAAGGTATTTTCTGGAATGCATATATAATGTTACTGTGGTAACAGCTACATCTCATTTTTTAACAAGTGAATTTTATAACATGCAAAATCATTCTTTCTACTGGTTGTAATTTCTAATCTGCCAAATTAGCTGTGGCAAGAAACTTTTTGAAAGTTTGTTTTCAAAATTCTCTGGGTTTTGAAACTGTAAATAAGGGAATAAATATCTGATATATTATAAATAATAAAATAATTCAGTGGTTATAAGACTTATAAAAGTATTTTACTGAAGTTAAAATTTTTCTCTTGATATATGATTCCATTTACATAAAATGTACAGAAAAGACAAATCTATAGAAACAGAAGGTACACCCTAATGGGCTGAGGATAGGAATGAGGATTAATTGTAAACGGGTATTAGGGATTTTACTGGGGTGATGAAAACATTCTAAAACTGGATTGTGGTGGTACTTGTACAACATGATATACTTATGGTGTGCAAAATTAGACCTTGATAAAGTTGATTTAAAAAGAAAAACTTTTCCTTGGAAATATAGCCACAAAGTATATATTTAGTACTGTTTCTTGTTTCTTTTTTTTTTTTTTTTTTTGAGACGAAGTCTTGCTCTTGCCCCCCAGGCTGGAGTGCGATGGCTTGATTTTGGCTCACTGCAACCTCCGCCTCCCGGGTTCAAGCAATTCTCCTGCCTCGGCCCCCTGAGGAGCTGGGATTAGAGGTGCCTGCCACCACTCCCGGCTAATTTTTGTATTTTTAGTTGAGACAGGGTTTCACCATGTTGTCCAGGCTGGTCTCAAACTCCTGATCTCAGGTGATCCACCCGCCTCAGCCACCCAAAGTGTTGGGATTACAGGCGTGAGCCACCACGGCTGGCCTTTAGTACTGTTTTAATCAATCTTACTTGAAGTCATATTTTAAAACATTTTATAGTATGGCATTTATTTTGCTAATATTTTTTTTTAAATACCTTAGGCATCCCAGCTCTTTTTATCACACTAGGAATTATACATCTTGGACCAGTTTCTCCAGCAAATCCACACCTGCAAATAAATGGAAAATTGAAACAACTTATAGTATTCTTTTAAATATTTGTCACAGAAACTAATTTTCTCTGTATTTGTTTCAAAACAATGGCCACAATAACATTTGAAAATACCTGATGTATTTTAAGGGATCAAAAAAAATCACTCCACAAAACTAATAATACTATTTATTAATGCTTGTGTATTAACAGAAAAAAATTCTATGAAATTCGTGATGCTGAAAAAAACAAATGTATTATTTTAGGGCAGCATTTACTTTTTTTTTTTTGAGATGGAGTCTGGCTCTGTCACCCAGGCTGGAGTGCAGTGGCGCGATCTCGGCTCACTGCAAGCTCCGCCTCCCGGGTTCACGCCATTCTCCTGCCTCAGGCTCCTGAGTAGCTGGGACTACAGGTGCCGGCCACCACGCAGGGCTAATTTTTTTTTTTTTTTTTAGTAGAGACGAGGTTTCACCGTGTTAGCCAGGATAGTCTCGATCTCCTGACCTCGTGACCCGCCCGCGTCGGCCTCCCAAAGTGCTGGTATTACAGGCGTGGGCCACCGCGCCTGGCCAACTTTTTTCCTAGTTGTTAATTTTAGCAGAATTTAGGCAAGACATATCTACAACTCTGAATCTGTACTACATTATGTGACTTCATTCATATAATTCATCTGTATCACTCATAATTCCATCATTCTAATATTGTTAGCTTCCATATTGGTGTATTCACTTTCAGTCTACTTCTTATGATTATGCATATATATTTGACATAGTTTTAATCACACTTCATACATAATTAACTCATACAGTAAGCTTCTGCCCATATTAACATAATCTTCATTGCTATCACTTTTTTTTTTTTTTTTTTTGAGGCAGGGTCTCGCTCTGTCGCCCAGGCTGGAGTGCAGTGGCACAAACTCAGATCACTGCAGCCTCCGCTTCCCAGGCTCAAGCGATCCTCCCCCCTTGGCCTCCCAAAGTGCTAGGATTTCGGGCACGACACTACCGCCGGCTAAATTTTGTATTTTGTGTAGAGCTGGGTTTCCCCATGTTGCCCAGGCTGGTCTTGAACTACTGGGCTCAAGTGGTCAGCCCGCCTCAGCTTTCCAAACTGCTGGAATTACAGTATTATTTTTAAAACCACATATTTCATTATTTTAAAAACGATGCTCTTTTCTTGAGTATTTAGGTATTTCCATTTTTGTTTCATGTTAGTAAAACAAAAATTTGCTAAAAACGTTGCTAAAAATGATCATCATACTAGTTTAGTCTTAACATCCTGTCTTCTTGTCCTGTCTAGTTTTTGATACTGCTCTCCTCGTATTCCCAAATAATTCTCTCCATCTCCTCCTATTCCCGTCTCCATGTTTACTTGCATCAGTGCTCCTCAAACATCTCAGAATGCAAGCCATTAGACTTCAATTCCTTTTTTTTACTTCATACATTTATCTTATCATCCTCCTGCTGTCTTTTTCAAATATAGCTTTTTGCTTATTTCTTCCAAGTACAGCCAAAATAATTATCTTTGACTAGAAGCCTCGAACTGTTTATTACGCTTTCAAAATAATTTTAATAAGAAAATATAAATAAGGAAGGGCCTCGCATAGAACAATAAGAGAATGTCATTAACCAAGGACTATGTTTAATCCAATTCTGGAGTTCCTGGGGTCCAATTTTTAAATAGGCTCTTTTAACCACTTAGTCAATAAATAGTTATTAAATACCTACTACACGTCAGGAAGTGCCTAGAGATATAAAAAGATTTTTCAAATGTTTCATTTTCATAAATACATATATGATGTAATTGCCTGTTACTTCCCTCTCTGTTGAGCCCATCACAAGGACTCTTAATCTAGGGTCCCAGGACCACATTGATTGTCTGCCAATTCCCTGAAACTGTGTATAAGTACCTTAAGATTTGTGCATTTGTGGTTTTCATCCAGCCATTAAAGAGATCTATGCCATCCGAAAGGTTGAGAACCTCCTCTCTATTGTTTACAAGTTGGTTTGTTTAAAACATGTCAAATCTAACCTTCGAGTTTAGGGGAGCCAACAAAGGATTTCCAGAATCTTATCTATAGGGTTTCACCTCTTAATGTGCCCAGTCTCCCTAATTCTTGAGCAGCGATAGCCCTGTCTTAAACATCTTTCCATTTTCAGCACCAAAATAAACTCCGTTCAATATTTTATGATGAAATTCGTCATCGAGCATTTACATTCGGTTGGCTGCCTTCCTCAACTGAGGAGCCCAGGGTAAGCGGGGTCTAGGTCACGGTTGTCATCCCCTACACAGATGATCCCAAAGGGTTTGTTGGGTTTGGGGTGATGACAAGGGGCGGCGACGAGGGCAATTCAACAGAAGCTTTCTGGGCCTCTCTGGGAGTCAGACCCCGATCCTCGGATTCGCATCGCCCAGGGAGGAAATAATAAGAGCTGTTATTTGCAAGGGCGCTGGTTGAAGAAAAGGGGAGGCCCGGAGCTGCCCAGCGAGTCGGCGATGAGGACCCAGGCAGTGCCTGGGGCTCTGCCACCCGCCCTCCCCTCGGGTCGAACACAGCTGGCGTCACGGCCACTCACTTGGTAAAGGCCTCTCCCAGGTCGATCACGACCGCCGTCTTCTCCCCGCCGCTCCCCAGGCCCTCGTAGAGCGGCATGGTAGTAAGGCAGACTGAGAGAAGAGGGTCGCAGTCTCCGCGGCCAACAAGTCTCGGCGCTCGCGGGGCGGGGCCGGGGCTCCGGCGCTCGGGCGTCGGCGACGGCGGGGGCCTCGCGCGGCCGCGGCGCGCCGGGCCCGGGCTGTCCCAGGCTGTGCCTCATTCCGCGTTGGACCCACCCTTGCAGGTGCTGCCGTCGCCAGGACTAGGGGAAAAGAGGCGCTGGCGGGCGCGAATCCGAGTGCGGGGGCGCGGAGGCCGCGGCGATCAGGCGCGCCGGTCGCCCTGAGGGGGCGGAGCCGGCCTCCCTATCCTTCCCTCCCACCACGCCCCAAAGCCGCACCCACGCGCGGCTGTGAAGAGGTTCGGTCTCAGCTCACTGTGAAGAGGTCACTGAGGACCTGGCTGCCAAGGGGCAGCCGAGAGACGACGCAATTCCGAACCTTTGATTCATGCTCTTGGGGGGCAGAAGATGCTGAGACCCTATTCTGTGCTAGGCGTTTTGCCTAATATTTAATCTTCTCAAGAAATAACAAGAATATGTGTTTTCTTATCTGTGGGGACCGACGCTCAGAGAGATTAACTTTCCCAATGTCCCACGGCAGAGCCAGGAACAAACCCACAGACTTCCTAATTGCAAAGCCTATGCTAATGATGCTTTAGAGAATAATACGTACAGACAATACTTTAGTTAGTAGTCTTTCTGAAAGTTTTTATTTTACTCCAGAATTAAGCAGCTAGAGTAGCGTCTGTGAATCTTGAATCTGTCCATAGAGGAGCGGTCGGGATGGTTTAATAGAAGAAACATTGAAGCAAAGGCCCCTATTAGGTTGGTGCAAAAGTAATTGCTGTTTTTGCCACTACTTTTAACATTTACATTACTGTTTACATCTTTGTCACTTCACAGCTTTCTGTGAAAATATTTTTTTCCTGCAAATATTAGCTCTAACTGTATCTATGCATAGGAGTGGAAAAGACTGTCAAAGGAGAGGCTGTGCAATAAGAAAAGAGGTTCAAGGGTAAATCGGTGAGGACTAGCAACATTTAGCTGGTGTACTGGGTTGAATGATGCCCCCCCCCCCAAAATTCTTGTCCACTGGGAACCTCAGAATGTGACCCTATTTGGAAATAGAGTCTTGGCAGATGTAATCAAGTTAAGATGAGGTTATACTGTATTAAGATGTCCCAACTGTCCGAGCGCAGGATCACACCTGTAATCCCAGCACTTTGGGAGGCCGAAGCGGGAGGATCCCTTGAGCCCAAGAAGTCTAAAGCGGCAGTGAGTCGGGATTGTGCCGCTGCACTCCAGCCTGGGCAACAACAAGAGTGAGAGCCTGTCTCTCAAAAAAAAAAAAAAAAAAAAAAAAGGCCCTACTCTAATGGTTGGTAACTAGAGTTAGCGGGGTAGTTGGGGATAAGCTATTTCCATAACAAAAACTAAGGCTGTAACAATGCAGAAATTTGGAATGTGATATTAGTAAAATTCATGTTTAAGTCCAAATTACTGATCAATGATCCTCCTTGAAAGCAAATTCCTGGAGACAGGAGAATGAAGTTGGAGTTGTGACGGGGAAGAAAACTTTAAGAAACGTGGGAAGAGATTAAATTTTTTGCTTAATAGAGTCAGATTATTTGAATAGGACCCCTTACTTGAGTTCAGATTCTGTTTCTGCCACTTTCTGTCAAGTCCCTAATACCTCTGATCGTCCACTTCCTTATCTGTAAACTGTTCTGCTGCTTCACAAGGTATTTGTAAGGATCAATTTGAAATTATGTTTCTGAAACTATTGAAATGATGAAGTTTGTTATTACCTATTCTATGTTTTCCATGACAGCTCACCAGCTGTATTTGTTAGCTAGGGACTGCCGTAACAAAGTACCACAAACGGTGGTTCAAGGAAACAAAAAATTTATTCTTTCACACTTCTGGAGGTGAGAAGTCAGAAATCAAGGTGTCAGCAAGAGCAAGGTCATGCCCTCTTTGAAGGCTCTTGAGGAGGATCCTTTCTTGTCTTTTTTTTTTTTTCTTTTTTTGAGATGGAGTCTCGCTCTGTCACCCAGGTTCGATCTCAGCTCACTGCAGCCTCCGCCCCACCAGGTTCAAGTGATTCTTCTGCCTCAGCCTCTGGAGCAGCCGGGATTACAGGCACCTGCCACCACGCCCAACTATTTTTTTTTGTTTGTTTTGGATTTTTAGTAAAGATAGGGTTTCACCATGTTGGCCAGGCTGGTCTCGAACTCCTAACCTCAGGTGATCTGCCTGCCTTGGCCTCTCGAAGTGCTGGGATTACACCGCGCCCAGCTTTTTTTTTTTTTTTTTTTTTTTTTAACAGAGTCTCGTTCTGTCATCCAGGCTGGAGTGCAGTGGTGCAACCTTGGCTCACTGAACCCCAGACTGGGCTCAAGCAATTCTCCTGCCTCACCTTCCCAAGTAGCTGGGACTGCAGGCATGTGCCACCTTGCGTGGCTAATTTTAACATCTTTTGTAGAGATGGGTTTCACCGTGTTGCCCAGGCTGGTCTTAAACTACTGAGCTCCGGTGATCCGCCTTCCTAAGCCTCCCAAAGTGCTGAGATAACAGGCATGAGCCACCGTGCCTGGCCTTCTTTCTTGCCTTTTCCTAGCTTCTGGTGGTTGCTGGCAATCTTTGATGTGCCTTTGCTTGTAGATACATAACTCCAATCTCTGCCTCTGTCATCACTTGGCCTTCTTCGCTGTGTCTGCATTTTTCACATTATGTACTCCTCCCTGTGTCTTCACATCACTTTCCTTCTGTGTGTGTCTCTGTGTCCAGATTTCCCTCCTTTTTTCTTAATTGTTTTCTTTTTTATTTTTTCTGTATTCGGCTGAACAAATTTCCCTCTTCTTGTTTATTTTTATTTTTATTTTTTTTGAGACGGAGTTTCACTCTTGTCGCCCAGGCTGGAGTGCAGTGGCGCGATCTCAGCTCACTGCAACCTCTGCCACCTAGGTTCAAGCAATTCTCCTGCCTCAGCCTCCCAAGTAGCTGGGATTACAGGCACCTGCCACCATGCCTGGCTAATTTTTTGTATTTTTAGTAGAGATGGGATTTTGCCATGTTGGCCAGGCTGGTCTCGACTCCTGACTTCAAGTGACCCGCCCGCCTCGGCCTCCCAAAGTGCTGGGATTACAGGCATGAGCCTCTGTGCCCGGCCTCCCTCTTCTTCTGAGGATATCAGTTACTGGCTCAGGGTCCATCTTAACCCAGTATGACTTCATCTTAACTTGATTACATTTGCAAAGGATCTAATTCCAAATATAGTCACATTCTAAGATTTCTGTTCACACGAATTTTGGGGAGGACACTATTCAACCCAGTACACAACCTAAATGTTGTTGTTCTCCATGGTTCTGCTCTTGAACCTCTTTTCTTATTGTACACCCTCTCCTTTGCCAATCTCTTCCACTCCCATAGATACAGCTAGAGATAATATTTGTTGAGTTCTATTTGCTAGCTCTCCTTGCTATATATGATCCCATTTATTCCTCACAGCAACTTTATGAGTTAAGTGTTATTGTTACTAGAAAGGGGTCTCAATCCAGACCCCAAAAGTGTTCTTAGACCTCGCACAAGAAATAGTTCGGGGCAAGTCCATAGAGTAAAATGAAAACAAGTTTATTAAGAAAGTAAAGGAATAAAAGAATGGCTACTCATAGGCAGAGCAGCAGCGTGAGCTGCTTAACTGCTTATACTTATCATTACTTCTTGATTATATGCTAAACAAGGGGTGGATTATTCATGGATTTTCTGGGAAAGGGTTGAGCAATTCCTGGAACTGAGGGTTTCTCCCCCTTTTAGACTACATAGGGTAACTTCCTGATGTTGCCATGGCATTTGTAACTGTTGTGGCACTGGTGGGAATGTCTTTTCAGGTGCCTTGACATTATATTCTTCATGTTTCTTTTGTTTGGGATTAAGTGAACTTGGACCTGTGGTTTTATAGTTTTCATCAAATTTGGAATATTTTGACCTTTGTTTCTTCAAGTAATTTTTCTATACTGACTCTTCTCCTTTGGGTAGTCCAAGTACATATGTTATTAGGTGGTTTAAAGCTTTCTCGTAGCTCACTGACTCTTTGTTCTTTTTTCTTTTTCTCACTTATATTTTTTCCTCTGTGTTTCTTTTTGTATAGTTTCTACTGTTTTGTCTTCATGTCTATTGATCTTCTCTTTTGCAGCATTTAATCTGCTATTAATCCCATCCAGTGTATTTTTCACCTCAAAATTGTATCTTTAACTTCTAGAAGTTCAATTTAGGTCTTTTTCTTTGTATCTTTTTTTTTTCTAGACAGAGTTTTGCTCTGTCACCCAGGCTGGAGTGTAGTGGTGTGATCTCCCCATTGCAACTTCTGCCTCCTGAGCTCAAGTGATCTTTCCACCTCAGCCACCCAAATAGCTGGGACTACAGGCACATACCACCATGCCCAGCTCTTTTTTGTTTGTTTGTTTTGGAGAGACAGGATTTTGCCATGTTGCCTAGGCTGGTCTCGAGCTTCTGGGCTCAAGCAATCCACCCATCTCAGCCTCCCAAAGTGCCGGGGTTACAGGTGTAATCTGCGCCCAGACACTCTTTGTATCTTCTATGTCTTTCCTGAAACATGCTTGTGTTTTCCTCTACCTTCTTGAATGTATGACTATAAATATAATTATTTTAATGTTCTTGTCTACTAATTCTTTTTTTTTTTTTTTTTTTTTTTGAGATGGAGTCTTCCTCTGTCTTCTAGGCTGGAGTGCAGTGGCACAATCTTGGCTTACTTCAACCTCCGCCTCCCTGGTTCAAGTGATTCTCCAGCCTCAGTCTCCTGAGTAGCTGGGATTACAGACATGAGCCACTATGGCTGGCTAATTTTTTGTATTTTTAGTGTAGACGGGGTTCACCATGTTAGCCAGGCTGGTCTCAAACTCCTGACCTCAGGTGATCCACTCGCCTCGGCCTCCCAAAGTGCTGGGATTACAGGTGTGAGCCACTGTACCGGGCTTGTCTGCTAATTCTATCACCCGTGCCCTTTCTGGTTCTATTTCTATGTTTTCCCCTTGCTATGAGACATATTTTCTTTCTTTTCTGCATGACTGTTAAGTTTTGATTAGATGCCAGACAGTGTCAATTTTACATTGTCAAGATACTGATTTTTTTTTTTTTTTTCTTAGAATATTCTCAAGCTTTGTTCTGGAATGCAATCAAGTTACTCAAAAATAGTTTTATCCTTTTGGGGCTTGCTTTGGTAGGTGGGACCAGAGCAGCCTTTAGGCCAGAGCTAATTTTTCTCCACTAGTGAAGTAAGACCCCTCTTTTAGTATTCTACCTAATGCCCGAGGTATTACAGGGTTTTCAACTGCGGTTGGTGGGAGCACAAACACTTCCCAGCTGTATGTGAACTTCAGGGAATTAATCTGCCTTCGCTTTTCTGGTGGCTTTTTTCCCCCAGCCTTGAGTAGTTTCCTTATATGCATGTAGCTAAAAATTCAAGGAGAACCCTGTGCAGATTGCCAAAGCTTTCTCTCTTTTTGTGCAGCTCTTTCCTCCTTCTGCAGCTTTGTCCCTTTGGTACTGTCCTCTGCGAATCCTACTGCTTTAGCCTTCCTGAATTTATGACTTTGTCCCTAGTGGGAGCACTGTGGGTTCCCTCTCCCTGTGTTGCATCCTGGAACCTCCAGACAACAGGCTGAAGCAATCACAGGGCTTACCTTACTTGCTTCCTTTCTGTCAGGGATCACTGTCTTGCACTGCCTATTGCTTCCTATCTGCAAAACTTTGTTTCGTATATATTATGTCCTGTTTTTTAGTTGTTTTAGGTAGGAGTCCCTGTTACTCTATCATGTCTTACAGGAGAAGTCCCTCCAGAAACTGATTTTAAAACCAACATTTTGTATAACTAGTTGTGTCAGTTATCTATTGCTGCCTAACAAATTTTCCCAAAATTTAGTGGCTTAAAGCAACCACCACTTATCTGCTCATGATTTTGATAATTTGGCTGGGCTAAAACAGGTAGTTCTTAGATTCCACATGGTGTCAGCTAGGCTTTTATGTGTTTGCAGTCAGTTAACAGGTCAGCTGGGGACTGGCTGGTCCAAGAAGGCCTCAGTCACGTGTCTGGCAGATGGTGGTGGCTTTCAGTGAAGCCCCTCTCTCTTTGTGACCTCCTACCCTCTTGAACATGAAACCAGTTTTATTTAATTGATAACAGAAGCATACCAAAACCCTGAAAGCTGAAGTGGCAAGGTTGCTTAAGGCCTAGCCTTGGAAGTCACACAACATCACTTCTGTCTCAGGCTATTAGTTAAAGGAAGTCACAAGCCCAGCTTAGGTTCTAGGGTGGGGAAATAGACTCCATTTAATTGTTGGAAAGGGGAGTGAATTCACACAGTGAAGAAGCACAGACACAAAGAATTGCAATTCTTTGTAGTAGATTGTCATAGTAACTAGTCAACAAAACATGTATTTAATGGCATCGTTTGTTTTGAAACTATCTTCTGGGTTAGAGAACAGTCTATTATAAGGAAATAACTAGTTTATTTTGGCTCAAAAACCTTATTGTGGGAGGATAACCCATTAGACCTTTGCCCTATGAGGTGTCAGGATGTGGACTAGAGAAACTATTGGGCTGTAAGTGGCTAGGAGATCAATGTTAATACCCTCTCCTGCCCTTCGAAGAGTTCACATATTCTTGTGTAGAGAAAAGAAGGAGGAAAGGGAAGAGAAAAAAGGAGAAGGTAGAAAAAAATAGTACTAGTTCACAAAATATAGGAAAAAGAATTATCTTCTTGCCATCTGTGAGGCAAAAAAGGACTCCTTCCATTGCATGGAACAGAAACCTAACTCAAAACTGGCTTGCTTAACTGAAAATCCTGAAATAGAATGGGGCATCAGGCATGGCTGGATCCTGTGCTAACAGTGCGATCAGAATATTTCCATCTTTCTGTTTTCCTCTAGGTCGGCTTCATTCTCAGGCAGCCTTTCTCCTTGTGAGGGCAATGTCGCTCCCAGAAATTACAGATATATACCAACCATTATAGCCATATCCAAGAGAGAAAGCTTCTCTTTTTAAAATTCCAGCACTTCTGGTGCTGACTGGCCCTGCCTCAGTCCATGTTCATACTTGAACCATGAGCAGGAAAATGAGATACTCTTATCAGCCAGGTCTTCTGCCCATTGCTGAGGTGGGCTCTGCCCTGTGAGAACTAAAGGACAAAAAGTGGGGGAAATGTGGTTTCTCAGCAGAAAACCAGGGTATTTTTCTTAGAAGCAACGGGAATAGATGATGGACAGGCTGAAACAATGGAAGCCCTAAGCTGCCTCTGTCCTTTTCTCTCATACACAGCCTATTTTACTCCATTCCTACTGTACTGCCTAACCTAAATGAAGATAATAATGAGTCCTGGGAGCCCATGTTGATAAACTGCTCGTTCTTAGTCACCAAAGCCCTCCTCAGAGCTAATGATCACTGCCTCCAAGAATACTCAGCTTCTTTAACTCAGAAACTGATTTTGGGTCCAGAGCGGCTGGGAAGGTGACCTAATCTTAGGTTTCTGAATGAGCTATAAAATCCCTCTAATGTTTGGTTGATGAAGAAGAATTTTCATCAGCATCAGTGACCCAAGTAGTTGCATTTATTGCTAGAAGTTTATTTTATAACCAGAGTCACCTAGATCCCTCTCCTTCCATCTTTTCCTGTCCTAATGAGTTGCAAAGTCCTGTAGATTCTAACTCTCTGCAATCAGAAATGTGTCACCAGCTGTTTAATTGGTCTCTGGCCTGTCCACAGTCCACTGTCTATACTGCAGGCAGAGTGAGCACTCTAAAATGCAAACATAATCATGACACTCTTCACTTAAAATATTTCAATGACACTCTGCAGTTCTCAGATAAAGCAGCTGCTGTATCAGCCAACCAGTAGTTTCCCAAATGTATCCTGCTACTTCACACTTCCTATATTGTGCCTAGAATGTCTTCTTTATCTAGCTGCTTTCCTTTTTGTCTTTCCAAATTCTGCGGAAGTATAACCTCCTTTGAAAAGCCTTCTCTGACCTCTGGCCTATGTTAATCTACTTTAGATCTTCATCTGGCCTTTCACAGCGCCCTGTGCATATTATAGCACATTAAAACACAAGATCCAGGAGGGCAGGGATCTTTTTCTGCTTAGTTTGCTATTGTATCCCCAGTGCCCAACACAGCACCTGCACATTGTAGGTTCTGGATAAATATTTGATAAATGACTAGCACCTATTACTGTAAAGTAGTCCTTTATTTACTGTGTCTTCACTCTGAGATTACAAACTTTACAGGCCAACACCTAGAGAGGACTGAGTATGGACTAGGCACTTAGTAGTTTTTTTGAATAGATAACAGTAGCATGAAAATGTGATCAGCTGAACGGTTCTCAGCTCACCTTGCAGCCAATTGGCAAGGGATAGTAAGAAACTACTTTAGAGTCTGAGCATTTAGCTATCCATCTATGTGATTGACCACAATAGTGGTTTTGAAGCTAACCTCTTAAAGAAAATTTCATGCCACATTTCATGAATGCTTATAACACATTGTAATAAAACTCCAAATAATGAGCTAGAGCCCACAAGCAGCTGGAATTATGGTAGTGTGTCCTCTTCTAAGAAAGAGAAGTAATTCACCAGAGAAAAGTACCAGGAACTATGTTAAGGTCAGGACACATTCAGGCTGATTTATTAGGCTCTTAATTTCTGTAGAACCAGACAATGAAAATGTATTGCCAACTACAAGGTATGACAAAATCTTGAACCATCAATCACAGAATCAGTTACCCACACATATTTCTACTTGTAAAGGGAGAGAAAATTGGCTAAAATATTTAATAAAGCTTTTTATAAACCATTCATGAAGCATAAAGTATTCATTTGCTGACGACCTAGCATTCTATTTCACTAATATTCTACTATAAATGATTTTCATGCTGTGCCTGCCAATGGATGGACAAAAATGGAAGTTTTCTTGTTTCTCCACATTTGTACCTCAGGCCAGCATCAGATGTGGAATTGACCCTAACGATTTAATTTTTTTATATTGTTGCTAAGATGAGAGAATGAGGCTTTTTTGTTTTTTCTAGTCATTTTCTTCTGTTAGTCTCAACCAGGTAAGTTTGATATTTTATAAATAAAAATGCTTAGGTTGATCTGATTTTTAAAAAATGTTTAGAAGTAGAATGATTTGAGAATGTCAATTATAGTTCTGTTACTCTAAGTTCTTGTTTACATTCAAGGCAATGATGGAAAGAACATTATTCCTTAGATATTTGACCCATGCATAGTAACATTATGGTCTTGTTGAGGCATCAGTAGGACATACTGTTAAAGAAAAAAATCTATTGATAGGGAACTTTTAATAAATTACACTTTTTTTGAGAGGGAGTCTGGCTTTGTTGCCCAGGTTGGAGTGCAGTGGCGCAATCTCAGCTCACTGCAACCTCTGCCTCCTGGGTTCAAGTGATTCTCCTGCCTCAGCCTCCTGAGTAGCTGGGATTACAAGCGTGTGCCACCACGCCCAGCTAATTTTTTTTTTTTTTTTGAGACAGAGTCTCGCTCTGTCGCCCAGGCTGGAGTGCAGTAGCGCTATCTCTGCTCACTGCAAGCTCCGCCACCTGGGTTCACGCCATTCTCCTGCCTCAGCCTCCCGAGTAGCTGGGACTACAGGCGCCCACCACCACGCCTGGCTAATTTTTTTGTATTTTTAGTAGAGACGGGGTTTCACCATGTTAGCCAGGATGGTCTCGATCTCCCAAAGTGCTGGGATAACAGGCGTGAGCCACCGTGCCCGGCCAATTTTTATAGTTTTAGTAGAGATGGGGTTTCACCATGTTGGACAGGCTGGTCTGTAACTCCTGACCTCAAGTGATCCACCCGCCTTGGCCTCCCAAAGTTCTGGGATTACAGGCATGAGCCACCGTGCTTGGCCAAATTATACATATTTATTATAGAAAATTCCTATTTTGTTAACAAAAGCAATGATTTCTCTCTTTCTTTCTTTCTTTCTTTCTTTCTTTCTTTCTTTCTTTCTTTCTTTCTTTCTTTCTTTCTTTCCCTTCTTTCTTTCCTTTCTTTCTCTCTCCTTCCTTCCTTCCTTCCTTCCCTCCTTCCTTCCTTCCCTCCCTCCCTCCCCCTCTCCCTCTCTCCCCCTGTCCCTCTCTCCCTCTCTCTCTCTTTCTGTGACAGAGTCTCGCTCTGTTGCCCAGGCTGGAGTGCAGTCTCGGCTCACTGCAACCTCCGCGTCCCAGGTTCAAGTGCTTCTCTTGCCTCAGTGACCCGAGTAGCTGGGATTACAGATGTGTGCCACCGCTCCCAGCTAATTTTTGTATTTTTAGTAGAGACGCGGTTTCGTCATGTTGGCCAGGCTGGTCTCAAACTCCTGGCCTCCAGTGGTCCGCCCGCCTCAGACTCCCAAAGTGCTAGGATTACTGGCATGAGCCACCATGCCCATCCAGCAATGATTTCTTGTCTAGTGTGTGCTGGCAGAGTGCTAAGTCTGGTATCTCAGTTAATCCTTGCAAATCTTTATTTATCAACATATGAAAAAAATCTCCTGCTCATAGAGGTTAAGTAACTTGTATGAGGTCATACTGCTAGTGTGTGACAAAATTTGGACTTGCTCTTCCTATTACCCCACATTGCCTTCTGAAAAAAAAAAATGACAGCTAAATTATACATGTGTTCATCAGGCACTCCTAAAGGGAAAAAAAAATCTGGAGCCAAACCATTTAAATAAATGTGACAAGATATATCTAAAATTAAACAGTGCATTGAAGGGTGTGATTTGTTCTGCTACAGAAAAAGTATTCCCAGACAGTCTAGATTATGTCTCTGATCAATATGCTCAGTGAGAGAAGGATATTCCATTTTCTGAAAACGATCCCACACATTTCAGCTGCAAATAGTTAATTAGTCATTTCATAGCCAGAAAGAAGGGAGTAATCCTTTAATGTCCATATGGCATACGTTTTCCAAGCTTATTTTTATATTCCCTTCAGTCCTTTCAATCCCAGCCTGAAAAGATTACTTAGATGATTTAGATGTAAAGAAATGTTATCATGTACACTCTATCAGGACATGCATTGAGCCCTTCTTTTCAAAGGCCTTATCAGACAGAGGTCATTTTACCAATAGGGTTTATTTCTCCAAGAAAGAAATTCAAGTAACAGAAACACTGATTGCAAATTTTGTACTAAGCAAATACTGTTAAAATATTTTAGATGTGATAATGGTATTATGGTTATATTATTAGGAAAGAACTCTCTTTTAGAATTGCATGATGAAATATTTATGGGAAAATGATATCATGCCTGAGATTTACTTCAAAATAATGTGGAGAGAGAGGTTAGTGAGTTTGCAGATGGGGCAGATGGGCCATAGGTTGATGGCTGTTGGCCTGGGTGATGGCTATTTGGGGGTTTATTACACTAGTATCTATATGTTTATGTATTTAAAAATAAGTTAAAAAATGCACTCACCTCTGGAAATATATAATCAAAAAAGAATACAACAAAAGAAAAAGTTAAAGCTTTTTTTAAAAAAGTAAAAAGAATAATAAAAATAAAAAAATTAAAAATTAAGGTTAAAAAACAAAATATGTGACTAACAAGTCTGACTCACATGTTGGGATATATATTCACTTTATAATAATCCTTACCTTCAAGTACACTATGTAGGGTAGAACAGCAGTACTCAAAGTATGTTCTGAGAGGATTGTTTGTTGTCCATAGGCATCAGTGTGTATCAGCCAATATTTATATCAGGATAACATTTTCATTACTATTTTGGTATAAGAAATTTTGATGTGATTTTTCTCATTGGGGTTGTCCAAGAAGAGCATACCTAAAAGAACCCAATTTTCCCCATTATTTTCCGGGAGGTTTTGTTGTGGTCATCATTGTCATTGCTGTTGTTCCTATTTTGTGGTACTGTTTTCCGTAGTGGCAACAACTGGGAGTGTGTGAGGTATATATCCCATGGCATGTAGGGTTCTGCCACAGTCGTCTGTCGTTTGGAAATATTTCAGAGGCACTGCTCTAATGATTGAGTCTTACCATGATGTCTATATTCTCACTTGTCGTTAAAGATTGGTAAAGCCTAGTCACACATCCTTACGGAAAATAATTTGCCGTATTGTCTAACGCTGTCAGCAGGCATCACGAGAGGGAAAGAGAAAACTGTCAGTCTATGCCCTGTAATTCAGGGACAAGGGTGGAGGCAAAAGCAGAGCAGCATATGTTCCTCAACTGAAAAGTGGATAAAGACAATGTGGTACAGCCATACAATGGAATATTATTCAGCAATTCAGCAACAAAAAGGAACAAACTGCTGAAATACCCTACGACATTGGATGAATGTCAAAATCATTATGTTGAATGAAAGACACCAGATACAGAAGATAATATATGATTCAATTTATAGGAGCTGTCCACAAAAGGCAAATCTATACAGATAAAAAGTAGAGTTTCTTAGGGCCAGGAATGAGAATGGGCATTAATTCTAAGTGGACATTAGGGATCTTAGTGGGGTTATAGGCATGTTCTAAAACTGGATTATGGTGATGGTTGTATAACTCGGTAAATTTACTAAAAATCATTGAATTGTATGTTTAAAACCGGTGAATTTTATGATATTTAAAGTATATGTCAACAAAGTTGTTTTTTATAAAAATCAAATCAGCTCTAAAATCTTATTTTTCACTTTTGATATTTTTGAGTGTATGAGATGTGGCAGTGATCAAAGCTAGTGGAGTGGTGTAGTCCAGAAAGAAGATTTGCTTGTCACATCTTACAATGTTCCAAATGCCTGACTTGGAACTCCAGTACCAAGAAGCTTTGTATAAAAAATCGTTGGCGTGGGCTGGGCGTGATGGCTCATGCCTGTAATCCCAGCACTTTGGGAGGCCGAGGCGGGCGGATGGCCTGAGGTCAGGAGTTAAAGACCAGCCTGGCCAACATGGTGAAACCCCATCTCTACTAAAAATTCAAAAATTAGCCGGGCATGGTGGTAGGCGCCTGTAATCCCAGCTACTTGGGAGGCTGAGGCAGGAAAATCGCTTGAACCTGGAAGATGGAGGTTGCAGTGACCCGAGATTGCGCAATTGCACTCCAGCCTAGGTGACAAGAGCGAGATTTCGTCTCAAAAAAAAAAAAAATTGTTGATGTGGGGTGCATGTCTTTTAGAAATGTTTGAAAGTCCTTCTCATTATCCTAGGGGAAGAGGCTTCTCTTCTTCAATTCAGAGCCAATCCCTGCACTTGAGCTCTGGGCCTCATCCCTCACACCTTCTCAGTGGCCATGCTTCCTCAGTTATACCTGCCTCCTTCTGTTTCTCACCAGCATCTTTTAAAAAAAGAAAATCCTCCCTTAGCCTTATCTTCCCCTCTAGATGCCACCCTATCTCTTTTCTATTTGATCTTTGTGAAAGAGTTGTCTACATTCATTGCCTCATCTTTCTTTCTTCCCATCATTCCTTAACCTATTGCAGTCTGGATTTTGCCACTTGACCAATATTGCTCTTGCCAACCACATCAGTTTCTTCTTTGTTTGTTAAATCCAATGGACATAGGTCAGTGTTTAGCCTATTTGACTTCTCTGTAAATTTTCAAACTGTTGACTGCTCTCTCCTTGAAACTTTCTCTTCCCTTAGCTTCTACAACGTTACTCTTTTTTGGTTTATCACATATTTTATAGATATTTCTTTGGAGTTGTCTACTATTCTATCTCTTAATATGTTAATATACTGTTCTCTACCATTTTGTCTTGGGATCACTTCTTTTCTCATCTCCACACTTGCTTCCTCAGTTATCTTATTCTCTTTCATGGCTTCATTTACTATCATATACTCATGCCCAACTCCACTCTCACACAGGCTGTAACTTCAGCTCAGATATGTTGCCTGAGCTTAAAACTTTATTATCCAACAAAACACAGACACATTCTTTGTGGAGATCCCACAACCACCTTAAACTCAACATGTCCAAAACTTAACTACTCATAATCCTTTGAAAAGTGTCCCCATAGCCTACATTTTTTTTTCCAATCACTATGAAAGATCTTTCAGGAGCCTAGGCTGGAAACCAGAAATAGTTCTTCTCAACTCCTTCTTTCCTTTTACTTCCCATTTTCCATCAGTTACGAAGTCCTATGATTTTTCCTTCTCGTACATCTTGGGTCTATTATCATTTGTCTTAGTCTGTTCACGCTGCTATAATAAAATGCCGTAAACTAGGTATCTTATGCAAAACAGAAACTTATTTCTCATAGTTCTGGAGGCTTGGAAGTCGAAGATCAAGGTGTCTAGTGAAGGCCCACTCCCTAGTTCACTGAATTGTGCCTTCTCACTGCAACCTCACATGGTGGAAGGGGCAAGGCAGCTCCCTGGGGCTTTTTTTTTTCTTTCTCAAAATTGGGGAACTAATCTTATTCATGAGAGCTCTGCCTTCATGACCTAATCACCTCCCAAAAGGTACCACCTTTTAATACCATCACCTTGGGGGTTTGGATTTCAATGCATGAATCTGAGGGGACATAAACCTTCAGATCATAGCCCCTTCTCTCCATCCTTACTACTACTACATTAGTTCAGGCCTTCATCATCTTTCTTTCCCACTCTCTCTTGAATTTTACTTGTATATGAACACAGCATGGTAGCCATACAAAGATTTTAGGTTCTTTGCATTGTCACTTGAGTCTTTATGATCAGTAAATCTGTGAGAGGGAGGTTTGGTGAATATTGTCTTTTTCCAGAGTTCAGGGGTCAGATAGCCTGTAGGATTTGGAGATGGCATCAAAGATGACTTTAGCCAAGTTGTCCAAGTAGGAGTGCAGTTCCTGGCAGAAGTATAGCAGTTATTGATGTCAGTAATCAGCAGAAGTCTCTTAGGCACAAGAACAGAGAGATAATGTCACTTCATTTAGGGGCAAGAGTAAGATGCATCCCTAATGAGACCCAGCACCCTGTCACCTTAAAAGAGAGTATCACCTGGCAAGCATGAAGTGCTTGTTAATCTTGTTCTCCTAGCACAATTCACAGGAATTAAGCTATCTTGGTCAAGATGATGGCACCATTGACTTCCATGAAGCAGCTAGACTGCCACATCTGGCCGGGCACGGTGGCTCACACCTGTAATCCCAGCACTTTGGGAGGCCGAGGTGGGCAGATCACGAGGTCAGGAGATTGAGACCATCCTGGCTAACACAGGGAAACCCTGTTTCTACTAAAAATACAAAAAATTAGCTGGGTGTGGTGGCGGGTGCCTATAGTCCCAGCTACTCGGGAGGCTGAGGCAGGTGAATGGCGTGAACCTGGGACGCGAAGCTTGCAGTGAGAGGAGATAGCGCCACTGCACTCCAGCCTGGGTGACAGAGCGAGACTCTGTCTCAAAAAAAAAAAAAAAAAAAATAGACTGCCACATCAACCCAATGGCCACAAATGCCTTCAGCCTGGATCTTCTTCAGGACCTTGAGTGATTGCCCTAGGAGAGGGGGGAAATAAACCCCTCAGACTCCTTGATAAGCAGAAAGAGATCCCCTCCAAGGAAGTAATTTCCATGGCCTTGGCCAGGTGGCCCAGCTTGTATACCAAGGACCACTCCTTGTCCTAGGCCTTGCTGCCAAGGCCCTAGCCATCGCTGAGAAAGGATTCTATAAACTGCCTCAGTCCCTGACTTGATTGTCTTTCCCAGCGCATCAGAGTTTAGTCAAAGAACCAGCATCTTCATCTGCTATTTGGTATGTCCTCTACAAAGTAAAAGCCCTCAGCATCTCCTTCCTATGTTACTGCAACTGCTTCCTCACTAATTTTCCTGCCTTTAAGTATCATACTATCCCTTCATATTTCTCACCTAGTTTTATTTCTTTACACTGCTGCCCAAGACATCTTTCTAAAACCCAGCCCTCATCATGTCATCTTCCTGCTTAAAACCCATAATCATCAGGACAAATTCCAAATGAATTCCAGATCTCTCAGTATGACAAACAAAGTCCCTCATGACCTGACCCCTGCTCATCTCTCCCTGGCCTTACCATTCCCCTCTTAGAACTCTGCTAACATAGTAGTGAACTATGAGTATTTCCCAAAATGTGTGTGTTTTTTCAGTTCGCCCCTATGACTTAGCACACTGTTCCCTCTCCCTATCTGGAACACCTTCATCCTTCAGGACTCAGTTCAGACATTCCCTTTGTTAGGAAGTCTTCCCTGGCCCTCCAATTTTTACTAGTGCTTCTCCTTTGGGTTCCCTTCACTTTCTGTACAAACCTTTTATTACTTTGTTTTGTAATTTTCCTCTTTTCTTATCCACCCTTGGTCTTCCAAATATTTGAGTCTAAGGATGGTGTTTTAACTTCTTATTCTCAGAGCTGAACATACAAAGTATTCAATAAATTTTAAAAAAAATCGATCAATGATGCATAGAACAATGAATGAATTAAGCATATAATGAATGAGTAAAACAGAGTCTGTAATTTTCCCCCTTGTTTATAAAGAAGACCAGCCAACTAACCTTCAGAGGAGAGATCCAGACTTGTTGCCCTAAATTACCACTGCACAGTAAACTGCCTACAAAGTTCATTACATTGAGGTCTATCCTAGTAAACTATAAGAGAGTAATTCCCTTGATCCTTTCTTTGTTCTGGTTTTTAACATGACTTTTGTCAGCTGCCTTATAAAAAACAATTAGCATGGCCAGGCACATGCAGTGGCTCATGTCTGTAATCCCAGCCCCTTGGGAGGCTGAGACAGGAGGAGTGATTGAGGCCAAGAGTTCCAGACCAGTCTGGGCAACATAGTGAGACCCTGTCTCTAAAAAAACAAAGTAATTAGCATCTAGTTTCAAATGGCCTGGAGAGAAATACTTTAATTTTTGGATGATACTCCCTTTTGCATGTGAGAGAAGGCAATCAGGAAGAAAACTGACAAGAATTGAGTTATTTCACTGGGTCTCATGTTGATTAATGCCACACACTTCTTCTCAGTTGTAGTTTTCTTTTGTACTTACCCATCAACGTCTATCACTGTACAAATATATCACTAAACATATCATCCTAGGGTAGCATTTCTTTCTAATTTTATCACTTAACTATGATTCAGTGTTTATTTCTAGTTTGGCAAAGAGGACATTAAAAAATGTCTAAATAAAGTTGGCAAATGTTTTGATTTTAAAGCATAAATAATTTTTTCCTCCAAAGTATAATTTAATTTTTCTAGAAAAGTTCAAACAGGCTTTGTAGTTTTTGACAATATTCAAGCATTTTTCATACATAGGATAAAAACACATCTTATTAACTTTTTTCTTTGGAAAAATATTCATATTGCACAGAAGTATATCAAGTAAAATGTGTCCTTTCCCCAATACAGTCCTCTGCTCCTTCAATATGACTCCATGTAGCTCACCACTCTCACATTTTGGATATTTTCTATGTGTACAAACTCACACATTATTTTACATGAATGTGATAATTGCTTCTAAAACTTATTTTTTTTCACTGAAGTTACCTTAAAAAATCAAATTAAGTCTATATATATTCTCTCACCTCTTCCTTTTTAATAGCCATAGTTTTCATGGATTCATGGATGTATTATTATTTTTTTTTAGCAGAGTCCTTTTAGTGACTTAGATTATTTTTAGTTTTTCTCTATTATCAAAAACCACAGTGAATTTTTTTTTTTTTTTGACAGAGATTAGCTCTGTCACTCAGGCTGGATCACTGCATCCTCAAACTCCTGGTCTCAAGTGATCCTCCCACCTCAGCCTCCCAAGTAGCTAGGCACATGCCACCACGCCAGGCTATATATATATATTTTTTAAATGGAGTTTCGCTCTTGTTGCCCAGGCTGGGGTGCAGTGGGACTGTCTCGGCTCACTGCAACCTCCACCTCCCAGGTTCAAGAGATTCTCCTACCTTAGCCTCCTGAGTAGCTGGGATTTACAGGCGTGCACCACTATGCCCGGCTAATTTTTTTTTTTTTTTTTTTTTTTTGTATTTTTAGTAGAGACGGGGTTTCTCCATGTTGGTCAGGCTGGTCTCAGACTCCCGACGTCAGGCGATCTGCCTGCCTCGGCCTCCCAAAGTGCTGGGATTACAGGTGTGAGCCACCGCGCCCAGCCACGCCAGGCTAATTTAAAACTTTTTTTGGGCCAGGTGTGGTGGCTCACGCCTATAATCCCAGCACTTTGGGAGGCTGAGGCGGGCGGATCACGAGGTCAGGAGTTCAAGACCAGCCTGGCCAACACAGTGAAAACCCGCCTCTACTAAAAATACAAAAAATTAACTGGGCAAGGTGGTGGGCGCCTGTAATCCCAACTACTTGGGAGGCTGAGGCAGGAGAATCACTTGAACCCAGGAGGTGGAGGTTGCAATGAGCTGAGATCGCGCCATTGCATTCCAGCCTGGGCGACAGTACAAGACTCCGTCTCAAAAAACAAACAACAACAACAACAAAAATGGCCGGGCATGGTGGCTCATGCCTCTAATCCCAGCACTTTGGGAGGCCGAGGCGGGTGGATCACCTGGGGTCAGGAGTTCGAGACCAGCCTGGCCAACAGGGTGAAACCCCGTCTCTACTAAAAATACAAAGATTAGCCAGGCGTGGCGCCTGTAATCCCAGCTACTTGGGAGGCTGAGGCAGGAGAATCGCTTGAACCTGGGAGGTGGAGGTTGCAGTGAGCTGAGATGGCGCCATTGCACTCTAGCCTGGGTGACAGAGCAAGACTCCATCTCAAAAAAAAAAACAAAAACAAAAACAAACTTTTTTTGCAGAGATGGAGTCCCACTATATTTTGCCCAGGCTGGTCTCGAATGCCTCAAGTGATCCTCCTGGCTCAGCCACCCAAAGTGCTAGGATTACTGATGTGAGCCGCCGCATCTGTCCTACAATGAACATTCTTTTTTTTTTTTTTTCTTGAGACGGAGTCTCGCTCTGTCGCCCAGGCTGGAGTGCAGTGGCGCGATCTCGGCTCACTGCAAGCTCCGCCTCCCGGGTTCACGCCATTCTCCTGCCTCACCCTCCCCAGTAGCTGGGACTACAGGCGCCCGCTACCACGCCCGGCTATTTTTTTGTATTTTTAGTAGAGACGGGGTTTCACCGTGTTAGCCAGGATGGTCTCGATCTCCTGACCTCGTGATCCGCCCGCCTCGGCCTCCCAAAGTGCTGGGATTACAGGCGTGAGCCACCGCGCCCGGCCACAATGAACATTCTTAAAAAAAAATATATATATATATATATATATATATATATATATATATATATATATATATACACACACACACACACGCACACACATACACACACACATATATAACGTATACATACATATGTAGTCTTTGTGTACTTGTATATGCAAGTATTTCTATAAGATACATTATAGTATGCATATATACTTATAGTATGTATATACAAGTATATCTATAAGATAAATTTCTAAAAGTGGAATTGCTGGGTAAAGGAGACATACACACACAGACACACACACACACACACACACACACACCCCTATATATTTTTGTATATATATATTAAATGCAGCCCTAAAGTTGTACCAGTTTACACTCCCACCAATAATAAATAAGAATGCCCATTTGCCTAACTTTCTCTAACACAGGGTAACTTCAGTCTTAAATCTTTACTCATTTGATAGATGGGAAATGATATCACATTATTATCTTAATGTAACTTTCTGTAACGATGACTGGGGTTGAATATATTTTTATGTGATTGTTTTATATTGCCTACTTATGTTCTTTGCCCATTATTCTGTTGAATTGAGTGTCTTCTTTTTAGTGGCAACACCGGAATTTCTATACAGAAAGAGTTTAAGATAAGCAACCTTGTTGGAAAGGGTAAAGCTAAGGACCTTGCCTTAAAATTGTGATTGTGCCATAGTTTACATAAGATTGAGAAAAGGTCTATTGTTCGTTGTTCTTATCAAAGAATGGATGACAGGTAATGGAAATGGCCTCCTCATCCCCTTGTCCCACTTTGATTTTTTGACTGCTTTTATTTGATTTATAAGAGCCCTTTATTTATGAAATAAATCACCTCTTTTGTGTCATGTTTGTTACAAATATTTTTCCTGCTTCTTCTTTCAACTCTATTTAAAGTAACTTTTACCCTTCAGAATCTTATTTTGTTTTTCTTAAATGAGATGGGGTCTGCTGTGTTGCTGCAGGCTGGAGTGTAGTGACTATTCACGGGTGCAATCCCACTACTGATCAGCATGGGTGTTTTGATCTCCTCTGTTTTCAACCTGTTTCACCCCTCCTTAGGCAACTTGGTGGGCCTCCACTCCTGGAGGTCGCCATAGTGATGCCACACTCAGTGTGGACACCCCAATGGCATAGCGCACTGCAGCCCAGAACTCCTGGTCTCAAGAGATCCTCCCACCTTAGCCTCCCGAGTAGCTGAGACTATAAGCTCATGCCACCATACCCAGCTAGAATTTCAATTCTGTATGAACTAATTGGTTATTCTTTGTATGGCTTCTGAAATAACTGTAATATTTAGAAAACACTTCTGTAATGCAAGGCTATAAAAATACTTATTCATTATTTCTGGTACATTCTTGGTGTCATATATTTATGTTTAAATTTCTGACTCACCTTGGTGATATTTTTAGCAAGAAAGAATACAGAAACCCAGCTTTAAAAAAATGGTAACTTAGTTGTGGGATGTAGTTACAATTTTAAAAAATGTTACTCTAAAATTCTATCAAGATCTAATTATCAGCCGGGAGCCGTGGCTCACGTCTGTAATCCCAGCACTTTGGGAGGCGGAGGCGGGTAGATCATTTGAGGTCAGGAGTTGCAGACCAGCCTGGCCAACATGGTGAAACTCCTGTCTCTACTAAAAATACAAAAATTAGCCGGGTGGTAGTGGCACGTGCCTGTAATCCCAGCTACTTGGGAGGCTGAGGCAGGAGAATCGCTTGAGCCTGGGAGGCGGAGGTTGTGGTGAGCGGAGATTGCCCAACTGGATTCTAGCTCCCAGAGAGAGACCCTGTCTCAAAAAAAAAAAAAAGTAGAGAAAAATAAACAAATGAGCCTCTTTTTGTTGTCATTACTCAGAATTTGTTTCTGTTGCTTTGCAATATTTCAATGAAGATATTCTTTTTCAATATTTATTCTGGTTCACAAATTAAATGTTGCTAAAATAAAGTGACATCAGGGCAGAACAAAATACAAAATGGCTACATACATGCAGTGTAGTTCAATATGAATTTGAATGTATTCCACCAACACAAGACGATTTGAAAGCAAGTGCAATGGACCAAATGTTTATGTTCCCTCCAAAATTCATGTGTTGAAATCTCACCCCCAAGGTGATGGTATTAGGAAGTGGGGCCTTTGAGAGGCGATTGATATTACTGCCTGTATACAAGGGGCCCCAGAGACCTAGCTCACCCCTTCTGTCATGTGAGGACACAGTGAAAAGATGGCCATCTGTAAGGAGCACCCTCACCAGACAATGAATCTGTTGATGTCTTGATCTTGGATTTCTCAGCCTCCAGAACTGTGAGAAATACATTTCTCTTTTTTTTTTTTTGAAATTTCATAAGGGATTTAATTCAGAAAAGTGGTCACATGTTTCTTGGAAGTCTTTAAAAAGTCTTTAAATATATTTTTTATTTTTACAAATTTATGGAGTACGTGTGTAAGTTTGTTAATTGTATATAATCTCTTGTTTGTAAGTCAGTATGGTATTTTGTCATGGCAGACATAATGGACCAACATGATAAGTTTCTATTATTTTTGGGGTGTCATTCAGCAAACTTGCCCCAAAGAATCTATTATCTAACTGATAGAATGATATGGTATATTTAGGTGATTTCTTATTGCCCCCTTTTTTTTTCTTTCTTTTCTTTTTTTTTTTTTTTTTTTTGAGACGGAGTCTTACCCTGTTGCCCAGACTGGGGTGCAATGGTACAGTCTTGGCTCACTGCAACCTCCGCCTCCTGGGTTCAAGTGATTCTCCTGCCTCAGCCTCCCAAGTAGCTGGGACTACAGGCACGTGCCACCATACCCGGGTAATTTTTGTATTTTTAGTAGAGACAGGGTTTCACCATGGTGGCCAGGCTGGTCTTGAACTCCTGACCTGGTGATCAGCTGGCCTCTGCCTCCCAAAGTGCTGGGATTACAGGGGTGAGTCACCATGCCCAGCCTGTCCTCTTTTTAAAAGTCAAGAAAATAGTTAGAGTTGTTAGAGTATAAGGCTCTTAAAGGCAGGGTAATTTTTCATTTAAATGATGGGGTCTTGCTATGTTGCCCAGGCTGGCCTTGAACTCTTGGGCTCAAGCAATCCTCCAGCTTCAGCCTCCTGAGTAGCTGCAACTACAGGTGTGCACCACTGCAACCGGCTTGTGGATAGGTTCTAGTCAACATAATAGTGGCACTAAATAATTTTTTAATAAATTTAAGCTGTAGAGTATATATCTTAAAAGATATATTTGTGATCATTAAAATTTGGAATTTGGAATTTTAAAAAATTGAAGTAATTTCAGTCTGTGATTGAAGATTTCTTCTATAGTTTTTTTCTCCTTTTATTAAAGAAAAAAACCCTAGGTCATATTTATGTTCAGAGTTTATATAAGCCTATTTTAGTTCAAAAATATATACAGTCAAAAGATAATATTATACTTAGATACAAAAGGACCCAGCCAGAATAATGTTTCTCATTTATTGAATGGATCACCAGTAAGATAGATTAGTCAAGCCAGGAACTAACAGACAAGGCTTTGCTTCTGCACCTACATCCTCGAGGCAGAGGGACAAGGACAATGGTGTACAGAGGTGGTAGGAATGAGTTGGGAGACAACGGTATAAAACAGTATAAAAGGGATGAGCCCTGGCCACCTGAAGCTTCCGAGATTGGCATTAGATCTGTCTCATCGGTTAATGCCTAACTTTACCTGACTCTTCTGGCCCTCTCCCAAACTGGAAAGATGGCATGAATCCATGGCCTTTGTTTAGGATTCTTTATTAGCATCACTTCTGTTTTAAGTGAACCCTAGGGAAAGGGTTCATGTCAACTCTAGGGAAAGCGTGACTTTGTGGTCTTCTATTCTGGGGCCAGGGCCAGGAGATTGAGTACTGGTTGATTGGTGTCATTTTTATATTTCTCTTTTCATTCACATGCAGAATAAATGGTACTTTCTCTCTCTCTCTCTCTCTCCCCTCCCCCCCCCTCTCTCCCCACCCCTTTCTTTTAAGTGCATGATTTTAATGAAAGCTTAATTCTGTGTGATCATGGTAATGGTCTAGGGAAACTACAACAGGCTGTAATTTTTTTTGTCAGCCCACAGAAGTCATCCTGAACAAAAACAACCTTAGCTTCAGCAAAATGTAGGCAGTAATTAAGATGAAGATGTGGGCTTTTTGCTCAAATTAAGAGAGTTTCTTTGATTTGCTTTACTAATGAAGCACTGTGTGGTAAGATTTTCAAGCTCTCAGTTTCTGAAAAAACCTTCTCAGGAACATAAAAAATCATTCTCAGTAAGTGGCAACCATTATTTCTATAATGGCATATATTTGTTGATCTTTGTGTATGTTTATAAAATATGTATTGTTTTTACTTTAAACATATCTTTTCTTACCACTCTATCCCTATTAAAACATAATAGAATGGAGTTTTTAAAATATCAATGATCACTTTCAGGTTTTTTCTTTTTAATGTCTTTTCTAGTTTTATTTTTAATTACAAAATTAATATATGCTCTAGATAAAATATTCAGACAATACAGAAACATATAAAGTAAAATTTTAAATCCTCTTATCTCTCCCAGTCCTACTCCTTAGAAGTAGTCATTGGGAAATAGTTTGTTGTGCTTTCAGACAGTTTTCTATTGGTATAAAAACATTTTAAATTAAAAACATTAACTCTTTTCCAGAACTTTATGTTGTAGAGAAGAAACAGTGCTACTTTTTTTTTTTTTTTTTTTTTTTTTTTGAGATGGAGTTTTGCTGTTGTTGCCCAGGCTGGAGTGCAATGGCACAATCTCAGCACACCACAACCTCCGTCTCCCAGGTTCAAGTGGTTCTCCTGCCTCAGCCTCCTGAGTACCTGGGATTACAGGCATGCGCCACCATGCCCGGCTAATTTTGTATTTTTAGTAGAGACGGAGTTTTTCCATGTTGGTCAGGCTGATCTTGAATCCCTGATCTCAGGTGATCCATCCGCCTTGGCCTCCCAAAGTGTACTTTTTATTTTTGGTAATTTTTATTTGGAATTAATTCCAGACTTATAAGAAAGTTGCAAGAATAGTACAAAAACTATACCCTTCACTCAGATTCTCCAATTGTTAACATTTTACCACATTTATTTTATAATTATCTCTGTTTTTATATATATGTATTATTTTTTCTGAACCATTAAAAAGTAAGTTGTATTTATGACATCCCTTTTCCCTAATTATTTCAGCTTGTATTTCCTAAGAAGAACATCCTCTGTCATAACCTTAGTATAAGTATCAAAATCAGGGAATTAATGTTGATACAGGGCCAGGTGCGGTGGCTCATGCCTGTAAATCCCAGCACTTTTGGTGGTCGAGGCAGGCAGATCACTTGAGGTCAGGAGTTCAAAACCAGCCTATCCAATATGGTGAAACCCCGCCTCTACTAAAAATACAGAAATTAGCCGGGCGTAGTGGCACATGCCTGTAATCCCAGCTACTTGGGAAGCTGAGACATGAGAATCGCTTGAACCTGGGGGATGGAGGTTGCAGTGAGCTGAGATCATGCCACTGCACTCCAGCATGGACAGCAGAGGAAGACTCCGTCTCAAAACAAAACAAAACAAAGAAATACATCGATACAGTACTATTATCTGCTCCACAGATTTTATTCTATTTTTAAAACTGTCCCAACAGCATTACTTTTTAATCGTATCATCATTTATTGAAAAGAATGTGTTAATCGATATGTGCCCTAACTTTTTTTTTTTTTTTTTAAACAAGTGTTCAAAGGAATGGGCTGGTTTACTAACCACAGACAATGTAGGCACTTCCACCTCCCTGTTATCTCCATATTTCTCCCCACCTTCCATCCTCTATCTCACACACCGACATATACGGATACACACAGGCACAAAGATACACTGATACAGACAGACACACACCAGACAAACACACACCCCTCAGTAGCCCTCTTTAGCATTTCTTGAACATGCCTTTTCTCGCCTTTTATTCACATCCTTTTCCCAAAATGCCCTTCCTCTTATTTTCCTTTTTTGACTGGCAAAATCTCACCCCACTTTCAAAGCCTCCTATTTGACAGATCTTCTAACTCAGCCTCCCTCATGGGCACTTAGTTGTGCTTCCTTTGTGTTTTCTCAGCTTTCTGTACAAGCTTTATAATATTTCTTATTTTACCATCACTAGTTAGATTTCTACCTGATAGTTATACTAGCTGCTTATGGAAAGCAGAGACTTTCCAGGATCTAGCCCAGGGCTCAGAATAGAAAGAATCTCAATCAATGCTGGTTTAATACTGAGTGGTCTATAAGTCTTATCTTCTCATGAGTAAATGTCAGCAAAATGAATAAAATACTGGCTGCCTTCTTGTAAGTTACATTTCTTTCTTTTTCTTTTTTTAATGTAAAATGTGTCATACTGAAGCAGTGGAAGAAAAACTCTATAGCTTAAGAATCTACCTGAACTGAACATGACCAACACTGATGAAAGAAACAAGACTTAAGTATGGACTGGAATGTTCATGGACTGGAAGACATAATATTGTTACAATGGCAATACTACCTAAAGCTATCTACAGATTCAGCACAATCCCTATCAAAATTCCAACATCTTTTTTTTCACATAAATGGAAAAGATGATCCTCAAATTCATATGGAATTGCAAGGGGCCCTGAATAGCCAAAACAATCCTGAACAAAAAGAATAAAGTTGGATTATTCATACTTCCTGATATCAAAAGTTACTACAAAGCTACAGAAATAAAACTACTGTGGTATTAGCATAAGGATAGACACACAGACCAATGGGATAGAATTGAGAGTCCATAAATAAACCCATACATCTATGGCCAATTGGGTTTTAAAAATTGTAATAACATGAACATAGATAGTGGAATAATAGACATTAGAGACTTGGAAAGGTGGGAGGGTTGGGGAGGGTGAGGGATGAGGATTATCTAGTGGTCCAGTGTACACTATTTTGGTAATGGTTATGCTAAAAGCCTAGACTTCACCACTGTGCACTATCTCCATGTAAAAAAAAAAACCTGCACTTGTACCCACCCCCAAATGTATTTTTAAAAATTTTAAAAATAAAATTAAATTAGCAGAAACAATTGTGTTAAAATACACATAACATAAAATTTACCATCTTTTTTTGTGAGATGGAGTCTCACTCTGTCACCCAGGCTGGAGTGCAGTGGCATGATCTCAGCTCACTGCAACCTCCACCTCCCAGGTTCAAGCGATTCTCCTGCCTCAGCCTCCTGAGTGGCTGGGGCTACAGGTGTGTGCCACCACGCCCGGCTAATTTTTTTTTTTTTTGTATTCGGGGTTTCACCATATTGGTCAGGCTGGTCTCAAACTCCTGACCTCATGATCCGCCCGCCTTGGCCTCCCAAAGTGTTGGGATTACAGGCATGAGCCACTGCACCCGGCCAAAATTTACCATCTTTTAAAGTGTACAGTACAGTGACATTATATACATTTGCATTCTTCACCATCCATCTCCAGAACTTTTTTCATCTTGCAAATCTGAAAATCTGTACCCATTAAATAGTAATATGGCCAATTGATTTTTGATAATGGCAACAAATCCATTCAATGGAAAAAGATAGCATCTTCAACAAATGGTTCTGAATTTCCACATGCAAAACAATGAGGTTGGACCTCTATCTCTCATACCATATACAAAATTAACTCCAAATCCATCAACAACTTAACCATAAGTGCTAAAACCATAAAACTCTTAGAAGAAAACATAGGGCTACAACTTTGTATTTGGCAATGAGTTCTTTTTTTTTTTTTGAGATGGAGTTTCACTCTTGTTGCCCAGGCTGGAGTGCAGTGGCACAACCTCAGCTCACTGCAACCTCCGCCTCTCAGGTTCAAGCAATTCTCCTACCTCAGCCTCCCGAGTAGCTGGGATTACAGGTGCCCACAACCATGCCTGGCTAATTTTGATATTTTTAGTAGGGACGGGGTTTCACCATGTTGGCCAGGCTGGTCTCGAACTCTTAACCTCAGGTGTTCCACCCCCTTGGCCTCCCAAAGCACTAGGATTATAGGCGTGAGCCACTGCATCTGGCCTGGATTCTTAATATGACTTTAAAAGCATAAGCAACAAAAGAATAAATATATAAATTGGACTTCATCAAAATTAAAAATTTTTGTGCAACAAAGAACACTGTCAAGAAAGTGAAAAGACAACCTATAGAATAGGAAAAATACTTGCGAATTGTATATATGTTAAGGTTTAATACCCAAAGTATATAAAAAACTTCTACAATTCAACAACAAAAAGACAAAACATTTTAAAACAAAATGGTTGTAAACAAACAACAAAAAGACAACCATTTTTGTCCATCTTACAATGGACAAAAGGCTTGAATAAACATTTCTCCAAAGAAGATAAACAAATGGCCAATAAGCACTTGAAAAGATGTCAACATCATTAGTCAATGGAGACATACAAATTAAAACTCCAAGCTATCACTTCACACTTACTATGATGACTATTATTAAAAAATGGAAAATAACAAGTGTTGTTGAGGATATGGGGAAATTGAAATCTTTATAAGTTAGCAATAGGAATGTGAAATGGTGCAGCTGATGTGGAAAACAGTTTGGCAGTTCCTCAACAAGTTAGACATAATTACCATATGAGCACACCTGGGTATATACTCAAAATAATGGAAAAGAGTTACTCAAAAAAATACTTGTACACCAATGTTCATAGCAGCATTATTCACAATAGCCAAAAGGTGGAAATAATCCAAGAGTCTATCAACAGAAGAATGGATAAACAAAATGTGGCGTATACATACAATGGAATACTATTCAGCCATAAAAAGGAATGAAGTTCTAATACATGCTAAAACATGGATAAACCTTGAAAAATATTATGCTATGTGAAATAAGCTAGACACAAAAGGACAAATATTGTATGATTCCACTTATATGAAATATCAAGCATAGGCAAATTTATAGAGGCAGAAAGTAGATTAGAGGTTACCAAGGGCTGGAAGTACGGGAGAATGTGGTTATTGCTTAATGGACATAGACTTTCTGTTATGAGTGATGAAAAAGAAAATACATAGTGGTGATAATTGTATAACATAATTAATGCCTCTGAATTTTACACTTAAAACTGATGAAAGTGGCATATTTTATATTGTATATATTTTACCTCCCCACTTCTTCCTAAGAACCTCCCTGAGCCTACCTCAGAGTCTGAGACCCATATGGGTATTAGAGACTAGTTACTTTTCAGAGAGTGAAGGGAGAGACTGCCAACTAAGGCAGGTCCCAACACATAAAATCAGAGTCAAGGTGAGCAAGAGTGTCGTTTTAAAGTTTAGAATCTAATACTCTTGTCTTTCCAAATTTAGTTTATATCAAGACTCACCCAATCTAACTGCTTTGTCCTCATCCATAAAGACTCTGATTTGTTAAGTTTGAGGTGGGCTGGAACACTTATTTTTAACGTTTCCCAGGTGAGTGTGAAGCCAAAGGACAGAAGTATTCTTAAAGATATTTGTTAATACACTCTGAAAACAGAGAAAAGAATGTCTTCTGGTGTCTGGAGGGCCCCTGACTGTAAGATTCTGTGGAATATTTGCTCTTTCAATGTCAAGCTTAGATTCCTGCTTCTGGCTCCCAGCTGAGGGCTCCGGACTGCCATCTGCATGCTTAGCCCTGCCCCAAGCTTGGGGACCAATCAGAAGGTCGGTCTTCTGCTGACTCAGCATCAGGTCGCAGTGACTCAGCACCGTGTGGCAGCTGTTCCTCCTGATCTGATCTTGTCACCGGCTCTGACCTTGCTCTCATTTTCTATCCCAGTTATGATAATTGGGTCTTTGTTTTGTCGCCAAACCCCTGTCCTTTTCTTGCCAGTTTTCTCAGGGGAGTCTGTCCCTGAATCTTGGTCTTGGGAGGAAGGTTTTCCTGCCTTGGCTCAGTATTTTTTATTGAAGGTACTCACCTTCAAGATTTTATAAGATCCACTCTATTCCTCAATTCCTTCCCATTCCCATACCCTTCCCCATTATACATAATTCCCGTTTAAATTCCCTTTCTTCTCTACTTAATCTCCAGGGGTTTGGTGCCTTCCCTGGGACTCCACTTCTGACTCCATTTACCTTCCCACTAACAATCCACCTTGCCGGTCTGTCCTAGTAAGCTGCAGGTTAGCTGTGGAGGCACCTGACCCCCTAATACTTCACAATCTGCTTTCTGTTGGATTCCCTGGTCCTGGGCTCTGCCTAGATGCCTGTTGGAATATCCCATTATCCCCACTGCTTCCTGCTGCGCACTGCGGGGAAGGGACAAGGAATGAATAGTTATGGGTATCCTCGATGTTTTGGGTGCTATGGTAGGTGCTTTGCAAGTGTTGTTTAATGTAATAGATTATTTATTTATTTTGTTTTTGACAGAGGCTCTTGTTGCCCAGGCTGGAGTGCAATGGCACTATCTCGGCTCACTGCAACCTCTACCTCCCGGGTTCAAGTGATTCTCCTGCCTCAGCCTCCCGAGTAGCTGGGATTACAGGCGCCCACCACCATGCCCAGCTAATTTTTGTATTTTTAGTAGAGACAAGGTTTTCCATGTTGGCCAGGCCGGTCTCGAACTCCTGACCTTGTGATCTGCCCGCCTTGGTCTCCCAAAGTGCTGGGATTACAGGTGTGAGCCACTGCGCCCAGCATAGATTATTTTTAACCTTTTATTTTGGAATAATGATATGACACACAGAGGTAACTTGCCCAAGGTAAATGCAGCTGGTAAACTGCGAGACTAGAGTGTTTACTGAACTGGCTCTAAAGTTTCTATTTTTTGGCTTCATCAAGCAGGTGTGGACTATCCTGTGGTGGAGGTGGAGGTGGGGCTGGTGTGACAGGTTCCAGTCTCTACTGCTCCCTTCCTGCCCTGTCCTTCTTCCATTCACTCTCCCATGCCAGGCAGTGCTGAAGGACACCAGGCATTTCTCCTGCTTTGGGTTGAGTATTTGCAACGTGTACCAGGGCTGGTGTGAAGTATATTTTCCCACGCACTTTATGTTCTCATTTATTGTTAATTCCCTCTGTGGAGGAAAAGTTTAAAGTATGTCTTTTAGGTTGCATATTTACAGCAACTAACCCCCTAATAACACTTTAAAACAATGACGTATCTAAAAAGACTGGAGAGTATGTAGTGATTAACTATGATATATAACGTTGAACCAATAATATTTTCTACACCATTAGCAAATCAGGCCTGCTTTGATCTGTCAACAGAAACCTACTTCTCACCCACTCGATATAAATATAGAGCAAGAAAGGAGCTCCTAGAGTTGAGTTCCTCAGCTGTTCTATGTTTTGTAGATTAAAATAGGGAGATGATCAAAGTATGATTTCATGAATCACATGATTTATTGCCATAGAAAGATATATTTTTCTTTTCCATAATGCTGAAAGAGAGGGAGAATAACAAGAACAAATCTCACAGGGAATATATTAATACTCAATAGACAGAGTGCATTAGCCACAGAATCAGTGAGTTCCAATTTCATTTAGAGTCCATTATTAAAGTCTAGTTACTCAGTTAGGATGGAAGCAGGCCTCTGCGGATGTAGAGTCCAATCAAAGTTTGAGGCATACAATGGAATACTATTCAGCCATAAAAAGGAATGAAGTTCTAATACATGCTACAACATGGGTAAACTTTGAAAAACATTACGCTATGTGAAATAAGCTAGACATAAAAGGACAAAAGCTTTCTTGTAGAAAGCTACAAGAAGTTCTTGGCAAAGATGGTTTGACCAACACAGCAGAGATCCTCAAAGACATGCAATGATGGGCAAGTTCCCTCCAGGCTAGCACGTGGTGCTGGTGTTGGCTGGAGATGCTTTGGAGAATAGCTTGAAGGCTGACAGAGAGTAGCCCTGCCGCAGCCTAAGCTCTCAATCTGTCTATCAAAATCTTGGGTTTGTATATGTTTTGGAGTCCAGTAGTTGGAGGCCAATAACTCATTTATATGGTCTGATAAAATGTGACATAGCATTCTCACAGGGAGAAGGATTAGACTCCATGTTATTCCCACAGCAAAACATGTAACTCCTACAACAAACTATGTAAGTATTTGGAATCATTGCAAAGCGACATAACATCCTATTTAGTTGGGGTACTATCCCAGAGGGCAACTGGCTTGTGGCTAAAATGCCCATAGTATAGCTGAACTTTTTGAATTTTTCTCTAGGGTAGGAGAATCCATAGGATTCTAATGATCCTGTTGACTCTTCATACTTGTCTAGCCCTATACAAATTTTTCCTGGATTGCTCTATGGAGAAGGCAAAATGGGATTTCCATCCCAGCAGAGTTTAAAGAACAATCATATGCGTAACTATCGCAAGGAAGCAAATTTCAGCCCCACGTATAATTTAATCAATTTCTATTATTAAAACAAAAATTACCTGAATCACCCAAGCTAAACTTTGGACTAATTTTTAAATTCTTTTTATCTCTCAGTCATTCACCATATTCAACTGTCCCTCTCCTCTCCCACTTGCTTGCTCAAAAATTTTCCTAGGGCTTCCTCTTCTTGCCTTATAATTAAGGCCAAATGCCTTGGTTTAACATTCAAGGCAGCCACAATCTGGTCTCCACGTAACCTCTCCTTCCTTATTTCCCATAGCTCCTTTATACAAATTATGCTACCATGACATGCATGCCCCTACTCCTGTGCCTAGTTCATTCCATTCCCCCAGCCTGAACACCCTACCCTTGTAAGTCTGAGTCCAACTTTTCCCTTCGTGCTAGCTCAAGCCCCACTTTCTCTGTGAAAATTGTCCTGATTGCTTTAGCACACAGTTTTCTCGGCTTTCTCTCCTGCTCTTTTCTTGCCATAATTGATGCATGCGCCCTACTTAGCACAGTGATCCTGACACCTTGTAAGTGTTCAGCAGAGTGGGTAAGAAGATCAACTCTGGAGCCAGACTGCTCGAGTTGGTATTCCAGCTCTGTTGCTTGCTTGCTGTGTGCCATTAGACAACCTAGTTAACTTCTGTGAACCTCAATTTCCTCGTCTATGAAATAGGAATAGTAACTACACCTTGCAGGGTTGTTGTTTTATATATATATACAATCTATAAATATATAAAAATGTAACATATATCATATATGTATATATACATATACACTGTATAGATGCATGTATTTTGTATGTGTATATGTTTGTACATATAGTTACTTATGCTTTTACACAGATGTTCTATGTTCTTCACCTAATGTTTGCTATTTGACAGTAGGTATTGGTTACTTATGCCAACCAACTCAGAAAAAGTTCAGGTTAACATACAAGGATAATTATGGAGGAATACATCACTCACAAACACACCATCTTGCAAATGTAAGTTGTGGGATAGCACAGATGAAGAAAAGTCCAGAAGGACAGAAAAGTCCAGAAGGTCAGCTCTGGACTGCAGGTGGAGAATGGGTGGAGGGGTCAGCAATCCTCCTAGAGAAAAGGGATTTTCAAATCCTTCGAGAGGAGAGATGAAAGGATTTGGCCAACTGATTTGGGCCCCATTTCATTTCCCTTCGGAAAGGGAGTGCCTGCTGCTGGCTTGGTGGGGGTGGGGGGTGATTCTAGACTGCTGGGGAAACTAGTGCAGAGCTCAGTGCATAGGAAGCAGGGCTGACTGGCTGCTCATGATTGGCTTGAGGCTCAAAGAAGCAAAGAAGAGACTACATTTTTGCTTTGGGTTGCCCAGTCCTGCTCACCAGTCTTGGAAAGGAGACAAAATTTCCATCTGGTGCTGCAGACTGTGAACTTGAGTGGTGTACTCCTTGGGCAGAATCACTCAGGGTGCTGTGAGGTGCAGGTGGTGGGTGGTGGTGTTAGTGGTGCTAGTGGTGTGTGTGTGTGTGTGAGAGAGAGAGATAGATGGGATTGATGGGGGGACATTATATGACAAACTGTGAGTATGTAGGGGGCATTTAGGTGGGGGGATGGTACAAGCTGAGAGGAATGTAGGCCAGAGGCATCCATGCTGGAGTGGGTGATACAGGCTGGGAAATGATTCAAGCTGGGGAGATGTATCCTGGGGGAATTCAGGCTGGGGTGATACAGGTTGTGGGATATAGATTGCGGGGATACAGACTGGGGTGCACGGGCTGCAGAAGGTGTTGTATTAAGTTTCTATGTTATATAACAAATTTTTACACACTTAGTGTCTTAAAACACACCATTTATTAGTTCACAGTGCTGTAGGTCAGAAGTCCAGCACGGTGTGGCTGAGTTCTCCACTCAGTGTATCCCAAGGGGAGAATGAACGTGTCAGCTGGGCTGTGCTCCTTTCTAGGGCTCAGGAACCTCTTAAACTCACAGGATTGTTGGAAGAATTCAGTTCCTGTGGTTGTGGGAGTGAAGCATCTTGCTGGCTTTTGGCCACGGCATTCCAAACCACTAGAGGGCGCCCGCAGTTCCTTGTGTGGTTCCCTTCCCAGGTCCTCTCATGCTTTGAGTCTCTGACTTCTCTGTTTATAACCTCTACATTCAGATTGAAAGGGTCCATTGATTATGTCATCCCTACTAGATAATCTCCCTATTTTTATTTTTGAGACAGGATTTTGCTCTGTAGCCCAGGCTGGAGTGCAATAGTGTGATTGGGGCTCACTGCATCCTGGAACTCCTGGGCTCAGGTGATCCTCCCACCTCTGCCTCCCTAGTAGCTGGGACTACAGGCACGTGCCACCAGGCCTAGCCCTCTCCATATCTTAAAATCAACTGATTTGGGACCTTAATTACATCTGCAACTTCACAGCTGCACTAGATTCATGTTTGACTAAATTACTGGGAAAGGAGTCATGTTTGACCGAATTACTGACTCATGTTTGACTGAATGACTGGGAAAAGAGTAATTACTGAATTACTCTGATGCGAATTATGCATACCAGAGGCTATGAGTCTTTGAGACCATCTTAGAATCCTGCCTTTCAAGAGGAGATACAGGCTGGGGGATTGGGGAGTGATAAAGGATACAGTCTGGTGGGGCAATAGATTGGAGAGGATACAGGAAGGTGGATAATAAAAAGCCGAGATGGATACAGGTTAGGAAGTGGTACAAATTAAGAGAGGATACAGGCTGGGGCGTGATGCAGGCTGAAGAGAGGATAAAAGTCAAGGGAGGATACAGGCCAGGGAGAATACAGACTGTGGGAAGGTCTGAGGGGCTGAGGAGTGATACACACTAAAAACAATACAGGCTGGAGTGGGATGCTGGAGGAGGCACTGTGGGCAGCTGGGTGCCTGACACGTGGCTAGTTGAATCTGAGTGCTAAGACAGAACTGCATGCCCAGGTGTGATGGCAGCATTCCACCCAGCCTCGGTAATCAGGGAGAGTTTCCTGAACAGGATGGCTAAGGTGAGTTTGGAACCATGTGTAAGTATCCTTAGCCAGACAAAGAAGACACAAATGTTCAATTCAGGTGAGAGAACATGAGCCCATCCCAGGCACAGAGGTGTCAATGTAGATTACGATGCTTAGTTGGGAAGCTAAATCTTTGTCACCAAGGCTGGAGGGCAGTGGCATGATCTCAGCTCACTACAACCTCTGCCTCCTGGGTTCAAGTGACTCTCCTGCCTCAGCCTCCTGAGTAGCTGGGATGACAGGCATGCACCACCATGTCTGGCTAATTTTTGTAGTTTTTAGTAGAGACGGGGTTTCACCATGTTGGCCAGGCTGGTCTCCAACTCCTGACCTCAGGTAATCCACCTGCCTTGTTCTCCCAAAGTGCTGGGATTACAGTGTGAGCCACCGTGCCTGGCCGGGAAGCTAAATCTTTGGTTAAACTCTTAAATGTGTTTCTTTACCCTTGAAACAGGAAAGTGCCACTGAATAGGAGAGGAAGAGTCCTGGATTATGCATCCAGAGATTTGGGTTCCTGTGTAGGCTTTGCCCTGACATTGGGCAATCTCTTGCAGGTTTAGTGTCTCATTTGATAAATAAGGAAATTGGAGCAGAAGAGAAGCACACCTCCATAATTATTATGTGTTTTGAGATCTTTAAATGAGATAAATCTATTAAATATCTGTAATAGGCCAGACATTATTATAATTCCAACTTATTTTCAGCTATGTAAGTCATGTAATTGGTTCTAGTTAAGTGCAGTTTCATAAAATGCTAGATCATTTAAATAATAGTATAATCTCAATAAATTTAAAAACATTTTCTGCCTATGTAAAAATGTTTCTGCTTGGGGAAAAATTTAGTGTTAATGGGAACCTGGTGGATGGACATAGTGCAAATTACTTAGTTAAATTTGACAGTTTCATTGGCGAAACTTGGTGAAATTCCAAGAAAATACCACAGAATTATGCCAAAATTACCATTCTAAAATCTATTCCCAGAAAATTGTTCTTTCCACAATAACCTGAAGTTTAAATATAGGGATACTGATAGGTCCATTTTTATTCCCAGAAAGTTCCTCAAGAAATAAAAAAAATCCATTAGCCATCAACTCAGGAAATACGTGCTTCTATAGCTGAAAATCAATACTTCATTACCCGGGTCTGCAATTGTTTCACATAATAGTATTCATTGAATATGTAATGGGTGTTAAAGACACTGTGTTTAGTACATTACACCTTATCTCGTTTAATTCTCCCAATAATCCTAGGATATCAAAACTATTATTATCCTATTTTGAAGCTAAATGCATGCTCCTGGTTCCTATGCAATACTTTTACTTAGATTGTTTGAACACTTATTTGCTCTCTTATCTCAGGAAAGGCCAAGAACCTCCAGGTGACCTCTACAGCAGTTCAAGTCATGTTACTAAGAAATGGCTCAAAGGCATAGCCAGATTCTACTACTAAGGAGAGCTGCAATGTAAAAAAGGTGCCACTTGTGGATTTTCTGGTCTGAAAATATGCTCCTTTTGGGACAGTGATTTTCCTGTGCTCCCCCTCTAAATATATAACTGTTTTGCTTCAACCAGGGAAGCTATTAAAAATACTCAGCATGGCAAAAGCACTAGCCAATCAGAAGAGACCTTCAACTGTGCCAGGGTGTATTAGTCTGTTAGGGTTGCCTAACAAAGTACCATGAACCAAGTGCCTTAAACAACAGAAATTAATATTCTCATAGTTGTGGAGTCTAGAAGCCCAAGATCAAGGTGTCGACAGGGTTGGTTTCATCCGAGGCCTCTCTTTGTGGCTTGTAGATGGCCACTTTCTCTCTGTGACTTCACATGGTCTTCCATGTCTGTCTGTGTCCCTTTTATAAGGACACAAGGCATATGGGGTTGAATTTTTAATTAATTACCTCTTTAAAAACCCTCTTGGCTGGGCTTGGTGGCTTACGCCTGTGATTCCAGCACTTTGGGAGGCCAAGGTGGGAGCATCACTTGATCTCAGAAGTTCGAGACCAGCAGGCAACATAGCGAGACTTTGTCTCTACCACAAAAAAAAAAAAAAAAAAAAAAAAAAAATTAGCCAGGCATGGTGGTCCATGCCCGTAGTCCCAGGTACTCAGGAGGCTAGGCAGGAGAATCCCTTGAGCCCAGGAATTTGAGGTTACAGTGAGCTATGATGGCACCACTGCACTCCAGTCTGGGCAACAGAGCAAGATCCTGTCTCTAAAAATAAAAATAAAAATCTAAAAAAGACTCTCTTTCCAAATACAGTCACATTCTCAGGTACTGGGAGTTAGGGCTTCAGCATGTGAATTTTGGGGGAATACAACTCAGTCCATAACACAGGCGTTACTCCCATTTACTTCAGGATGGTGGGGAAGAGGCGGAGGAGTTGAGGCTGGGAAAGGGATGACATTGGGCAGGCTTGGAGCAACAGCCTGGGATAATGGATAATTTCTTCCATATATTTATCATCTGCTTTAGATGTCCTTGATGTCTGCCACATTTCTTATACCCAGGTAGAAGGAGAGGGAGAGGAAGTAAGATCAATTGCTTATGTTTGTGCCTTGGGCAAAAGAATGGGCCTGTAAAACTGCTTATGAATGAATAATGCATTGCACCACGTGAAATTTTGTTATATTCCTCAAGGCTGCCTCAAACACAGCAGCATACTGGAATTAAAGACTCTGAAATTGAAAAGGATTGGGCCAAAGTACTCAGGCTCATGTCTTTGAAACAAGGAACAATGTATACACTGGAGAAGACATTAGATTTTAAAAGCAGCAGTATGAAATCTAGAAAGTAGAAGTATGAGAAGAGAAAATCAGAAGAATAGAATTTAAAAGAGAAATGGAGAGTAACAAGGAAAAAAATCTGTTTTTTTTTTTTTTTTTTTTATGAACTGAGCAGAATATGATCTGACTGAGAAGTGCCCATCAATGTAAGACTGATTGCTAGGAACAATGTCATAAAATGAACGTTAGCTGGCAATGGCAAGTGCCTTAAAACGCCTTTTGCAAAGAGAGAAACAGAAGGAAAACAAAACATGTCGCTATGCCTGAATACCACTTATAGAAGGCTCCTAAAAGCAAGAAGAGGAGAAAAGAAAGAACATCACATGACCCTCCATTTATCTTTACTGGGAATCTTTTGGAGAAAAGTTCATTTTGTCTTTTGTGGTGATGCCTCACACTTTAGACCAGTCCAGAAGTAAATAATTTTCTCTATATGAGACATGCTTTCAATCACCCTGATTCTGAAGGAAGTCTTTCCACCCCTTTGGGCTATTTTTGTAAACAAGTTATGGAGGAATTGCTTTGGACTGATTCTGCAAAGTGAATCTTTTATGCCTACTTTATATTGTAGGTCTTGAGGAAAAAAAAATAAAACAAAACATATTGCTGTGGCTACTTCAAAGGACTTAGGCCTGCATGAAATCTAGTTCTGGATTCATCTCGAAGCAGGTTTCTGTTTTTGTTTTTAATCTTACACTCAGGATATTTCTTGTTCATGCACAACTCCTCTTTGTTTTTTGTTTTTTTGTTTTGTTTTTTGAAACAAGGTCTCACTCTATTGCCCAGGCTGGAGTGCAGTGGCATGATCACGACTGACTGAAGTCTCAATCTCCCAGGCTGCCTCTACAAAAATTCAAAGAATTAGCCAGGTGTGGTGGCTAGGTCATGTTGCTTAGGCTAGGCTCAAACTCCTGGGCTCAAGTGATCTGCCCATTTTGGCCTTTCAAAGTGCTGGGATTACAGGTGTGAGCCACCATGTCAGGCCTGCAACTCTTCTTTAAATTAATGTGAACTTCACCAATAAAAAGGATCACAGACTTGTGGTTAGAAAGGGACTTGAAACGTCAATTGGCTCAGTTCTCTGGTTTCATACAGGACACATGCACATATGGACTAACTCCTTTTCAAAGGATGTAAAAAATAATTAAATCTTAAGTCTCAGAGGCACTTACATTGGAATGTATCTTCCCAATTTGAATGAGATTGATGTATTTCATTCTGAAGCTAGCCAATTTCCTTTGCATGTGAGTAGTATTCAGTTTCATGCTTCATAATTATAAAATGTTGAGCATTGTAGTGTTACATATTTATTTAGGCATAAGCTATGGCCATGATTGGTCAACAAATACCTTTTGAGCAGCTGCTATGTCAAGGCACTTCTGTAGGTGTTGTGGGAGATGTGAGATTATTTAAAACACACTGTCGGCCGGGCGCGGTGGCTCACGCCTGTAATCCCAGCACTTTGGGAGGCTGAGACGGGCGGATCACGAGGTCAGGAGATCGAGACCATCCTGGCTAACACGGTGAAACCCCGTCTCTACTAAAAATACAAAAATTAGCCAGGCATGGTGGCGCGCGCCTGTAGTCCCAGCTACACGGGAGGCTGAGGCAGGAGAATGGCGTGAACCCGGGAGGCGGAGCTTGCAGTGAGTCGAGATCGGGCCACTGCACTCCAGGCTGGGCGACAGAGCGAAACTCCGTCTCAAAAAAAAAAAAAAAAACAAAAAAAAAAAACACACTGTCTTAATTCAAAGAGCTTATAGTTTTCTTGGGGGAAAGACAGTTACACACACATGCACTAACTATATTAAGAATTGGCTTTCCATGTAGACTTTATCAAATAGCTCTGCTTTGTGATAGTATCACGGAAAAAGATGATGAAAATCCATACTCCCTTTAGATCATGAAAGAAGCCTATAAATAAATTTTACATTGTGTGTTATTGGTAATGTTTTTAAGTATATACCTTTTCCTCTCAACTAAATTTAAGATTCCCAGGGAATGCTGAGTTCAATGATTGATCTCTGCATACTCCATATACCTCCCACAAAACAAAAACATTTGTTGGTGATTAACCATGGAGCTAAGCTCAATGCCAAAATACACACATAACCCACATTACATGATGCAGTGCCCATGGCTTAATGACTATGAAACACAAACTCATCTAGGGCTGTTTGGCCCCCAAAATTTACCAAAATTTTATAGGAATAAAAAATTTAGCAGGAGGTTGAGTGTTACACTGAAGGAAAGTCTTTTTTTTTTTTTTTCACTGACATCCATACCATATTTAAACCTTGGTCAACCAGTATTCAAATTGTTGGTATTATTCTGATTATGAGCTACATTGTAATGGAGAAAATCTCCATTGATAGTATCCTGTCCTTTGCTTTTGCTGTCAACGTGCTCTTTGAATGTACTCTTGTGTGTCCTGAACTTGATGTTAATAACTGAATCATATTCTTTAAAAGTGACATAAACAACGTTTGTTGGAAGGTGGATAATAAATAATAATACAGTTCTTCTCAGTAAATACACTTGGTAGCTTTTCCACATCTACAACTATCTCCATAATGTCCTTATTGAGTGAACTAATGGTGTTTCATCAGAAACCCACAACCCAGTCAGACTTAAATTCATCCTGGTTTTAGGAGCCTACACAAAAGAGAATATATAATCTCTCTTGCTAATCTACTCCAGCGTCTGAGAATTTTCTGTGACAAGAGTGCTTCCTTGAGCCTGAACTTTGCTTCTCCTGGTAAATCCATTTTCTTTAATTCTACCCTTAATAGAGACAGAGAAGAGTAAATAATCTTTCTTTGCAACATAGGCAGTGGTTATGTATACCATTATGTCAGGAATAAATATCTCAAACCCATTGTTTAAGATAGGGAGCCTATGAGAGTCATTGATTTATTTACCATTGAACATTAAAAAATACAAAGATGGAGATAAGACTCTTTTGTCTGACAAAGTAAAAGGCAATTCATATCTTTTTTAGAGTTATGGATGCCATTTTGAATACACAATAGTTACTCCTGATGGCCAATTCATTTAGAATTAAAGGATACATTCCACAGAAGACATTAGACCTTCGATGTTCGAATCTCTTGAAAGGGATTTTTATAGACTGTCTCACAAGGACATATTCATGGCAGTAAAGGAAAGGACAAGATTTATTTTTTGTAAATGTTTTCAGCCTCTTTATCTAAAAAAGCTTTTTAAAAATGGCTGGTATACTTTTTGTAATTTTGTTTCTTTCTGTACCTGCGTTAGTGGTCCGTTCCTCTCTTATCTTGCTTTTTCAAGGCAACAGACAAAATTCCATCTCTTAGAACTGAATAGAAAGTTCAGGGTCTAAATAAATCCAACACTTAATAAGAGAATATTGAAAAGAATAGATTTTTAAAGAAGCAAATGTAAGGCATACAATATTCTGCTTCTATAATTGTAATAACTTTCTTGGGGAGAGCAGAGAAGCAAGAGGATTCACCAGAGTGTTAGGTAATAAAGACAGGTAAATGTAGTGGACTTGTGTATTAGCAGTTAAAAGCAACTACAGGTCAAGCACAGTGGCTCACACCTGTAATCCCAGCACTTTGGGAGGCCAAGGTGCGTGGATCACTTGGGGTCAGGAGTTTGAGACGAGCCTGGCCAAGCGAAACCCCACCTCTACTGAAAATACAAAAAATTTGCTGGGCATGGTGGTGTGCACCTGTAATCCCAGCTACACGGAGGCTGAGGCAGGAGAATGGCTTGAACCTGGGAGGCGGAGGTTGCAGTGAGCCGAGATCGTGCCACTGCACTCCAGCCTGGGTGACAGAGGGAGACTGTTTCAAAAAAAAGCAACTACAATGTATAAAAGTCTGTTCCAAAGCCTTGTTTAAGGAAAATAGTTTTATTATGGGATTATTCTTCCTACTTGTCTTCACAAAAAACTGCATACCAATGACCTAATTTAGTAGGAGGTAAAAATCTAAGCCCACTGGCACTGCAGTAGTTCAAGATGGGTCATGCCAAGTGTTCAGAGGGTTTTGGATGCAATGAAAACATCTATCAGAATTAATAAAGCGGATTCTGTCTAACATGATTACCATTATCTACATCATCATCACCACAAAAATAAAATATTTATTGAATACCAAGAGTGAGTGCAGTATACTTAGCAATATTATTTTACACTAAAGTCCACTCCTGGGAATTAGAATTTCAACTTAAAAAATTAAAAGCAATCAGTCAGGCCTGATAGTGCACATCTGTAGTCCCAGCTGCTCGGCAGGCTGAGGCACAAGAATCGCTTGAATCTGGGAGGTGGTTGCAGTGAGCTGAGATCGGGCCACTGCGCCTCCAGCCTGGGCAACAGAGCGAGACTGTCTCAAAACTAAAAACAAACAGAAAAAATTAAAAGCCACAAGAAAGTCCCCAATGGAGAATTAGAGTCAGGGAGCAGTTGGGCAGAGAACAGTGGGAGATGCTGAAATGCTCATGTTCATAAACTTTTAGGAAGGCCAAAAGGAAAAGATCATTTATTGCAGGGAGGACTTCAATATCCAACTTACAAATGACTCCTGTTCTACATAGCAGCTCCAGTTCTTCATCTTCCACGGCAGGACCTCCTTGTTGTGTATTTGGGGAGCCAATAAGAACTATAAAATCCAAGGAAGGAATTTTATAAAAAGGGAGGAAAAAAATCACTGAAAAACAGGAATGGTTTTGAGGAGATCTCAGGTAAACTCAACCTTCCAAGAAGAATTTTTTCTCATGTGGCTCTTCCATTTCATTTTATTCGACGGCCTCAAATCCTTGTGGCGGTACAATTTCAAATGAAAACAAGACAAAACAAACTGCAACAAAAAACGCCCTCGGCAAACGGTAATGCAGAGTCTGGGGAGGACCTGCCAGCTGGTCTGCAAGAACCCTTATGAAGTGGCACTTACCTCGGTCAAGTCAGCTCTGCTCAAGGCCTTGTTCTTAACTTTGCAAGATCAGAAACCCAATTTTTATGGGCGTGAATAGATGTGTTAGGAACAGACTCAAACAATTCACTCACATAATACAGAATAACAATTTTATAGAGGTCAAGCAGACAGAAATGTTCGTATCAGCAGAGACCCACGTGCCATGTACATGGGACTTGGTACGTGGGAATCAAACTAATGACAATTAGTTACCATACTGAGAAGCATTTCTTCCCAACTGAGTGACAGCCTCTCCAAGGACACCATAATGCTTACATCTGCATTGCCAAGGCTCTTCCCTCTGTGTGGTATTTGAATGGGTATCGTTCACTTCTGGCTCTTGGTGGTTGGTTATCCTGTTCTTTGCTAAACTTGACCAGTTCCTCTGTGACACAAAAACTTTCTACTAACCAGGACCAACTAATTGCCTAAAACTGAGAGGGCTACTAGATGAAATGCAGGATGCCCAGTTAAACTGGAATTTCAGATAAATCACAAATAATGTTTCAGTACTGTCTGTCCCATTCTTTTAATATTTGGGACACACTTTTGCTAAAAATTGTTTGTGGTTTATCTGAAATTCAAATTTAACTGGGAATCATCTATTTTTATTTGCTAAATCTGGCAACCTTAAAACTGCCTTCCTAAGTTTCCTTGCTTATTACCTTGATTGGAGGTTTTTTTGTTTTTGTTTTTGTTTTTTTTTTTTGAGATGGAGTTTCGCTCTTGGCCCAGGCTGGAGTGCAATGGCGCAATCTCAGCTCACCGTGAACTCTGCCTCCCAGGTTCAAGTGATTCTCCTGCTTCAGCCTCCCGAGTAGCTGGGATTACAGGCATGTGCCACCATACCCGGCTAATTTTGTATTTTTAGTAGAGACAGGGTTTCTCCATGTTGATCAGGCTGGTCTCGAACTCCCAACCTCAGGTGATCTGCCCACCTCAGCCTTCCAAAGTTCTGAGATTACAGGTGTGAGCCACCGCACCTGGCCTGATTGGAGTTTTTATTATTCCCAAGCTCTAAACCTCCCCCTCACACCCGCCCCCCGCCACCGCCCCATAGTTTCTTGCTTTACCTGTAAAAGGTTAATAACATTCATTGTATGTGGATTTACTTATTTGGCTTGCACAGTACAACTTTCCTTAACCCACAATTTGTGTGTGTGTGTGTTGAGGGAAGAGAAGAGTAAATCTTATGACCACTGCCATGTATCAACAGCAGATGTTGAGATAAATTGTATAAACCAGAGTTGTTGAAAGCAGTACAAACCATTTTTGGAAGGATACAGGACTAGTATAAATGAGTTCCAATAAGATCACTTTACTTTTACTGCACATCTGAAATAATTTATATTGAGGAAATGGGAGACAGGAATTTTGCTATGAGAGAAGGGTAATTTTGAAGAATGGAAAATTTTGAGTCTAACTCAGGTCTGGAACTAGAATTCTGTACTTGGAACTTAGATTATCATGTGGCTACTGAGTCTCTAAGAAGAGTAGGATGTTAGAAAGGGATACTGAAAAGGAGGCAGGAAGATGTCAAAGAAACTTTGAATGTCTTGGCCGGGCGCGATGGCTCACGCCTGTAATCCCAGCACTTTGGGAGGCCGAGGTGGGTGGATCACGAGGTCAGGAGATCGAGACCATCCTGGCTAACACGGTGAAACCCCGTCTCTACTAAAAATACAAAAAATTAGCCAGGAGTAGGTGGCAGGCGCCTGTGGTCCCAGCTACTTGGGAGGCTGAGGCAGGAGAATGGCGTGAACTCGGGAGGCGGAGCTTGCAGCGAGCTGAGATTGCGCCACTGCACTCCAGCCTGGGCGACACAGCAAGACTCTGTCTCAAAAAAAAAAAAAAAAAAAAAGAAGAAACTTTGAATGTCTCAGATTTGTGTGTAAATGTGAGGAGAACTGGAATTCCTTCCTCTTGCTGTCTCTCTTCTGCCTGGCCATCTGGTTAGAACACCCAGAATTCAGGTTAGTTTTTTTTTAGTACTATTATTTACCTGTATTTGGGTTGAGTAGACTTAATATTGTGGGCTAGCTAGTAGCCCCGCCATACTATATAACATTGTTTTTACAAGAAGATGTGGTCTGAGTTTCAAACAACTGACTTAAAAATAAAATGCTGAAATACAACGTGGTCAGGCTGGGTGTGGCTCATCCACCTGGTGGGTACTGAATCCAGGTAGAAGACCTGGCCACAGTGCAATGTATTGCACTGAATACATACAAAAAGCAGATCTCAGGCCAGGTGTGGTTGCTGACACCTATGATCCCAGCATTTTGGGAGGTCAAGGCAGGCAGATAACTTGAGTGCAGGAGTTCAATACCAGCCTGGACAACATGGCAAAACCTCGTCTCTACAAAAAATTAAAAAAAAAAAAAAGCTTGGTGTGGTGGTATACGCCTGTGCTCCCAGCTACTCAGGAGGCTGAGGTGGGAGGATTGCTTGAGCCTGGGGAGGTCGAGGCTGCAATGAGCAGTGATTGGGCCACTGAATTCCAGCTTGAGTGACAGAGCATGACCCTGTCTAAAAACAAACAAACAAACTTCATAGATTCAATTCAATCCAATCACATTCTGGAAGTACCTTATGTACCCATAATAATGTTTCAGTCAACCACAAACTGCGTATAAAATGATGGTCCCATAAGATCATGATGAAGCTGAAAAGTTTCTATCACTTAGTGACATGGTAGCCATCGGAATATCCTAGCACGATGCAACATAATGCATTACTCTCCTTTGTGTGGTGATGCTGGTGTAAACAAACCTACCATACTGCCGGTCATATAAAATTACAGCACATACAATAATGTACAGTAAATACTTGATAATAATAAATGTCTATGCTACTCTGGCTTATGTGTTTACTGTACTGTACTTTTTATCATTAGATTATACTACTTCTACTTGTATATAAAAATGTTAACTGTAAAACAGCATCAGGCAGGTCCTTCAGGAGGTATTGCAGAAGAAGGCCTTGTTATCACAGGAGATGACTGTTCTATGTGTGTTATAGCCCCTGAAGCAGGACAAGATGTGGAGGTGAAAGATGGTGATAATGATCCTGACTCTTTATGGGCCCAGGCTAATGTGTGTGTTTCTGTTTTGTTTTTTAACCAAAAAGTTTAATTTTTTTTTGAGACAGAGTCTTGCTCTGTTGCCCAGGCTGGAGTGCAGTGGTACGATCTTGGCTCACTGCAACCTCCGCCTCCCAGGTTCAAGCGATCCTGCTGCCTCAGCCCCCCTAATAGCTGGGATTACAGGCACGCACCACCATGTCTGGCTAATTTTTGTATTTTTAGTAGAGACAGGGTTTTGCAATGTTGGCCAGGTTGGTCTCGAACTCCTGACCTCAGGTGATCCACCCGCCTCAGCCTACCAAAGTGCTGATATTACAGACATGACCCACCTGGCCTTTTAAAATTTTGTTTTTTAAATAGAAAAAGGCTTATAGAATAAGGAAATAAAGAAATGAAATATTTTTGAACAGCTGTACAATATGTTTGTGTTTTAAGCTGTGTTATTACAAAAGAGTCAAAAGTTACCCAGCCGTGGTGGCATGTGCCCGTAGTCCCAACTACTGGGGAGGCTGAGGCAGGAGGATTGCTTGAGGTTAGGAGGTCCAGGCTGCAGTGAACTGTGATTGTACCACTGGACTCCAGCCTGGGTGACAGAGTGAGACCCTGTCTCAAAGAAAAAAAGAGTCAAAAGTTAAAAAAAATTTATAAAGTAAAAAATTCAGGTAAGCTATGGTTAATTTATTATTGAAGAAAAAATGTTTATGTCTACAGTACAGCCTAAGTGTACATTGTTTACACTACAGTAGTAGTGTAGCATACAGTTATAGCCTACATAACTACAGTAGTGTAGTTATGTACAATAGTATACAGTTATGTCAGTAGTGTAAGGTTACGTACATTACAGTAGTGTACAGTTATGTCCTAGGTCTTCATATTCTCACTCATCATTCGTTGACTCACCCAGAGCAACTTCCAGTCCTATAAGCTCCATTTATGGTAAGTGCTCTATACAGATGCACCATTTTTTATCTTTTATACTGTATTTTTACTGTATTGTTTCAATGTTTAGATATAGAAATACCATTGTGTTACAATTGCCTACAGTACTGAGTACAGTAACATGCTGTACAGGCTTGTAGCCTAGGAGCAATAGGCTATACCATATAGCCTTGGTACGTAGTAGGCTATGCCATCTAGGTTTGTGTAAGTATACTATTATGCTCGCATAACAACAAAATTGCCTAAGGATACATTTCTTAGAATGTATTCCCCTAATTAATCAATGCATGATTATACATAGATAATAATTTCTAAAGGGAGGGGGAATGGGTAACAGTGCATACCTGCTGGGCACCGTGGCACATGTCTATAATTCAAACACTTCGGTAGACCGAGGCAGGAGGATCGCTTGAGTCCAGGAGTTTGAAACTAGCCAGGGCAAGATAGGAAGACCCCATCTTTACCAATAATAATAATAATAATAATAATAATAATAATAATAATAATAATAAAAAATTAGCCAGTCGTGGTGCCGCATGCCTGTGGTCCCAGCTACTTAGGAGGCTGAGGTGGGTGATGGCTTGAGGTCCCAGGAGGAGGTCGAGGCTGCAGTGAGCCATGATGGCGCCACTGCACTCCAGCCTGGGGGAAAGAGTGAGATCCTGTCTCAAAAACAAACAAACAAACAAACAGAAACCAGTACATACCTGTGCATTGTGTTAGGTGTGGGGGTCAAAGGTGAGCCAGCTTTTGCTCTGACTTCAAGGTGTTTATAATTAACTACAAAAGGGGACTAAGGTATTATGAAGAAGGGAGCTAATAAGCACAATAAGGGACAAATGTGAAGAGTGCTCTGCAAATGTAAAATGCTGCGTTGTGGAGGTTGTTCCAAAACGGGCCTTTAGATTCCGACACCTCTTTCCACACCATTAGAAGTAACAGAAAAAGAAAACAGTCCTTGAGAGGCTCAAGAATGGAGGACACAAATTCCCGGTGGCCACGCGAGCCGGATGACCTTGGAGAAGTTACACAGCCCTTAGCCTTAACCTCCTACCCTGGTAAATGAGAACTACAATATCTACCCTTCTATCGTGCAGATTAAGCAGGTAAAGTAATGGGCAAAGCATCTACTCTTGTGCCTGGCAGGAGTAAGGGCTCAATAAACCTTACTTGTGACTAGCACTAGTTTGCAACTTCTCCGACGGACTGAGAAGGGACATTCTGTGTAGAGTTACTTTAAGGGTCCTACTTAAGGGCACCGCCAAGCCGTCCATAGTTTCCACAAGGAACACTGCAGTCTCAGATTTGCGCTCCTTGCCTGAACCAAAGACAGCAAAATTGAGGTTTTTCTCGTGTAAACGGTGCCCTGGTCTCTTCCGCGTAGATAGGGAGGCGAGCTGCCGCAGAAGCTCCCGCTTAAAGAGGGGAAGCGGAGCACGGGATCTCCGAGGGGTCCCAGGTGCCGGGACTCCAGCAGAAGCCGCCCCCGCGGGAGAGCGGAGGCGGGGAAGTGGGCGCAGGGGGGCGTGGGCGACGGCGTCGGCTGTCAGTGCCAGCAGAGCCAGGGCGGGCACACCTACTCACCGCCCAATCCCCGGCCGTAGCCGCGGCCTTATGAATAAGCAACAAAGCGAAGCGCCCTCCCCCTAGCGTCCCAGACAGCGGAGGGAGTCGCCGCCGCTACCGCCGCCGCCGCCGCAGGGCCCGCCGCTGGGATGCCGAGCGCCCGCGCCGCCGCTGCCTCTGTCCTCCGCGCGCTGCTCAGCTGAAGGCGCACAGGTGAGGACGGGCCCGGCTCCGGCCACTTGGGCGGCCGCGGCTGCAGACGTGGCGCCGGGGCAGGGACGGAACCGGAGCCTCAGTGGCGTGGGGTCGCTCCGCGAGCGTAACAGTCCCGGGAGCGTTGCAGCCCTGGGTGCGCCAGGCGTGCGCCCCGATCCTCCTCCGGAGCGCGGTGCCCAGGTGTGGGGTGCGCGGGGGCAGCTCTGGGCGCGCTGGGCGCGGCGCGCAGGCCTCGGAGGACTCACCGCACTCCTAGCTCCAGCCCAGCCTCCCAGCTCCGCACCAGCGAGCCGGCCTTTGTGCTGGCGGAGCTTGCAGGGCTGGCTGCTTTTGTGTGGGCTTTTCTTTCTCTTTCTCCCTCCGCTCGCAATCCCACAGCAGTGAGAGAGAAGTTCCCGAAAACAACGGTTTACTCCTTTCAAACCGTCGATCGCAGTGTCCCCAATGCCACTCAGAGCCTAACAATCGAGGAGCGAATCGTTGCTGCGGTCACCACCGAAATATGTCCTGCCACTTTGCAGAAAACAAACAGTTGAGTGTTTAGCGCAGAGATGTCGAGCCTCCTTGCTCAGCCCCTGACTCGTCCCCCAGGACGCGGCTGGAGGACGCTCCTTGGAAAGGTCACTTAATTAGAAAGAGGGCCTGCGGGTTAGACCTGGGGGAGGCGAGGCTCTGCTTGAGACTCCGGAATAGTTGGGAGGTGCTGCCGGAGGTGCCCAAATGTCTCATGTGCCTCGTGGTCACTGACAGAATCTGACTTGTGTAGATTCCAAACATGTAGAACCTTGGCTGGCGAGGAGGCAAGCAGGAGTGAACAAAACAGGACCCTTAAGAGTTTGGGTTCTCAAAGATGAGATGATCCCGAGGATCCGCCTAGCACTTGGCATCCAATTTCAGTGCAGAACTGATGTGGAAGAGAGGAGAGATGGCTGCTTTAAAGTGTCTGCCTTCTTTCTTTGGAAGTTTTAGTTTGAAACTTGAGGGGGAGTGGGGAGTGGTTCACAAAACCATCCCTAGGGTTCTGAAGGATCTCTTCTCCAAAGGGCAAAAATTCTTGAGTGGTCAGAATTCACATGCCTTCTCTTTATTTTGGTGTATTTCCTTGATCACAAGTGATGCTGTTGGGCTCCAGGGAGTCTCCTTTTAGCCAAGCATCTACAGTCATTGACTGACTTCGGCACGTATGCCAGTAGAACCCCACAGTAGCATCTATTGAAACACACAACCGGCTAAGGTTTCACAGTATCAGAACATTGCTTCTTTTACACACAGAGGTTTAAAGGTACTCTGACTTGCTCTTATGAATAAAGTGGTTTTTTTTTTGTATTTGTCACAATAATGAACCGAGCACTTGTGCAGCAGACAGATTTGATATTAGTTGAGTTTATTCATAGAAACTCCCAAGGCTCACCAAGTCTAAGGTAGCTACAGCAACGGAGCCAATTAGAGAGATGTGAATTTGTCTTTGTTTTCATGGGAGGCTTCTTACTACATATTCCGGAGTTTCCTGCCAGACCTTTACAATATTATAATTTGGTATTACGGAAATGGTTCGATGCTAAATATAAGTGTAGAATCAAAATGAGGAAAACGGGTTTATCTGCTGTGGAAAATGTCCACTCCCCACCTAAAGGTGTCCTTTGCCCTTTATTCTGTAGATGTTTGTCTGAAAAGTGGTGTATGGAATTGTATTTTTGTTAATTGAACTTAAAAAACTTCTCACATAGGGAAGCTGTCTATGCAGAGGGAAACTGCTTTTAATTTTTGTAAAATGAAAACTCATTCCCTAAGCAAGATGTGAGGTCAATCTTATTTTTCCATATTGTGTTTACTTGGTGATTATAAGAGAAGTATCTGAAGCTAGTTTCAGCTTCCCTTTAAATGTCAGCTACTTAGAGATCTAGCCAAGCAAATGGCTACATTTGTGTACCACAAAAACCAGAAATGATATGTCCAATTGGGTCACTGAAATAAACTGTCTGATGGATGGAGAAGAGTTTGTTGATCAAGATTCATCAGGATAGGATTCTGCAGACAGCAGAACCCTCTCAGGTCACATTGTCTACATGATAAAGCTGAAAGGAGAAGCTCCATGAAAGTACCTTGGGGAAAAAAATGCTACTCCATTTGTGGCTGATGTTACAGATGCTCCAAATTGCTCACATTTCTGTATTTGACAGGAATGCATGTCAGTAGCATGCTAGTATGTCTTCTATTGCATGATAATTTACTTTTGTTTCAAACTGCTTTTATGTCTATTATCACTTTTGTGTGTGTTCTCCACCCTTTGAAAAAATATAACCAGCATTATTATTTCTACTTTGCAACAAGAAAACTTGAGTTTCAGTGATTTGCCTAAGGTAGAACTGGAACTCGAAGAAGCCTGTTTTTAAATCTTCAAGTCCATCTCCTTTTACCAGGGATGAGATGATATGCTAGGGGTGATAAGCACGGATATCTTCATTTGTCTACATCACTAATTTGTAGAGACTGAAGCTCCTGGGCTCAGTATGTAGAACTTAGGTGTGGTCTTCAGGGATGGTAAAGTACTTTTTACTGGTATTTAGTTTCCAGTAATTTAGCTATTTTGACCCCAGCCTACTTACCCTCTTCCCTGCCAGCTCTGGGGCTGCTTTCCTCCTGGGGGACCATGCTTTTCTTTGTGGTTACTTACTCCTTCTCCCTCCTTCCATTGTGATGGAACATGCTGCTGAAAGGATTGTTTGTCATTCAGCTATTTAATTTATGGTGAAGTATAGCTGCAGCCTAGATCCTAAAGCCAATATAACAGACCAGTGATGATTGTCAGTAGCACAGTGAATCAGAAACGTGGTACCTTAATGCCATTTGCCACAGCTGGGTTAATAGAGTGAGAGTCTTTATAAGCTCAGCTTTAAGTAAATACAATAGTATTGGCAATAAAATAGTGTTGGCAGTAACAGCCTTAAGGATTTAAAAAAAGAAAAAGTAAGACAATGATAAATTAATCATTGAGGAATGGTCATGAAAAGGACAAAGTGGAAAGATTGTTAAGACACAAAATGGAAAGATTATTAAGACACAAAGATTATTAAGACACTATCCCCCTCATCAGAGAATCACTAATTGTATTTCAAAAGGTGAGATGGTATTTGGCAAGCATGTTGACTTGACGCTGTGAGACTTGTTACCTGTAACTGTTGGTCTGTTGCGTGTGTGTGTGTGTGTGTGTGTGTGTGTGTGTGTAATAAACTCTGAAACCTTAAAATATAGCAGAAATGAGAACACATAAGTTATTGTTATTGTTAGAGTGACAGTTAAATAAGTAGCCAAAATTGGCTAGGTATTGAATAAAACATACAAGTAGACATGGTTAGACCATGAAATGTCATTAAAAAAATCTTACAGTACAAAATAAGGACTTGAAACGTTCTTTTTCATATTCTTAAATGGTTATTTATATTCACATCATGCCAACAAATATTTATGGAATCTCTCCTCTTTGTGCCTACCCTTATTACTAATTATGTGGCAAACAAAGGAATGGTAAAGACTAGTGTTTGTATGCAAAGAACATAATCTCATTTGAGGTGCTGAGACTTAAATGACAATTCATGCTACAGGAGCTAGGAGAAGGGTGGGGAAAGAATGGGCCAGAATGGGATGTGACCTGGGAGGCCAGGGTTTGGATACCTGGGTAGGGAACCATGGGTCGTACAGTGTCATTCTCAAAACTTGGGAGCCTGAGAGCTGAGCACGGTGGCTCACGCCTGTAATCCCAACACTTTGGGAGGCCGAGGTGGGTGGATCACGAAGCCAAGAGTTCGAGACCAGCCTGGCCAACATGGTGAAACCCCATTTCTACTAAGAATACAAAAATTAGCCGGGTGTGGTGGCACATGCCTGTTATCCTAGCTACTCGGGAGGCTGAGGCAGGAGAATTGCTTGAACCTGGGAGGTGGAGGTTGTGAGCCGAGATCATGCCACTGCACTGTAGCCTGGGCGACAGAGCGAGACTCCATCTCGAAAATAAAACAAACAAAAAACCAACTTAGGAGCCTGAGATGAGTATGGCACATAAAAGTGCTATGTATGTGACTGATGATGGTGTTTATACTGGGCACCAGTGGTATGGGGTTGCCTTATTAGAGATGGATTTTGGCAATTGCATATTTGGGGACATTATATGCTGTGTTTTGGGAAAGCAGAGAGTTGTCTGGCAAAGGTAGGGACGTTGAATTCTGACAGAATCCAAAAGATCAAAAACAGACACTATCCCTTAGGCAAGTTACTTATCCTCTACCAGCCTGTTGTTTTCCTCATTTAAAAAGTGGAATAACGACAGTATACCTCATTAGGTTGTTGTAAGGATTAAATAAGATAATTTCCACTGGGCACTTAGAACGCTTGGCACATAGCAGCTCCTAAGTGGTAGCTGTCTTTGATTGATTATTGCAATTTTTATTCTTAAGAATAAACCAGCTGGGTGTGGTGGCTCACACCTATAATCCAAGCAATTTGGGAGGCTGAGGTGGGCGGATCATGAGGTCAAGAGATTGAGACCATCCTGGCCAACATGGTGAAATGCCGTCTCTACTAAAAACACACAAACTAGCTGGGCGTGGTGGCGTGCGCCTGTGGTCCCAGCTACTCAGGAGGCTGAGGCAGGATAATCGCTTGAACCTGGGAGGAGGAGGTTGCTGTGAGCTGAGATCTCGCCACTGCACTCCAGCATGGAGACAGAGTGAGACTTCCTATCAAAAAAAAAAAAAAAAACCATCTGGATTGTATAAAATAGATTGGAGAGGAGAGAGCCTAGACAAGGTTATCAATGAAGAGGCATTTAAAATAACTATCCAATGAGGTGATCAGAAGTTACAATTCCAAAAGAGATTATGAGAGGAGGATCCACAGCGGTTGTGAATCTAGAATGTAAAGGAGAGAAGAGTTCAAGGTGGCCACCAAAGTTCAGATGAAGATGGTTGTGTTTGAAGTGTCATCAAAGTAACTTCCAGTTGACAATGAAAAGCCAAGATGAGGTAGCTTTCTTCACCTACCCCATAGCAGCTCTCTGTAGTTTTTGTGTATATCATAAGAAAAGGAAAATATAAAGCGAACTGTCACCAGTTTCTTGGCACACTCTACAGCCCTCCTGTGTCTTGAGCACTCTTGGGGCGATGCTCATTGTGCCTTAATATTATATATGAAACTCAGTTGACACTGGAAGTAGTAGCTTCATCACTGGTGAGAATGATTTAACATATTGGTTTCCCTTTTGTGTCTTCATTTTGGTAACATACTGAAATAGCAGTATTCATTTTAGTTGGAAAAAATATTGACCAAGTGCTTACAAAATCTGATTAAGTCTAACCAGATGGCCAAGGCTGGTATTTTTTATGTTGCCTTTCGTTTGTCTTTGAAACTTGAATATGCCTAGACTTGACAAAGAAACAGATTCTGGACTGTAGCTATGTAAGATTGTCAAAGATAATGCCTGACAGAACAGCTTATCTTGCTCACTGGTGGCAGAAATGCAGTAAATTGTTTAGAAGACTGCCAAGCTATTAGGATAGATAGCTTGATAGCAAATGATAGACAAAGTGCTACTGACCTGCTCTGAAGGAGATGCTTTTTAAGCTATTCAAAGCTGATATCCAACATCAGTTGGTAATTTGGTTAGAGCTTATTTATCTGAATTAATTTGCATGGAGAGATACAGTGAAAAGAAAGCAGCATCCAAATACGCAGTGGGAGGGAAAAGGAAGAGGAATGTTCTTTTTGTTTGTTTGTTAAACATTCTTATGATTGAGTTAATTGAAGATAATTAAGACACAGAATTCTAATATGCAATGGAATCTCTCCTCCTTCCACTTCTCCCAGCAAAGTGGGCTATAGACATTCATCTGTTTGTTCAGCCAATATTTACTGAGCATTTCTTCTGTGCCAGGCACATTGCCAGGAAGGGGATACAGTGTTGAGGAAAAAGGAAAGGCTCATAGCCTTCAAAATATGGTTGCAGATGGTTATTTAGGTTTAGGAATATTGTTGAACTGACAACAGTCTTCTCGTTTATTCTTGAGCATCATGTAACTCCCATTGTGGGACATTAGAAAAATGGGAGTGACTACATGAACCTATACTGGGCTTTGAAAGATGGAGAAAATCCTGGAATTTGAAGGTCATCTATCAGTTTATCTGAGTTCCAGACGTGTTTTCTGTTATTCTTTTTACAGGCTGTCTTTTTTCCTTTTAACGTATAGTTGTTGCTTTCGATAGTGGGGAGAGGGAACATATGGCCTCAATACACAGACATAGAAAAAGCTTTCATCAATGCCTTTGAAAAGGGGGGAGAAAAGCAAAGGCTTGCGGTTCACCCCCACTCTTTCTGTTGTATTTGAATTTAGAAAGCAGGTGGCTGACAATCACAGAAGGCAAGTCTTTTGGAGCAATAGCAGAATTCCCTTCACGCAAAAATTCTAAAACCCAAGATACAGATGAAAATAAACTTGGAAGGAAAATTATGTTTTGGAAAGGCAGTGGGGCTGTATTAAGTCTTTATTATTTATCCCTTCTTCCCTTGATCTGATTTGTTTGTAAAATTTTTCTCTCAGTCCACATGACTCCAGAACATACACATAGCACATAAAGCATCTGCTCCACCATTTGAGTGCCTTTCCTAGTTGATGGCAACATTATAGGAATATAGAAATATTTGTATTTTTATTTCATGTCATATAGGTGAGGTATGAGAATAAAATCATGGATGAAGAAGGGATTTGAATGATTATTTTAATTCCTCATTTTGTCAAAGGAGAAACTGAGGCCACTTGCTCAGTATCATATAGCAAGTTTCAATGTCAATAAAGCTAAGATTCAGGAATCATTTTTCTGATGCCAGCCCAAGTCCCTCTAAACTCTATTACCATTCATGATGGCCTGGGGCTTTCAGATTTTTATTCAGAAGTATGGGATCATGTGGGCCAAGGTTTTAGGCCACACGTTTAGTAAGATTTCACTGAATAGAAAAAGTATTTGTTTAGGAAGGGGCAGCTATCTGAACAGATCAGAAATGAACCACAGAGTTCTATAGCTTTTATGACTGTTCGACTATATAGATAGAATTTAGTAGGTCAGTTTGTCTGAACAGAAATCCGAAGGTGTAATTTCATTGACTGTCAATTCTCTTGTTTCACAGCTATCATATTTTTTTTGTTTGTTTTTTTTTGAGATGGAGTCTTGTTCTGCCACCCAGGCTGGAGTGCAGTGGTGCGATCTTGGCTCACGGCAAGCTCGGCCTCCTGGGTTCACGCCATTCTCCTGCCTCAGCCTCCCGAGTAGCTGGGACTACAGGCGCCCGCCACCATGCCCGGCTAATTTTTTTGTATTTTTAGTGGAGACGGGGTTTCACCGTGTTAGCCAGGATGGTCTCAATCTCCTGGCCTCGTGATCCACCCGCCTTGGCCTCCCAAAGTGCTGGGATTTCAGGCGTGAGCCACTGCGCCAGGCCTCATATGTTTTGTTGTTGTTGTTGTTGTCTGTTTGTTTTTGAGACAGGGTCTTTTCTCTGTCGCCCAGAATGGAGTGTAGTGGTATGATCACGGCTCACTGCAGCCTTGACTTTCTGGGCTCAAGTGATTCTCCCACCTCAGCCTCCTGAGTAACTAGGACTACTGGTGTGTGCCTGGCTCATTTTGTAGAGATGAGATTTGCCATGTTGCTCAGGCTGGTCTCAAACTCCTGGGCTCAGATGATCCTCCTGCCTTGGCCTCTCAAAGTATTGGGACTACAGGTATGAGCCACTGCACCTGGCCCCTTCATTACGTTTTTGTTTTAAGGAAGGCAAATAGAGGCATCAAGCCAAATTCAGTGATCTGTTACCTGGCTATGAACTAGAGTGCATCCTGGCTCATCTAAAGTACAGTGATAACTAATGTCCAGAATGTTGACATGCTGTGGCACATGCTATTTCCTCTTTATCAAATATCTTTGCCATTTTCTCTTTTTTAAAAAGAACAGTGTGGCCAGGTGTGGTGGCTCACACCTGTAATCCCAGCACTTTGGGAAGCTGAGGTGGGTGGATCGCTTGAGGTCAGGAGTTCTAGATCAGCCTGGCCAACATGGTTAAACCCTGTCCATACTAAAAATACAAAAATTAGCTGGGTGTGATGGTGGGCACCTGTAATCCCAGCTACTTAGGAAATTGAGGCAGGAGAATCACTTCAACCTGGAAGGTGGAGGGAGCAGTGAGCTGAGATCACACCATCAAACTCCGACCTGGGTGACAGAGCAAGACTCTGTCTCAGAAAAAAAAAAAAAAAAAAAAAAAAGAGGATGGGCACGGTGGCTCATGCCTGTAATCCTAGCACTCTGGGAGGTTGAGGTGGGTGGATCACTTGGGGTCAGAAGTTCGAGACCAACCTGGCCAGCATGGTGAAACCCTGTCTCTATTAAAAATACAAAAACTAGCCAGGCATGGTAGTGAGCACCTGTAATCCCACCTATTTGGGAGGCTGAGGCAGGAGAATCACTTGAACCTGGGTGACAGAGGTTGCAGCGAGCCGAGATGGCATCAGTGCACTCCAGCCTGGGCAACAGAGTGAGACTCCATCTCAAAAATAAACATACAAATAAACAAAAACAATGCTAGCTACCAGCATGTAATTTAATATTCAGATATGTTTGTTTCAAACCCCCATCAGCATATGGGGAAACTTAGCACCCGTCTCATTATCCTTGCAGATTGTTTGGGGACTTATGTTTCTTCTAGTCATCTCTGGCTTCAGTTTTCTTCAGCTAAATTTGTAATCCCTGATAGGCTGTTTCTTTTCTGCACATGACACTATTGTACTCGTGCTGTCATTCCATTCCTGTATTTCCCTGCAGCATTGTGGACTCAAGATTTCTGTGTAACAAATTACCCCGTAGCTTAGTGGCTTGAAATAACAATAAATATTTGTTATTTTATACCAGTTCTATGCATCATGAATTTGGGAGTAACTTAGCTGTGTGGTTATGGCACAAAGTCTTTCAAGAAGGTGTAGTCAAGATGTCAGCCAGGGGTGCAGTCATCTGAAGGGTTGACTGGGGCTGCTGGACCCATTTCCAAGATGGTACACTCATGTGGTGGTGGTAGTTGGCAGGAAGCCTTAGCTCTAAATCCATGGATTCCTTTTTTCTCACGTAGAAAAAGTCAGTCTTCTTGTGCTGTGTGGTGGTATGTGCCTGTAGTCCTACCTACTTAGGAGCTTGATGCAGGAGGATTGCTTGAGCCCAGGAGTTCAAGTCCAGCCTGGGGAAAGAAAAAAAGAGAAGAAAGGGAAAGGAAGGGGAGGGGAGCTCACGCTTGTAATTTCAGCACTTTGGGAGGCTGAGGCAGGTGGATCACTTGAAGTCAGGAGTTCAAGACCAGTCTGGCCAACATGGTGAAACCCCGTCTCTAATAAAAATACAAAAATTAGCCAGGCATGGTGGTGCACGCCTGTAGTCCCAGCTACTCGGGAGGCTGAGGCACAAGAACTCAAGAGGCGGAGGTTGCAGTGAGTGACTCGCACTGCATTCCAGCCTGGGTGACAGAGTGAAACTCCATCTCAAAAAGAAAAGAAAAAAGAAAAGAAAAGAGAAGAGAAAAGAAAAGAAAAGAAACAAAAAAAGGAGGAAGGAAGGAAAATTCCGGCTTCTTTTTGTCTTCAGCCATGTAGATCATGTCCTGAGGACTTTACCTTTCTTCTTTCTTGAAAGGACCTATAAGACTAAATGAGATAACACATGGAAGCTTTGAAACTCCTTAAGGGAAGAAGGCCTTATGAAAAGAAATTTCTAAATTTCACATGTGCACATCATTTGCTTAACTTAGATCATTGAATGATTAGACATGAAAGCAAGAAAAAAATGTAAACTGTATGAAGTTGAGGTTTTTATTTTAGAATTTTAGTTTCAAGGTTTAATTTTCTAGAAAACTTGCAGCATCTCTGAGAAATTTCTGATGATGGGAAAAGAAAAGGCCCTACTCAGCAAAATAGATTAAAAAAAGAACTGAAACCCTTAAATTTGGGGGTAAATTAACAATTTTAATATAGTTTTAGTTGTAATGAGAATGTGAGTAGTTTATTTCAAATACTACAATAATTTTTTTATCTTATAATAATGGGTATTCAATAAAGATTGCTAATTTTAAAGTATATTTTGTTTTTTTCTGAAACTATTAACCTTGCTTAACTCTTAAACCTTTTCTAATCCTTAAATTTTGAAACATGTTTTGCCTGTAACTTTTATAGTTGTGGCAGAGAATAACAAATGATTTAAGCATTTAAAATACATATTTTCTTTTCTTTTTTTCTGCTCCAGTCAATGAAAGGGACACTTTATTGAGGCCCCAGGGCCATGGGGCCTGGGCAGAAGGCTGCTGCCCTTCAAGGAAGGAAGAGCCTTATTTGACCTTCTTCCTGGGGTACAGGTTGTTGGTGTGGCCGCATTTCTTCTTGTGGCAGTTGATAGCACCGGGGTGCAGGCAAGCATAGCACTTGCAGCAGATCATCTCGTCGCAGTTGTATTTCTGGACGAGCTGGCGGAGGGAAGGCTCAGTAATGCCACCTCGCAGGCGCAGCACCAGGTTTAGGGTGGACTCTTTCTGGATGTTGTAGCCTGAGAGAGTGTGGCCATCCTCCAGCCGTTTCCCAGCAAATATCAGACGCTGCTGGTCAGGTGGGATACCCTCCTTGTCCTGAATTTTGGTTTTGACATTCTAAATGGTGTCGGTGGGCTTGACCTCAAGGGTGATGGTCTTGCCCGTGAGGGTCTTCACAAAGATCTGCATCTCTGCGTCTGCAGCCCGGCCGCCTCGCTGAAGAAAAAGAGCTAAAAGACATATTTTCATTGAAAATTATTTACTTACTTTAAAAAACTCTTAAAAGTAACTGGTATTCAGCATTTAATGATGATATTTAGGGTTTTCAAACCCATTTTTCTTAGTCCATTTGGGCTGCTATAACAAAGTATAATAAACTGGATTTTTATAAACAACAGAAGTTTATTTCTTACAGTTCTGGAGACTGGGAAGTCCAAGATCAAGGTGACAGTAGATTTGGTGTCTGGGTAGGGCCCACTTTCTGGTTCATAGAAGGCACCTTTTTGCTGTGTCCTACATGGTGGAAGGGGCCAGGGAGCTCTTGGGGGTCTCTTTATTTTATTTTGAGATGGAGTTTCACTCTTGTCGCCCAGGCTGGACTGTGATGGCGCGATCTTGGCTCATTGCAACCTCCGCCTCCCGGGTTCAAGCGATTCTCCTTCCTCAGCCTCCCAAGGAGCTGGGATTACAGATGCCCGCCACCACACCCAGCTAATTTTTTTGTATTTTTAGTCAAGACGGGGTTTCACCATGTTGGCCAGGCTGGTCTTGAACTCCTGACCTCAGGTGATCCGCCCGCCTTGGTATCCCAAAGTGCTGGGATTTCAGGTGTGAGCCACTGCACCCGGCCCTCTTTTATATTTTATTTATTTATTTATTTATTTATTTATTTTTGAGACGGATTCTCCTGTCCAGGCTGGAGTGCAGTGGCATGATCTCAGCTCACTGCAACCTCTGCCTCCCAGGTTTAGGCAACTCTCTTGCCTCAGCCTCCCGAGCAGCTGGGATTACAGATGTGTGCCACCATGCCTGGCTAATTTTTGTATTTTTATCAGAGATGGGGTTTCACCATGTTGGCCAGGCTTGTCTCAAACTCCTGACCTCAAGTGATCTGCTGGCCTCGGCCTCCTAAAGTGCTGGGATTACAGGTGTGAGACACTGTGCCTGGCCTGGGGTCTCTCTTTTTTTTTTTTGAGATGGAGTTTTGCTCTTGTTGCCTAGGCTGTAGTGCAATGGCACGATCTCAGCTCACTGCATCCTCTGCCTTCCGGGTTCAAGCGATTCTCTCGCCTCAGTCTCCTGAGTAGCTGAGATTACAGGTGCCTACGCCCACTCCCACTCCCAGCTAATTTTTGTATTTTTAGTAGAGATGGGGTTTCACCATGTTGGCCAGGCTGGTCTCTAACTCCTGACCTCAGGTGATCCACCCATGTCAGCCTCCAAAGTGCTGGGATTACAGGTGTGAGCCACTGTGCCTGGCTCTGGGGTCTCTTTTATAAGGGCATAAATCCCATTCACGAGGGTTCTGTCCTCATGAAGTCATCACTTCTCAAAGGCCTTACTTCCTAATACTACCATGTTGCTGATTAGGTTTCAACACATGAATTCTGGGGGCCACAAACATTCAGACTGTGGCAACACTTAAAAAGTTATTTGAATGAATGTGTAAGACTTACTTTTTATTTCTTGGACATGTTGCTATTTCTACAGTCATTTGACTACATGGTTAATAGAGGAATTTGGAGAGAATATTGCAAATGTGACTTCAAGGGTAAATTATTTCAAGTAGGTATTTAAGAAACAACGAACTTAATACTTGAACTATGTGTACCTTTTTCTAGGGAACCTCAAGTTAAATCAGCAAAATTCAGCAGGGAGAAATGAACTGGGTTATCCATGTCTCAAAGGTACAAAGAAATAGAACAGTCCTCTCCTACCTACCATCTCTGTGTATTATAAAGTCAAGGAGATTATTTTACTTATGGTTTAATTTAAAGAGACTTATTTACAACATGTATTTATATGACAGTTTGATATGCTTTATTTTTCTGCAGGATTCAATTACTGGACTTGTCAACTCTGCCAGTGTACGTGCCATTTCTCTTCCACTATGAGAGGACCGATTGTATTGCACATTTGTCTGGCTTTCTGTAGCCTTCTGCTTTTCAGCGTTGCCACACAATGTCTGGCCTTCCCCAAAATAGAAAGGAGGAGGGAGATAGCACATGTTCATGCGGAAAAAGGGCAGTCCGATAAGATGAACACCGATGACCTAGAAAATAGCTCTGTTACCTCAAAGCAGACTCCCCAACTGGTGGTCTCTGAAGATCCAATGATGATGTCAGCAGTACCATCGGCAACATCATTAAATAAAGCATTCTCGATTAACAAAGAAACCCAGCCTGGACAAGCTGGGCTCATGCAAACAGAACGCCCTGGTGTTTCCACACCTACTGAGTCAGGTGTCCCCTCAGCTGAAGAAGTATTTGGTTCCAGCCAGCCAGAGAGAATATCTCCTGAAAGTGGACTTGCCAAGGCCATGTTAACCATTGCTATCACTGCGACTCCTTCTCTGACTGTTGATGAAAAGGAGGAACTCCTTACAAGCACTAACTTTCAGCCCATTGTAGAAGAGATCACAGAAACCACAAAAGGTTTTCTGAAGTATATGGATAATCAATCATTTGCAACTGAAAGTCAGGAAGGAGTTGGTTTGGGACATTCACCTTCATCCTATGTGAATACTAAGGAAATGCTAACCACCAATCCAAAGACTGAGAAATTTGAAGCAGACACAGACCACAGGACAACTTCTTTTCCTGGTGCTGAGTCCACAGCAGGCAGTGAGCCTGGAAGCCTCACCCCTGATAAGGAGAAGCCTTCGCAGATGACAGCTGATAACACCCAGGCTGCTGCCACCAAGCAACCACTCGAAACTTCCGAGTACACCCTGAGTGTTGAGCCAGAAACTGATAGTCTGCTGGGAGCCCCAGAAGTCACAGTGAGTGTCAGCACAGCTGTTCCAGCTGCCTCTGCCTTAAGTGATGAGTGGGATGACACCAAATTAGAGAGTGTAAGCCGGATAAGGACCCCCAAGCTTGGAGACAATGAAGAGACTCAGGTGAGAACGGAGATGTCTCAGACAGCACAAGTAAGCCATGAGGGTATGGAAGGAGGCCAGCCTTGGACAGAGGCTGCACAGGTGGCTCTGGGGCTGCCTGAAGGGGAAACACACACGGGCACAGCCCTGCTAATAGCGCATGGGAATGAGAGATCACCTGCTTTCACTGATCAAAGTTCCTTTACCCCCACAAGTCTGATGGAAGACATGAAAGTTTCCATTGTGAACTTGCTCCAAAGTACGGGAGACTTCACGGAATCCACCAAGGAAAACGATGCCCTGTTTTTCTTAGAAACCACTGTTTCTGTCTCTGTATATGAGTCTGAGGCAGACCAACTGTTGGGAAATACAATGAAAGGTAAAAGAAAGAAAAAGAAAAACAAACTTTGGTTTAATTTGGAAACTTTCAATTTTTTTTTTAATGGCAATTTAGAAATAGGTTGAAGTTTTAATGAAAAGCAGGCCAGGTGCAGCAGCTCATGCCTATAATCCCAGCATTTTCGGAGGCCGAGGTGTGAGGATTGCTTGGGCGCAGGAGTTCGAGACCAGCTTGGGTGATATAGTGAGACCTCTTCTCTGAAAAAGAATAAAAAAATGAAATTTAAAAAATAAAAAGAAAAGCAGAAGCATACAAATACATCATCTATTTTATATAAAAATTACACCCAATTCCTGTAATTCCAGCACTTTGGGAGGCCAAGGCAGGCGGCTTACTTGAGGTCAGGAGTTCGAGACCAGCCTGGCCAACATGGTGAAACCCCATCTCTATTAAAATACAAAAATTAGCTGGGTGTGGTAGCAGGTGCCTGTAATCCCAGCTACTCGGGAGGCTGAGGCAGGAGAATCACTTTAACCTGGGAAGGCGGAGGTTGCAGTGAGCCAAGATTGTACCACTGCACTCCAGCCTGGGTGACAAGAGTGAAACTCCCTCTCAAAAAAGAAAAAGAAAAAAAAATTACACCCAAATTTAAATCCTGCCTATAGACCAGTGTTCTTTAACTGGGGATAGTTTTATTTTGCTTTCCCCTTCCCCCAGGGGACATTTAGCAATGTTTGGAGACATTTTTAGTTGTTAGAACTGAGGGGTGCTAAGATATTGTTAAATATCTTAGACTACGTAGGACAGCCCCCCATAACAAAGAATTATCCCAGCCAACATGTTAATAGCGCTGAGGTTGAAAAACCCTGATACTATTATTTTTATTTTAGACTAATATTTTTCAAACATTTTACTATGAAAATGTATAAATATACAAGAAAATGTGAAAGAATTAGCTATATGTTTAAACTGTAATAATGTTGGATACTTACATACACATTGTTGTAAAATATGCTCACATCCCTTACATTTCTTACAAAAAAAGCTTTAGGTAAGTACTGCAGTTATCTCATAGTATTAACTATATGAATTTTCTAACTTTGTTTTCCTAAAAAGAAAACATTTAGAAATAAGGAAGGGGGTAGGGTGGAAGATAAATCATCTGCTTGCTTGGTTCTGCATTTTCTACTTTCTTTTGGCCTTTGCATCCGTGAATATTATAAGCTGGAAAGCCTTCTATTTGTTGTTGATGGATAATGGTTTTCTTTTATTATGGGTAGTTGGACAGATAACAACATTGGGAAGGAAAAGCTTAGTGTAATGTATACATGCTCATTCCAAATTGTTTTGGAACATGTACAACGTGTTACTTCAGCCAAGTAGCCCAATTAATAGAAAATATCAAATCAGTAATATGTTTTATAAGGTGTTGAGATTGAATTAAAATGGTGAAAGATCACTTGATAAATGACAAAAGAAAGATTGAATTTTACATGTCTAATTCATTTTTGTTTAAAGACCCAGTGTGCTGTTCAGTTTTCATAGAAGCTTCCATAAAATGTCTTGTAAGTTGGTTTTTACATGGAGTTGGGTGCACATGGCCATGAAGACCTTAGATATGACTGAGCAACAAGTTTACTTCAGTTCTTCATAGAACTTTTACTTTTGGAGCATTAAGTCATATAGCCCCAGATTGTTCACTGCACAATTGAATCCATGATTCTTATGTACTAAACTTGTATTAGCTTCTATTAGTACAGCCTAAAAAGTAAAATGGAATTGGTAATTTCCTGATTATTTTGGTTTTTGAATATGGTTCTTAGTCATAATTGCCTCAGCAAATTATAATCTTTTAAAAGGCCACTACTTTTAATTTCTAGCACATAGCACAATTCCTGGCACATAGTAGGAACTCGATAAATATGTTTTCAATTAATTTACAAATGAGGATATAGAACCATTCAGACTGGAGTTATCCAATGTGATTGCCTACCTTACCCAAAGTCAATCAAACAACTTCTAAATGTTCTTTGTACCAAGAGGAACAGTCAAGTTATTACTTTTGTTTTACTTTTTTTTTTGTCCCATAGAGTTAAAAGGAATGGGAAAGATTGCAATTATTGACAGCAGTTGTTATACAATAGCCAAAATGTTTTACTACTCATTTTCAGGTGATCATAAGTATTTTTCTGAAGTAAACAACTTAAATGCTAATCATTTAGAGTCCAGGGACCACTTAGGACATTATCTTCTTCAGAATATGCAATGATTTCTTGGTGTTTTTAGATATTATTAACAGATGGGTATGTTGAGATGATAGTCAGTCCTTTGAGTCAGTTAGCTGCTTCAACTGAAGATCAGGTTTTAAAAATAATATATAATTATTTTTTCTCCTACATGAAGTAGGAAGAATGAGAGATGTTAGGAAACTTTAAAGTTTATTTTAAAAAATTTTATTACTATTTCTAGTTCTCACTTTTCTAACAGCAATTATTTATTCAAGATACTATGCATTTTGACATTTCTTGCTATTTCATAAAATTACAAATAGCGCCTGCATATTTATTTTTGTATATATGTTCTCAAAAGTGTTCATTATGCTTTCAAAAATGAGGGCAACATAGAGAACACCTACTGCTTAAAATGGTAAAACTATATGTTATTGTCTTCTTGTGGCAAACAGAGCATTGCCCTATGTGCTAGAGGTACAGAAAGACAATGAATCCTGGCTCTCTAGGGATTTACAGTAATATTGGAGAAAGGAAAAAAAGAGAGACAAAATTCAAACAATGGTATAGAGTGCAAATATGAAGCTCATGTGAAAACCTTACCCTGACTCACATTGTTTGTCCTGTAACCAGGTATATTAATCCATCAAATGTAAAAATCTCTTCAATTCAAAAGGAAAAATAGTGTTAACTGGATGAGTACCAAGAAAAGGAACTGCTTATAGTGAAAAACAAACAAATACACATTATTTTAAAGCAAATACATTGTTTACAAGGCAACTTTTTTTTAAAGTAATAGGATATGCCATGATGTCATTAATAAATTTTTTTTTTTTTTTTTTTTGAGACAGAGTCTCCCTCTGTCATCTAGGCTGGAGTGTAGTGGCATGATCTCAGGTCATTGCAACCTCCGCCTCCTGGGTTCAGGCAATTGTCCTGCCTCATCCTCCCGGGTGGCTGGGATGACAGGAATGTGCCACTATGCCCAGCTAATTTTGTTGTGTTTTTAGTAGAGATGGGGTTTCACAATATTGGCCAGGCTGGTCTCGAACTCCTGACCTTGTGATCCTCCCGCCTCAGTCTCCCAAAGTGCTGGTATTACAGGCATGAGCCACCGTGCCTGGCCTGTCATTAATAAAAACTTTGAGGAACCCTTTTAAAGCTATCCCTAGAATGTTATTTTTCATTGTATAACTTACTGATCTTGCTAAAATACTTAGTATCTAGAACTAATATTTTAAAAAAGACAATAAGGTTTTCAAGAAATTAAGTTTTTAGTAGTTGCTCTGTACAGTGTTTGAAATTTCTAGCATAGCCCCTTCATAAGAGGGAAAATCTTGACTTATAAGTAGTCTGTTGAAGGCAAAACATTTATATGATCTGAAGAGAAAGCAGAGTATTATTATAAACAGTCTTTAATACTGTATTTGAGGGAATTATAATGTTGTAAAGCAAGTGGACCTGTGACAGATAATGTCATACCCTGCCAGTTCTATTCATTTCCTTTTCTGATCTGAAAGCAAATGCACACCTTCTACAGAGGCCTCTCCAAGGTGTTCCTTGGGCATAGTTAGTACAGTGGTTAAGGGTGCTGGCAATGTGAACAAAGGCATGCTCCTTAGCTTTTCTAAACCTAAGTTCTGTAAAGTGGAGTTATAATAGCTGGTAATTATTGAATACTTACCAAATACTAGGTGTTTTACTTGTGTTATCTAATCTTTGTAGTAACTCTGTGAGATAGATACTATTATTATCCCCATTTTATAGCTGAGGAAACTCAAGGCCCACATATGTGAAGTAATTTGTTTATGCTTACACAGCTAGTAAGTGACTAAGGCAGGTTGGCTCTGGAACCTGCATTCTTGAGCACTATGATGCAGCTTCTGTGGAATGATATTAGTACCTATCTCCCTGTAGTACATATGGGAGGATGCATACTTAAGATACTATATGTCATGCACTTCGCATGGTGTTTAACATAGAAACTCAGTAAATATTAGTTATTGTAATTATTACTCCTTTATTTTAAAATGTGAGCTTCCCTTGACCCTCCAGAAATGCAAATGTGAAAATTAATACACTGTATACAAATGTTTCTGAGAGTTTTTGAGTGTAACTTAGTTCTGTATAACTTGTTTCTTAACAAACTGATTATGTTGACATTCAAACATGTGCCTGAAAGGGAGCTCAGCAATTGATCTTCCTACTTTGTTTTAGATTTCATTTTAGCTTTTTCCATGAACTTCTTTATCTCTGTTGTAGATTGATTCACAACTACTGAAAGCGTGACAGAGAAAACATTTATTTACTGTCATTTTACTTCTGAGTTCTCTCTTTGCTTCCCCAGTTCCTGAAATAGCATCTGCTCCCCTCCCCCCAAGTTTTTAATCATATCATGATTTTTTTTTTTTAAAAAAATAGGGATTTGGTCTATTTTTAAATGTTTTCCCCCCTTTAAGACATCATCACTCAAGAGATGACAACAGCTGTTCAAGAGCCAGATGCCACTTTATCCATGGTGACACAAGAGCAGGTTGCTACCCTCGAGCTTATCAGAGACAGTGGCAAGACTGAGGAAGAAAAGGAGGACCCCTCTCCTGTGTCTGACGTTCCTGGTGTTACTCAGCTGTCAAGAAGATGGGAGCCTCTGGCCACTACAATTTCAACTACAGTCGTCCCTTTGTCTTTTGAAGTTACTCCCACTGTGGAAGGTCTGTAAGGGAGGATATTGGACTCTGTTTTGGGGGTGGATCTCTTCTGTTAAGTGGACTAGGAATAGAATGAGTGAGGCAGCCGACATTGCCATCAGCGCGCGCGTGCGTGCACGTACACACACACACACACCTTTACCTGGAAAGGGGTGTGAGCTCTGTCCTGTTTGAAGAGGTGTGGCAGAGCCTTAAAAGGACAAGGGTTGGCCGGGCGCAGTGGCTCACGCCTGTAATCCCAGCACTTTGGGAGGCTGAGGCGGGTGGATCACGAAGTCAGGAGATTGAGACCATCCTGGCCAACGTGGTGAAACCCCGTCTCTACTAAAAATACAAAAAATTACCCAGGCGTGGTGGCGGGCGCCTGTAGTCCGAGCTACTCGGGAGGCTGAGGCAGGAGAATGGTGTGAACCCGGGGGGCGGAGCTTGCAGGGAGCGGAGATGGCGCCACTGCACTCCGGCTTGGTGACAGAGCGAGACTCCGTGCCAAAAAAAAAAAAAAAAAAAAAAAGGGACAAGGGTTTAGTTTGTAAGTAAGGTCTCCTGGTGGCTCACCTCTGGGTCCTCAAAGGCCAGACCCCCTGAGAAGGCTCTTCCTGTTTGGCAACTCTGCTGCTAGGAGCCGGGGGGGATGAGGTGAAAAAAGCATGGACCTGAATTTGAATCGCAACTTTGGCTTTCACTAATATTGTAGCCTCAAGCTAAGTTTCTTAACTTCTGTAAGCTTTGGTTTGTTCACCTCTAAATAATGCCTATCTGTTTTATAGGTTATTTTAAGAATTTGAAATCATGTCTACAAAGTGCTTTCTATATAGGAGGCTCTCAAATGCTCTGATCTCTTAAAGGCAGTGAAGTTTTCAAATCTATGTGAAAGCTACTGCTGTTCTAGAGTCTCTGGACTTGGGAATTCCTGGGGCTATATTTGGCTGCTTTTAAATTGACATTCCAGACCCAGATCTAGGCTCTTACTCTATGACTTGATTTTGAGAAAGACACTCGATCTTTCCAAAGTAGTCTTTGAAATACAGTTTAATATATTTTTGTTAATTATTTTACCTTTGGCAATACATAATATAAAATCTTACAACATCCATAATATTGCCAATAGAATAAATGGGAGATTAAAATTTAAAAACAAAGTTCTGATTAGAGATAATACATTTTCCTGTAAGACAATACATTTTCCTGAAAGTCTTTGCTTTGGGGAGTTGGATTAATACAATATGGGAAAGGAGAGCTGACCCAAGTGCCAAACTTGCTGTATTGTATGATATTGGTTTAATCATTTCTTGCCTAAAAAGTGAAAGCACATGCTTACATTTGCCATAATGATTATCTTGTGGGTCAAGTCCTGTCTGTTGTGTTTGGCAGAACAAATGGACACAGTCACAGGGCCAAATGAGGAGTTCACACCAGTTCTGGGATCTCCAGTGACACCTCCTGGAATAATGGTGGGGGAACCCAGCATTTCCCCTGCACTTCCTGCTTTGGAGGCATCCTCTGAGAGAAGAACTGTTGTTCCATCTATTACTCGTGTTAATACAGCTGCCTCATATGGCCTGGACCAACTTGAATCTGAAGGTATTCATGCTTTGAAGGGGATCTTTTCAAGGACTGGTTGAGTGAGTCACTGAGCAAATGTTTTTGAAAAAGAATTAAGTAGGAGTATATTCAATCTGCAGTATAGATCAGAGGACAGTAAACTACAGCTGGGCCAAATCTGGCCTGCCACTTGTTTTTGAATGGTTTGTAAGCTAAGAATGGTTTTTACATTTTGAAATGATTGAAAAAAAAAGTCAAAAGAAGAATAATATTTTGTGACATAGAAAAGTTATAAAAATTCAAATTCCAGTGTTCATAAATAAAGCTATATTGGAACACAGCCATACTAATTCATTTTCATATGTGTGTGGCTGCTTTTGTGCCATAGCAGCAGAATTAAGAAGCTGTGACAGAGACTCAGTGGCCCACAAAGCCTGAAACATTTATGATAGGGCCCTTTATAGAGCAAGTTTGCTGACTGTGCTATGGATCTGTGGTTCTCAACTATAGTTGACCATTAGAAATACCTTGGAGAGCTTTTGAAACATCCCAGTGCCTGAATCACTCTCCAGTGATTGAGATTAAGATGGTGGGGGGTGGAATCTGGCATCAGCATTTTAAAAGACTGCCTTAGATGATTTCAGTATTCAAGCTGGATTGAGAATACTAGGTTAAGATGGAGATGTTGAGTTTCCCCACCAGATTTTCTTGGTTGCAAGTTTTAATGTGGGGTGTATTTTAACAGCATTGCTCTGGTTGTTAATGCTGGGTTATTCTCCCTTAGTAACATCTCTGGGTTAGTCTGTGCTACTATTTGGAGATAGGCAGTCTCTTTATTTACTAAGACCAAGAAATTCATGCCAAATTGTACTTTCCAAGACATTGGCTTTGAGCATGTAAAAGAAACTTGAGGCACGGCTGCCTATCAACAAATAAGAAGACTAGAAATATGACACATAGTCACGTAATTAATCAGCATTTTGGCAGGTGAATAGTTCCTGGCTGGAGATACAAAATGTCCAGAGATTTATAGTGCAGAATTTCTTAAACTAATCTGGAACACTGGTAAGCTTTTGGGCACTCAATTAGCCATGTGTTTGCTGCAGTAAGAGACATAGGATGTGCTATTATTTTTTTTTGTCTAAAGCGAAGGGAAGGAGGTTGAGCTAGGTTTGCAGCTGACTCTGGTGCAGACTTTCTGGGTAACACTGGTTGGCTGCTGACAGAGGAACATGACATTTTAGGAGCAGTGTGGAGAATTCCACAGTAGAAGCCTGGTTTAAGAAACAGATCAAAGTGGGCTCAAAGGCTAACAGCTCTTGCATTCCACATTAAGATAAATACTGTATGACTTTGAGTTTAGCGTCTCATATAAACTGTCTGCTCTCCTTGATGCCATCTGGAAAAAGCAGGTTTCCCTAAATTAACCTGAGTTAGACATGACAGCTTTACCCAGCAGGGCTCATTAAATCAGAGAAAAAAAATATTTGTGAATAATCCATACTTGTGAAACTGCAGTAACTTTCTAAATTTAGTAGATGATGGCAGTTGTATTGAAATATGTTAGAATTTTCCGACATGCCTAAGGTGTCCTGGGGTTTTAGTTCTTTTCTTCTACACAATTCAATTTTGCTACTTTTTGATAATATATTTTGTTAGTTTTTGATCTAAATTATCCTTGTCATGGGTTACAAAAATATTTTTGGTCAAAAGATATTATTTTTGCTACATTGTCGGGCTTAGGATTTTGAATTAGCACATTTTTACTCGTAAATGCCAAGGAGTACAACTTATGTTTAATTAGTATACGTTAATAATACCATTGTTAGTTTTATGCTGGTGCTTCTAGTCCTCCAAAAGCTGAATTGACTACACTGATTTAAACAAATCAACCTACTAGACTCCTGGATGTATTGGAGGCCTCTATTTTCAATGCATGTTTTTCTACCTTGCCCGGGAATATAAGTGCAGCTTGAAGCTTTGACTGGGTGAAACATTTTAATTCTTCCATAAGCTTATGCCTAGAGGCAGGTAATTTTTTTTCTTATCTAGAACCCTGTATTACTTACGTCAGGTTAGCAGCCTTTCTTGTTTTAGTCTTTGTGATGAGTTTATATGTTATTTTAATATCTTCCTTTTTCACTAGGGGGCAGGAGCATTTCTCTGGGAAATGAGGTACTTTTCTCCATGGGATTTGGAAAGGGACATCCTTTGTTAGACATTAGACACCAAAGAAGAATGAACCTTTATGGAAATTTCTGAATCCGCAGCTCTGTTTATCCTTTAAGCGATAACTAACAGCCCAAATCAGTCTAAAAATGATGTCTACTTGCACCCTGTCTTCTTCCCTGCTTCTCACATCTCTACAACATGATGACTGAGAGGGGGTATGAGTTTTCAAGGGCTGTCATAACTAAGTACCACAAACTGGGTGGCTTAAAACAACAGAAATTTATTCTTACGCAGTCTGGAGCCTGCAAGTTGGAAGTCAAGGTATAGGCAGGGCTTGCTCTCTCCAAAGCCTCTAGGGGAGGAACCCCAGGGTTTCCTTGGCTTGAGGCAGCATGACTCCAATCTATTCACATGGCCGTCTGTGTCTCTGTGCTCAAGTTTTCCTTGCTTTTTAAGAACACCAGTCATTGGATTAGGGCCCATCCTAATGACCTCATGTTAATTATGTATGCCAAGACCCTGTTTTCAAATATGGTCACATTCACTGGTACTACCGGTCAGGACTTGAACATACCATTTTGAGGGACACAATTCAACATGTAACAGGGGTCTGCTTCTGAAGAGTTTGCCAGCTGTCTGTGAAGACAGACGTGCTACCTGAGTGATGTGAATTGGTAGAGTGGGAGAAGTTTTGGTGTGTTTTCCTTTTCTTAGTCACTGAAGAAAGCCTGCCTTGATAAGTGCCTGCCACCTTGTGCATATTTCAGTGTCTTTTATCTTGTCAGCAAAAATGCAGTTTGATTTTTGAAGGGATAATGGTTTATTTTTCACCTTGCCTGTTACATTTGATTTCTATGTATGACTTTTTTTTAGGGATAAATATTCTCACAATGATAAATGCCTTATACTCATTTCAGGCATACCTCTACGAGGGCTGTATTTAGCAGCTTTGAAATACAAACATAACAAACATGTTCTTTTTATTCAAAATGGGATAATGACAAATTTTATACATATTTTATAACTGCATAAATTAATTTTTGGACATGATCTTTGTATAGGTTGATTTTCTTCTCTTGTTGAATATTAATGTCTTTCCTGCTCTAAAATGCCAACTTAAAATTTCTGATTAGTCTTGAAAACATACCTGGAATTTATGTGGGTTAACTCTTTAAAATATTTTAGTACTAATATTTCTTACCTACTTAAAGAAGTCCCGCTTTCTGTATGTTAGAAATCTGTCTGAAGATATCTGCTTACTCTAAATAAATCAAACTTTTATTTTATTCTTTCTGTATACCCCCATGGAAGATGGAAATTAATCTGTGCTCTGAAGTGGTAATAATAATTCTGTAGAATGGAAGGTTGTTGCTTTGGCAATTCCATATTCAGAAAAATCTACTGTGGGTCTATTTGTGTCAGATAGTAGGTTTCTAAGAACATATGGGAGATAAGAATATAAAAACAGAGATTTCTCAGATCTTGTGATTAAGTCTTTGACGGTCCTCCCTCCCACCCCCCGCACTTCTTCCCTTAATATTTGGAAGTCAATATCTGGGCCTTCCAGCTAGCGGGAAATGGGGAGCCAGTTGGTGCTTGCCATGGTGCGGACCACACAGAGACAGGAATACAGTGACAGGAACACTGAATTTGCTTGGACTCTTCTGGGTTAGCTCTTCTGCAAGAAAAAAGCAATTCCAGTGTTCCTCATCTGGGGAACTTGAATTCTTGATCCGATTGGTCTTATTTAATATCTTTCTGTGGGCATGCATGTTGAGTGTTGCGTATAATCCCATGATATTGTCTCAACCCTGTATTAGTCTGTTCTCATGCTGCTAATAAAGACATACCTGAGACTGGGTAATTTATAAAGAAAAGAGGTTTAATAAAGTGAAAGAGGTTCCACATGGCTGGGGAGGCCTCACAATCATGGCGAAAGGCAAAGGAGTAGCAAAGTTACATCTTATATGACAGCAGGCAAGAGAGCTTGTATAGGGGAACTGCCCTTTATAAAACCATCAGATCTCTTGAGACTTATTCACTGTCATGAGAACAGCATGGGAAAGACCCACCCCCATGATTCAGTTACCTCCCACTGGGTCCCTCCCATGGCACATGGGGATTATGGGAGCTACAATTCAAGATGAAATTTGGGTGGGGACACAACCAAACCATATTAAATCCCCATTTCCTCATTTGTTTCAAAAGGCCCGCTTATTATAGACCTTATGAAACAAACTCATAATAATTGACTTGCTGGAGAATTACCTTTAACATAGAGATTTTTAATTCTTGGCCGGGGTAATCCCAGCACTTTGGGAGGTCGAGGCAGGTGGATCACGGGGTCAGGAGATCGAGACCATCCCAGCTAACACAGTGAAACTCCACCTCTACTAAAAATACAAAAAATTAGCCAGGCATGGTAGCACACACCTATAATCCCAGCCACATGGGAGGCTGAGGCAGGAGAATCACTTGAACCCGGGAAGCATAGGTTGCAGTGAGCCGAGATCACACCACTGCATTCCAGCCTGGGCAACAGAGCAAGATTCCATCTCAAAAAAAAAAAAAAAAAATCCAATGGAGAAGCTACGTTTAACTTTCTTTAATAACTTAATTTTTTAAAATACAAAACCAAATATATCCTTTAACTACAGTTTTTTTCTTTTCTGACAGTTTTTGCTTTTCTAAGACTGTTTTGTCTGTCTTTATATTTAGTTTTTAAATGATTGCGTTTTTGACATTTTTTTCCCAGCCAGGCACCATACATGGGGCAGAAAGCTGTCATTATTTTGCCACTCATTGTTTAATCTGTTTCAGAGATATCCATTTTCCTGCCTTCATGTGTGCACATGTGTGCATGCATGTGTATGTGTGTATTTAATATCATGGTTGTTTTTGTCCTCAGAGAACAATTCCAGTATTTATTTGCAGTGTCTCTTAATTTCCTCTGCTGAAGAGATAGTGGTGTTATCTCTCTTTCCTTATCTGGGGTTTCTAGTTCTGTCCCCTTCTGCGGTCTTCTTTACTGATAACGGGAATTTCAGGAGAAAGTCATTTCTGAAAAGTGTGCCTTCATTCAGGTGACTGAATGATATTCTTGGGAGTCTGGTGGCCTCATACTGAAGCCAATGTCTTTGTCTCTTTCTTTTATCATCAATCAGAAAAAAATTGGGAAATACATTGTTTAAGTAGCATTAGGGTGAAGTTTTTAAGATTTTTTTCTTTTGTTTTTGCAGTTGCAAGATTTAATAGAGGGAAGACAGAGCTCCCATACAGAGGGAGGGGACCCAAAGAGGGTAGCTGTTGCCAGCTCGAATGCCTGGGTTTATATCCCGATCATTGTCCCTCCCCCTGTGGTCTCAGGTGATAGATGATTGGCTATTTCTTTGCCTCCTGTTTTAGCCTAATTAGCGTTTTAGTGAGCTCTCTTTACTATCTGACTGGTCGGGTGTGAGCTAAGTTGCAAGCCCCATGTTTAAAGGTGGACGTGGTCACCTTCCCAGCTAGGCTTAGGGATTCTTAATCGGCCTAGGAAACCCAGCTAGTCCTGTCTCTCAGTCCCCGCTCTCAACAGGAAAACCCAAGTGCTGTTGGAGAGGATGGCTGACGACCGTTCTAACTGCTTCCTGCTGAATTGGGGCATAGTAGGGGTTGTGCAGTTGAGATTTCCTCGGGAGGAGTGCCTTTGATGTCATTAACATCAGAGCATTGGCTAGCAGGCCAGTCCAGGGGTCTGTGGCAGATTTTAGTCATGGACTGTATCTGGGGCTCCATTTGAAGAACGATTGGTAGTTTTACAGCTTTGATTCTGGAAGAGACAAACTTAACAAGGAGATTAAAGATACAGGGATTGAAATGTATGGCCTGCAGTGCAGGGGATTATTTCTTTGGCATACTTCACAGGCCCTGACTATCTGCTTGATAGTTTTGAAAAGGCCTGGTCCAGTAAATAATAATTTGGCCATCTGATGGGTGCTATCAATGCCTAACTGAAAGGTTTGGTGAAGGTTTTTAAGTAATTTCTATTGGTTAGCTGCAGGCAAAAGTATTTTTCCTTCTTCGGTGGCTAGCCATCTGGAGAGGAGGAAAGTATGTCCTCATGAGGTTCCCTATTCTATTTTTCCTGCTGAGTAGTGGGGCTTGGTTTCTCGGAGGGGATTACCCCATACTAGGGGTCCTTCTATAAGCATTTCAAATGGAGGGTCCTGCCTTGTGGCTCTTTTGGCTTCAATGTCCACTTGGTGGTTTCCTTCTATTTTCCTTTCCTTTCCTTTCTGATGACCCCGGCAGTGTAAGACTGCCACCTCTTTAGGTTTCTGTACAGCCAATAATAATCTCCTAAAGACTTCCTGATGTTTAATAGGTGTTCCCTTGGAAGTTAGGAATTCCCTTTCTCTCCATATTGCTGCATGGGCATGGAGGACTAGGTAAGCATACTTAGAGTCTGTATATATATTTACCTTTTTTCCTTCTCCTAATTTTAGTGCCCAAGTGAGGGCTATTAGTTCTGCCAACTGAGCACTAGTTCCTGGAGTGAGGGGATTACTTTTAAGTATTCCATTATCACTGACCACTGCATACCTCGCTTTTCAAAGTCCCTTTTCTACAAAGGAACTTCCATCAGTATACAAGCTGAGGTTGGGATCAGTCAAGGGAACCTCTAAAAGGTCCCCTCGAGCAGCGTAGGTTTGAGCAATTACTTGTTGACAGTTATGTTCTATCTTTTCTTTATTGTCTGGAAGAAATGTTGCTGGATTAAGAGTTGCACAAGTATGCAGTCACAGCACTGGCCCTTCAAGTAATAGAGCCTGATATTTAAGTAAACGGTTGTCTGACAGCCACAAGTCTCCTTTAGCAGTCAGTATGCCATTCACATCATAAGATGTCCACACAATAAAATCTCTTCCCTGTATTATTTTAACTGCTTCAGATACTAAGACTGCTACTGCCGCTACTACCCGTAAACAATGAGGCCAACCCTTTGCCACTACATCAATTTCCTTACTCAGGTATGCCATGGGTTGCAAGCTTGTCCCTTGGATCTGTGTAAGGACTCCTAGAGCTATTCCTGTTTTTTCTATGACATATAAAGAAAAGTCTTGCTCTGTTGGCAAGCTTAACACTGGGGCTTGGGTTAGGGCCTTCTTTAGGGCCTGGAAAGCTGCTTCTGCTTCAGGTGTCCATCTTACTAAATGGGTATTGGCTTTCTGAGTTTCCTTAATTAGTGTATATAATGGTCTGGCTATTTTGCTGTACCTGGGAATATCCATATTTGGCAGAAACCTGTTATGCCAAGGAACCCTCTTAGTTGCTTTAGGGTTTTGGGATGAGGGTAAGCCAGTATAGGCTGGATACGTTCCTCACCAAGGGCCTTGGTACCTTTGGATAATTTTAGCCCTAAGTATTTAACCTGCTGTGAGCAGTGCTGAGCGTTTGGTTTGGAAACCTTGTAGCCACAGGTAGCAAGGAAATTTAAGAGCGCTTGGGTGGCTTGATGGCACAAGGTTTCTGAACTGGCAGCTAAAAGTAAATCATCCATGTACCGAAGGACAAGAGTGTCCAGGTATGAGAATTGGCTCAAGTCTTGGGCTAATGCCTGGCCAAATAGATGGGGGCTATCCCTGAACCCTTGGGGTAAAACAGTCCAGGTGAGTTGAGACGTTGGGTTTGAAGGATCTTCAAAGGCAAACAAGAATTGAGAGTCAGGATGTACAGGGATGCTGAAAAAGGCATCCTTAAGGTCCAGGACTGTAAACCACACTGCTTCCTCTGGTATTTGGGAAAGCAGAGTATGAGGGTTAGGTACAGCTGGGTCTAGAGGGACAACGGCCTCATTGATAATCCTGAGTTCTTGCACTAACCTCCACTGTCTGCTGGGTTTCTGTACTCCTAAAATTGGAGTATTGCAGGGGCTATTGCATGATTTCACTAGGCCTTGGGCTTTTAGGTCCTTAACAATCTTTTGGAGTCCTTGTTGAGCCTTGGGTCTAAGGGGGTACTGCCTTTGGTAGGGAAAGGAGGCAGAATCCTTTAGTTTAACTTGAACAGGACGAGCATTCTTTGCTCATCCATATTGTCCTTCTGTTGGCAAGACTTCAGGATTAATTCCTTCCTCAAGCAGGGGATAACAAATGGGTGTTCCTTCTCCTATGTTCAGGTGTATAATGGCCCCTGCTTTTGCTAGAATGTCTCTCCCTAACCAAGGGAGTGGGGCTTTCAGGCATAATTAGAAAAGCGTGTGAAAAGAGTAAAGCTCCTCAGTCAAAACTTAGTGGCTGGGAGAAGTATCTAGTGACTGGCTGTCCTAGGACCCCTCGGATAGTGACAGATCTGGAGGACAGTTGTCCGGGACAGGAGAGTAAGACCGAGAAGGCTGTGCCAGTGTCCAGGAGACAGTTAACCTCCTGGCCCTCAATGGTGAAGCATACCTGGGGCTCTGTGAGGGTGATGGCATGGGCTGGCACTTGCCCCAGGCACCCTCAGTCCTGCTGCTGGATCATCTGGTTAGTGGTTTCTGACTCAGAGGACCTTCATCCCCTGGGGCAGTGGGCCTTCCAGTGATTCCCTCAACATAAGGGGCATGGACAAGGGGGCGGCTTACTTCTATTTGGACAATCTTTTTTAAAGTGTCCTGGTAGACCGCACTGGAAGCAAGCCCTATTAGGCATTCGATTTGCCCAGCTTTTCCCTTTTCCAGAGCCTCCAAAGTCCACTTGCCTGAGGGCCATGACTAAAGCGGTGGCCTTTTTTTTTATACCGTTTGTCCTGTTCCACCGCTCCTCCTGATCTCTATTATAGAAAACCAAGGTTGCTAAGTTCAATAGGGTTTCTAAGTTTTGCTCCGGGCCTAAGGTGGACTTTTGAAGTTTTTTTCTAATGTCTGTAGCTGACTGGGTGATAAACTTATCCTTTAAGATTAGTTGGCCTTCAGTAGAGTCAGGTGACAGGGAGGTATGCTTTCTCAATGCCTCCCTTAGTCTCTCTAGAAAGGCAGTAGGATTTTCTTCCTTTCCCTGTGTTATAGTGGACATCACTGAATAATTCATAGGCTTCTTCCTAGTTTTCCTTAGTCCTTCTAGCACGCAAGTTAGCAAAATCCCATCAGAAGGCCATATTTATAAAACCAAGTTTGAGTGATTTTTCCTTTGGTTGCTGCTGTGTGGTATATGATGTTAAAGATCAAGAAGAGTGTGATAGGCTTGAACTGTCTCCTGCTATTTGTGATTCTGTAGTGTGAGATTATGAATGTTCACTCTGTGTTAAGAATGGGCACGAGTATTGGCTTTTGTTCTTGGAAATGCTTTGGATTCTGATTTCACTTTGCCTCAATGACAGAGCCACTTAACTGATACACAGTGGAGATGACATGGAAAAGAGTATTCCATGGAATATGCCCTTCATTTGATTTGAACTCAATGCTGGGTCTTTCTCCCCCAGTTGCCTGTTCTGTTGAATGGGAATTAAATAAAAAATAATTTTATAACTATTAACACGAACACATGAAACATCTAATACTTTTTGCCAAATGTGTTAGGGAAGGATGAGGTTCCCTTTTCTTGTTTTCATTTTTGTGTCACTTTAAGTGTCTTATATGACAGATTATGAAACACAGAATTGCTGGTGATTTCAGTTATCAGTTGCCTCTTATGGTAAGTCATTTTGTTGTCTTTTCCTGAAATCATCGTGCTTTCTTTGGCATTTATGACAGAGCTCTATTCCTAAGTACCTGCATACTCTGTGGGTTAGTACATCCATTACGTAGCACTCAGAATGTTCATCACGTTTGCTAATAATGCTCACATAGCCTGTGGTATTTCAAAAATATTTAAAATCAATATTGTGAGGTATTGCCATAAAGCTGTGTTCACAAATTCTGCTGTTGAAGAAAGATAACTGACATTTACTCTCGTTTTTCTGGTATGCTTTCCTGCCACAGGGAATTCATTTATTGGTATAATTGCAATTAAGTAAACCTTGTAGAGTTGGTTCCCCTCATCTATTTTTTGTGTGTGTGTGTGCCTTTTTTTTGCCAGTCCGGCACTGCTTGGTAAGCTTATCTTAGACACTCATAAAATTATACAGAATGGCTCATGATGATGAAAGGATTTAGCTTTGTACATATTCAGTGGTTTTATTTATTCTTTCAGTTATGTGTGCATTTAACAAGTATTTATTTGGCTATTCAGATGATACCAAGAATAATTGGGGGTGGATCTTGCTCTTAAGGGAGCACGAGTGCTAGTAGAAGAGGTAAGATAGATATCTACAAAACAGAAATGCAACATATAAGTGAGGACTAAACTCTGATGTTTTAATCTTGACCAAATTCCTATCTAAGGGGTCTGGAGAGCCATGCCCTACAAATCATGAATTTTCATCAGATGGGTTTTATTTAACCCTGTATATCGTGACTTACTTTCCAACTTGACTCTGGCATAACATTATGAGACAAGGAAGAAAATATAAATATTTTACCCCAAAACATGTTTCTTTGCCATATGTTGAAATGGCCCTGCAAAGCGTCCTTTGTGGGGGAAAATGTGCTTCTGTAAAGAATCTCCATTAACGAAGCTAGATCTTTTTCTTCCTGACCCTCCCAATCCTAAAGAGATTAACTAAAATCTGAATAGGAAACATTTGTCACCTATTGTTTCTAAGGGCAGCCACTATAAGACTTCAAAAGAACTTTTGTCTCCACAATCTTTATCTTAACCTGAACATTCCCTTTCTGTCAATCCCAGGTCTTCCTGACCACCTTGGGCACATGTTCTCACAACCTCCTGCGGGCTGTGTCATGGGCCATGGTTACTCATATTTGGCTCAGAATATATCTCTTCAAATATTTTACAGAGTTTGACTCTGTTCATCGACAGAAGGCAGAAAGGATCACAAAAAAAGGACTCTAAGTAAGAGTCAGGAGAGAAAAAGGACTCTAAGAGTCAGGAGAGACTTTAGTTCCATCCTAGAAAAACACTGGATTGGTGTATACCCCTGTGTGTCTTTGTGTGTGTGTGTGTGTGTGGCATGGGGGAGTGTTTGTGTTATAGATTTGTGTATATATTTATAGTAATGTGCTGTATAATGAAGTTTTGGTCAACAACACACCTCATATATGATAGTGGTCCCATATGATTATAATATTGTACTTTTACTGTACCTTTTCTATGTTTAGATACACAAATACTTACCATTGTGTTACAGTTGCCTACAGTATTCAGTACAGTAACATGCTGTACATGTTTGGAGCCTAGGAGCAATAGGCTATACCTTATAGCCTACATGTGTAGTAGGTCTACACCTTCTATATTTGTGTATGTACACTCTATGATGTTTGCATGATGACGAAATCGCCTAATGACACATTTCTCAGAATGTATCCGATTGTTAAGTGATGTACAACTGTATATTTATAATTTTATTGATAATTGTAGAAAAATGAGTGGGAACAAACCTAACAATATGGAAAAAATTCTAAAGAGTGGTGAATAGATACCATATACACCACACTAGCAATAAATTGTTTTATAGCCGTGCAATCAACCAAGTCATAGCTCACTGGTTAGATGAATTATTTCTTAAGAATAGCTTTTAACAACTGGAGCGGCTGCTTTTCCATGAAGAACAGGCAATCAGGTGCTCAGCCTCAGGCTAATAAATATCTAGTTTACAGTAAACTAGATATTTCTATAGAAAGAGATACATGTCGTTTTTGAGGATGATGTTCAGACTCCTGGCAAAAGGATTTGTTCTGACTGTTTAATCTGGGCACAGACTCCAGGGTTGAGAATCCCTGTGGGCAGTGGTCCAAGCAGGGCTTTCCATGTGTGGTGGCTTTTGTGCAGATGCTGAGGCAAACACGTAGCTTGGAACTATATGTGAGTGGTAGAAATTTCAAAGATATTTTAGATGCTTGCAGAAAATTAAGGCATTTTCAAAGGCATGATTTTTCAATATGAGGATAGACATATGTAAGTATTCTTTGATTGGTGCAAACATGAGAATTTTATTGCATTGGAGGACAAACAATTACAAACCTTAAATATGTATAGAATAATGTGTGGACAGTATCAACTACACTTTATCAAGCTGTATTCATAACCACGAAGTTGTTTTGCCATCGGACTACCTCTTAGCATTTAAATGAATGTGTATCCCTGAGGGAAAAGATTAGAAGAAAAATGTAATACACCAATTTAAATGACCTTACAAGATTTAAAAATTATCACACTTGGAAGCATTACATTGGTCCTGAAAGATTTACATTGATTTTGCCCTCATTTACCAGGGCCTTTTCTTCTCCAGCCATTCTGTCTCCTTCTACATTGCTTATCTCTAGACACAATAGTCTACAGAAATTTCTTCTTCTATTAAAACAGCATAAAGAATCTGCAACGTTTTAGCAGCAGAAGGAGATTCTCCAGGTGGGCAGGAGCCTGGTGCTGCTCCCTCTGGATTTTTTTTAAGGTGTCTGCTTCACATGCTCTCTGAGGAATCCTGTTTCCTATTAAAACTCTGGCTCAGGAAGAGATGTACATCCTTTCACTTGTTTCAGCTGAAATTAGTAGAAATTTTTAAAAGACCTGGCTCAAACCTAAGGGAACACAAAGCAAATAAACTGAGAAGTGAAAGAAACAGAAAATGAATTAGGTTCGTCTGGTACAAATTTCTCTCTGATCTTCACTAATGAGTTTCTAGGGATTATGGGCCCTGACCCATTCCGTGCTCTGTCTGAGTGTTTTATATTCTGTTCCCAAAGCACTGGCACAATATTTCAGGCACTTTGCCAGGCTTTCTGGCACCTCAGTGCTTGGCTTTTTTTTTTCCCCCTATGTAAAGGGTAAACTTCTCATTTTCTACTCCCCACCCCCGCCCCCGCATAGAAGAGCCAAGACCAAGATATGAATTTCTCCTAGGGCTCACCACCAAGTAGTAGTGAGCCCCTACCCCCTGCATACGTACTGTCTGTCCTGTTTACAGGTTGAAGGACACACATTTAATTCCTAGGCAAGTGACAGTCCAACAGTTGTCATGATTAATACCATGTACATGCCACCCTTCAGAGAAAATTCCATCCCAGTTAAAGGTATGATTCATTTCCAGGCAGTATAGCACTGTTCTCACCACACAAGAAATACACCCATATGATAAAAAGATCATTCTGTCACTTTCTATAGCAAATAATACTCAGAGCTCCTCTGCTCCATAAACAGGGAGCTATGAAGTTAAGAGGCCAGGAAAGAAACAGAAAGAATTCAGCTCAAACTTATTCTCCTCTATGAAGCCTCCTGGACCACTCAGCCCACACTGATGAGTAGAATAAGTGAGTGGAAAACGGCTCTCTCCCAGCACTTTGGGAGGCCAAGGCAGGAGGATCGCTTGAGGCCAGGAGTTTGAGACTAGTCTGGGAAACATAGTGAGACTCCACCTGTATAAATTTTTTTTTTTTTTAATTAGCTGGGTGTGGTGGCATGTACCTGTAGTCTCAGCTGTTCAGGAGGCTGAGGCAGGAGGATTGCTTGAGCCCAGGAGTTCGAGGCTGAAGTGAACTGTGATCATACCACTGCACTCCAGCTTGGGTGACAGGGTGAGACCTAGTCTCTTTAAAAAAAAAAGTTATACTCATTTGAAACATATACACGACATAACTTAATGAAAATTGGATTGGAGTTCTAAAGGCATTTAAATATTTATTTTGAAGAGGAAGATAGGGTGTTGTTGAGTTTATTTCCATTCAATAAACATATACTGAGTGCTTATTCTGTGTGAGGCACAATGCTTGATCCTGGGAAGTGGGGCACAAAGATGGATTAAGGTGAAATACCTGCTTTCAAGGAGCTAAATGCATGTAAGTATGATAAAACAAATGCATATTTCCACAAATTATTATGTAAGCCTCATTTTAGATAGGTTGAGACATGCTTTACATTTTGAAGGGGAAATCTACTTTCATACATATTTTTGCATAGTCAATAATCAACCTAACCAACCTATAATTTATCTTTTGAGTATATGTGGATTTTTATATACAAGTTTTGTGTATGTTTGCTTAAAGCAAGTAGTCCTTTAAGGTGTCTAATTAGCTGAAGAAAAAGATATTATTCCAGATGGCTCAGAATTTACAGATATAATATTAATATAGCTTTGTGTTTCTCTTTATAGCATACTTGAGAAATAGGATTGCTGTAGTCTCGTTTTCTAGAGGGAAGTATATGAAGCTGTCATCTGAATCATAAGTGAGTTATTTAATGAGCAGATGTTAAGCCAGGCACAGTGGCTTATGCCTGTAATCCCAGCTACTGGAGAAGTGGAGGCAGGAGGGTCTCTTGAGCCCAGGAGTTCAAGACTGCAGTGAGCTGTGGTTGTGCTGCTGTACTCCAGCCTGGGTGACAGAGCGAAACTCTGTCTCTAAAATAAAGGAGCAAGTATTGAACTCTAGAACTTGTAATTATTGCTACAGGGCTCTACCAGTGTAACTTTGGGGCAGGATTTATAGAAGATAATGGATAACATACCAATTATATGGGCTCATGGCTGAAAAGGAGTTGTTGTGGGCAGTAAATGCGAAGGTACTTATGTAAATCGGTATCTTCAGCTTGTTAACCAGATATAGGCAATGCCATTGTCAAGAGCAGAATCCTCAAATTCAGAGAAAGTAATACTAAATGAAATAAGAAAATTATTTATTTATTTGTTTATTGTTGAGACAAGGTCTCACTCTATTGTTTAGGCTAAAGTACAGTGGCGCAATCATAGCTCACTGCAGCCTTGGCTTCCCAGGCTCAGGCAATCCTCCCACTTCAGCCTCCTGAGTATCTGGGACTAGAGATGTGCAGCACCCCACCCAGCCAACTTTTGTATTTTTTTGTAGAGACGGGGTTTCACCATGTTGCCCAGGCTCGTCTCAAACTCCTGGGCTTAAGAAGTCTGCCTGCCTCGGCCTCCCAAAGTGTTGGAATTACAAGTGTGAACTCCTGCACCCAGCCAAGAAAATATTTAAACAGCTGCCTGAAATGGAAATTGAATCCAAAACATTTTGCCACTGGTGTTTGAAGTGGACTATCTTGTCTCAAGCCTTTTTATTTTCTCATGAATGTACCTTCTAAATATTGTTAAGGCTACAATGGAGGAAATTTTAAATTATTATATTTACTATTTTACAGTGAGTGGAAAATTTGAAATTTAGTAAAAAGTTTTCAAGAAATTTTTATAGATTAATAATGGAGTTTAAAAAGTCATGGCGATGAGGCATTTAACAAGGAGAGAACTGAATAAATTAACAGACATGTTTAAGGTAATGTCTATTTTTTTCTTTCAACTTTTAGGTTTGGGGGTACATGTACAGGTTTGTTACATGGGTAAATTGTGTGTCACTGGGGTTTGGTATATGAATGATCCCATCACTCAGGTAGTGAGCGTAGTACTAGATAGTTTGTTTTTCACTCCTCTTCCTCCTTCCACCCTCCACCCTCAAGTAGGCCCCAGTGTCTGTTGTTCCATTCTTTGAGTTCATATTTACTCAGTGTTTAGCTCCCACTTACAAGTGAGAGCATGTGATGCTTGGTTTTCTGTTCCTGTGTTAATTCACTTAGTTTGATGGCCTCTAGGTACATCCATATTATGGCATAGGAAATGATTTTTTATGGCTGCATAGTATTCCATGGTGTATATGTATCACATTTTCGTTAGTCTACCATTGTTGGGCATCTTCGTTGATTACCTGCCTTTGCTATTTTGAATGGTGCTGGTATGGACATATGAGTGCATGTTTTTTTGGTAGAATTATTTGTTTTTTTTAGGTGTATACCCAGAAATGGGATTGCTGAATCAAATGGTAGTTCTGTTTTAAGTTCTTTGAGAAATCTCCAAACTGCTTTCCACAGGGGCTGAATTAATTTGCATTCCCATCCACAGTGTACAAGCATTCCCTTTTTTCTATAACCTCACCAGCATCTGTTATGTTTTGACTTCTAATAATAACCATTCTGACTGGTGTGAGATGACATCTCATTGTGGTTTTGATTTGCATTTCTCTAATGATTAGTGATGTTGAGCATTTTTTCATAAGTCTTCTTTTGAGAAGTATTTGTTCATGTTCTTTGCCCATTTTTAATGGAGTTGTTTGTTTTTTGCTTGTTGAATTGTTTAAATTTCTCATAGATTCTGGATATTAAACATTTGTTGAGTGGATAGTTTGTGAATATTTTCTCCCATTCTGTTGGTTGTCTGTTTACCCCCTTGATAGTTTCTTTTGCTGTGCAAAAGCTCTTAAGTTTAATTAGGTCCCACTCATTAATTTTTATTTTTGTTGCAAATGCTTTTGGGGACTTAGTCATAAATTCTTTGCCAAGGCCAATGTCCAGAATGGTTTTTTCTAGATTTTCTTCTAGGATTTTTATAGTTTTATGTCTTACATTTAAGTCTTTAATCCATCTTGAGTTAATTTTTGTACATAGTGAAAGTTAGGGGGCCGGTTTCAATCTTCTGCATTTGGCTAGCCAGCTATCCCAGCATCATTTATTGAATAGTGAGTCCTTTCTCCATTGCTTGTTATTGTTGACTTTATTGAAGATCAGATGGTTGTAGGTGTGCAGCTTTATTTCTTGGTTCTCTATTAGAAGGTAATATTTAATAATAACATTTCAGATTTGATCTAATTTTAAAATATACCCAGATTACAGATTCTCTTATGAGTATTTGAAATTGGAGAATTTAAAAATGGAGTTTGAAAAACAAATAAAAACTCTCACTCAGCTCGTTGGACCTATTTACAGTAGATAAAATGGATGATTTTGAGTATGGATGCCCTTGAAAAGTACCTTATTTGGATTTCAGATTCTGACAGAAAACTAATGGGTCTTGACATAGCAAAATGACTAGATCTTGGGTAAAACATATGCCTTAATAAATTGATGGGATTACAAGTAGTCAGAAAAATCTTCAAGGATTGTGCTTTCTGGCTTGGTGTATTCCAAAGATGGGCTGAAACCCAAGGAATTAACTGCAAGGAAGAGGTAACGGTGCTCTAGGACAAGTAGTGATATCATTGTTGTGCTAGGTGTCTACACTTGAGCCAGTAGTAAGATGAGGAACCTGGACTAAAATTTCCACATTAAGCCTGTGTAAGGGGAATAAAATAAAGTAATTCCAGGTTTGTATCACACCCTGACTTCCCACAGAAGGAAATGTAAATTCTCTCTGGAAAAAATCATGTCCAATAGAGTCCCATAGGTTTCCCACAGATTAGAACCAAGCAAATGTGAGGAATAAAATAAATGTGTTGTAATAAAATATCAACAAATTAACAAGGAAATGAACCACCATGACTGACAGTCAGCAGAAAAGACAAAGCCAAGTAAGATTGGCTTACTCTTTACTCAGGACCTTTGTTACTAAAACTATCCAGACATAGATATAAAATAACCATTTATAAAAGCTTTAAAGAAATAAAAAAAAGTCACAAAAATGAGGAGGTAATAAAACACTATCAAAAATGACCCAGCAGATTTTAAAAAATAACCAAATAGAACATTTAGAAATATAAATATAATTTAGAAATATAAATATAATTTTTTGGGAAAAAAGCCTCAATGACAGGTTAAATAATCCAAAAGAGAAAATTAATGAACTGGAAGATCAATTTGAAGACATTATAGAGAGTGTAGCACAAAGAGACAAGTGAGAGAACATGAAAGAAAAGCTAAGCTTTATGGAGGGTAGAGTGAAAACTTCTCACTTATCTAATCAGATATCCAGCAGGAGAAAATAGAGAGAATGGAAGAGATACGGAGATAACAGAGGGATAGGATTCATAGTGGTAATGGCTGAAAATTTTTCCAAAACTGTGATAAAATATGAATCCATGGACATAGGAAACACATGTATCACACAAGATAAATAAACCATCAAAAATGCAAACACAAGCACACCAAAAGATGTACAGGAGTGTTAACAGTAACACTGATTATTTGAAAAAGCAAAAATCTTGAAATAACCTAGATTCTAATCATCACCAGTAGAATAGACAAATAAATTGTGCTATGTTAATACAATGGAAAACTACATGGTGCTAAATATGAATGGATGATTGCCACATGCAGCAATATAGGGGTTGATCTTGCAGTGAAAGAAGCTAGACACTAAGAAATGCACACAATATAATTCCATTTATAGAAATTTCAAAAACCAGCAAACCTAATCCGTGGTGTTAGAAGTCAGAATAGTGCTTACCTTTGGGGTAATGATGGTGGTATGAAGGGGGCTTCTGGTACAATAGAATGTTGCTTTTTTAAAAAAGAATATGGGTTGTGAATATGCTGGTTCATGATGTAATAGTTTATTAAGTTGTACACTTATGGTTTGTCAACTTTTTGTTTGTTCTACATCAATAAAAAAAGTTAAAAATAAAAATGCTCAACAAGATACATTGTAATGAAATGAAAGAACAATGAAGACAAAGAGAGAAATCTGAAGATCCAGATTTAAAGGAAAAAAGCCAGGGGAAAAAGATTACCTACAAAGGAACAAAATTTAGACTGAGAGCAGACTTAGCAGCAATGGTGGAACTGGAAACCAGAAGACAGGAGAATCTCTTTAATGAATTAAGAGAAATTAACGAATAACCTAGAAATATGTGCCTCTACTTTTAAAGAACAAAGGCAAAAATACTGGCAACAGATTTTAGAAAAGGAACTTATGAAGGCATTGCATTTAGAGAAGAAGAAAGATAATTCTAGAAGGAGGGACTGAGATGCAAGAAGAAATAGTGAACAAATAAATTGGTAAATATGTACATAAATCATAAGCACTCTGTATAAAATATAATTTCTAATTTATGGAGTAAGAAGAGAGGACAGAGCTAAAATAGTGGACAATAAAATAAATTGGGAAGATATAGCCAGGGTTAAAGGACTCTAAAGCCCTTCTTATTGAGTGATAAGATAGTGATTAAGTTCAGTCTTTGGTTAGTTAAATATGCGTGGTAAAATTTAAGAGTAACAGCTGAAAAAATGCAGTAGGCAGTAGAATGTATAATTTCTAAACCAGTAGTGGGGGAAAATAGAATAAGAAAAAAAGCCAAAAAAAAAAAAAAGAAAAATTAAGCACAGAAAAAGTGGAAAAAATAAAGTAACAAACACAAATATATCAATAATGACAATAAATACAAGTGGGCTAATTATGATGTTAGCCAGAGGTTTCTTGTTGACACCCTTTATCAGTGTTATGGACTGAATTGTGTCCGTAGAAAATTTATTTGTTGAAGACTTAATCACTAATGTGATTGTATTTGGAGACAGGGTCTGTAAGGGGATAGTTAAGTTATATGAGGTCATAAGAGTGGGGCCAAATCCAATAGGACTGGTGTCCTTATAAAAAGAGAAAGAGGGCTGGGAGGGGTAGCTCATGCCTTTAATCCCAGAACTTTAGGGGGGCGAAGGCAGAAGGATTGCTTGAGACCAGGAGTTTGAGACCAGCCTGGTCACCGAAGAGACCCTAATCCCTACAAAAAATGAAATAAATTAGCTGGAGATAGTGGCATGCACCTGTAGTCCTAGCTACTCGGGAGGCTGAGGTAGGAGGATTGCTTGAGCCCAGGAGTTCAAGACTGCAGTGAACTGATTGTGTGATTGTGTGACTGCACTTCAGTCTGGGTGACAGACTGAGACCATCTCTAATGAAATAAAAAAAAAAAAGAAGAAGGAAGAAGAACAAGAGACACTAGAGTCTCTGCAAGAGAGGAAATGTCATGTAAGGACACAGCAAGAAGGTGGCCATCTGTAAACCAGGAAGAGAGGCCTTACCAGAAACCCACCTGGCTGGTGCCTTGATCTTGGACTTCTAACCTCCAAAACTGTGAGAAAATAAATTTCTGTTGTTTAAGCCACCTAGTTTCTGGAATTTTGTTATGACAGCCCAAACTTACTAACACAATCAAGTTGTCCCTTCTTAGTTTGCTGAAAGCTTAGATTTTGTTTTTTTCTTTTTGGACATTGTGTGCATATTGGATTTTTATCAAATGCTTTTTCTGCATTGGTATTTCTGTACCTTTTAAGATGATGATATGGTTTTCTTTTTTAAGGAGTTACTATATTGAATTATACTCATTGGTTTTTGAATACTAAAACAGCTTTATATTATTATATATTATCCTTCTTATGTATTGTATTCAATTTGTTAAAATCTTCAAACAAAATAAAATTTGAGACAAAAGCATTCCTTGACATATATAAAATATTGTCTCCAACTGTTAGCAAATATGTTATCTTCAATCACACATGAAATATTTATAAAAATTGGCCATAAACCAGTCCATTAAAAAAATCCTGGCTGGGCGTGGTGGCTCACGCCTGTAATCCCAGCACTTTGGGAAGCTGAGGCAGGTGGATCATCTGAGGTCAGGAGCTCAAGAGCAGCCTGGCCAATATGGTAAAACCCCGTCTCTCCTAAAAATTAGCTGGGCATGGTGGTGTGCACCTGTAATAAAAAAAATTAGCTGGGCGTGGTGTGTGTGCACCTGTAATTCCAACTACTTGGGAGGCTGAGGCAGGAGAATCACTTGAACCCGGGAGGTGGAGGTTGCAGTGAGCCGAGATGGCACCATTGCACTCCAGCCTGGGTGACAAAGTGGACTCCATCTCAAAAATTAAAAAAAAAAATCTCAACAAATTTTAAAGAATTGATATCATGCAGGCTGTATTCTCTGATGGTTGTGCAATTAGGTTAGACATTAATAATGAAAAAGATAAATTGCCCCATACTTTTGAAAATGAAAAAAACTACTTCTAAATAACTTGTGGATCAAAGAAGAAATTATAATCGAAAATCAAAATATTTGGAAGTGACTCAGAGAAAATATATCAGACTTGTGGGGTGAAGATGAAGGATTATATAATGGGAAATTTTTAACCTTTAGAAAGCTCCCTCAGTGAGTTTGTTCACTTTAAAAAATAAAAAAGTTTCTGTTATTGTATAACATGGTGACTATAGTTAATAACAACATGCTGTATTCTTGATAAATACTGAGAGTGGATGTTAAACGTTCTCAGCACAGAAAATAACTTTGTGAGGTAATGCATATGTTAGTTAGATTTAGTCACTCCACAATACATATATACTTCAAAACATCATGTTGGACATGATAAATATATACAATTATCAGCTTAAAAAATAAAACCCAAAAGCTTAGAAAAGCGGAAAGGATGAAAATTAATGAGCTAAGTAACTTCCACCTTAAGCTATTGATACGGTTTGGCTCTGTATCCCCACCCAAATCTCATCTTGAATTGTAATCCCCCATGTGTCGAGGTGGGGACTTAGTGGGAAGTGATTGGATCATGAAGGTGGTTTTCCTGTGCTGTTCTTGTGGTAGTGAGTTCTCATGAGATCTGATGGTTCTATAAGTGTTGGACAGTTCCTTCTTCACACTCACTCATGGTCTTTCTGACTCCTGCCACCTTGTGAAGAACGTGCCTGCTTCCCCTTCCACCACCACTGTAAGTTTCCTGAGGCCTCTCCAGCCATGCAGTACTGTGAGTCAATTAAATCTCCTTTGTTTATGCATTACCCAGTCTCAGGCAGTATCTTTATAGCAGTGTGAGAATGGACTAATACAGCTATAAAAACAAAATAGAAGAAACCCAAAGAAAATAGAATGAAGTAATAACAGTAAGATTTCATTATTTTATTTTTACATTGCATTAATTCAGAACAGCTTAGTAAACTTTTGATAAAATTTATATGGAAGAGCAATAGGCCAAGAAATAGCCAGTGTACTCCTAAAGAAGAAAAAGAAATTGAAGGAAGGTGTCTGTAAATACCCTAACAGATATTAAGACTTATAAAGCTCTTACTATATAATTATATATTTGGACAAGGAGGACATGGACAGGAATAGTCAAAGTGGCCAGTGAAGCAGAATAGGCATGGAAACACACTGCTATAGAGGGTCCTTGACATGTGACGAAAATTGCACTGCAGAGTGATGGGGAAAGCATTTAAAACAAACAAAAAGTTCTGGGACAATTGGTTGTCCATATAGAAAAAACTATATTGAAGCTACATCCTACACAAAAATCAGTTCTATGTGGTTTAAAAACAGATGTAATAGGCAAACCTTAAACTGACTAAAATTGTAGAATATTTTTCTGACCTCACAATAAAGTTTTTTTAGATATGACACAAAAATTGCTAACCATAAAAATCCTGATAAATTCAGTGATATTAAAACTAAAACCTTTTATAAAAGGATGCTAGAAAGAAAGTGAAAATACAGCTTCTAAAATTAGCAAAAATATTTGTAATCCATATAACTGATAAAGGATTGATGTCCAGGATAGAAAGAACTCTAAAAGAATCAGCGGAAAAATGACAGACAGCCCAATAGAAAGATGAGTGAAAGACATGAGTAGGCATCTCACACAGATACTGAATGGATACACAACCTCATTAGTCATTAAGAAAGTGCAAATGACATCTGGAGTGACATCATTTTATACACACTGGATTGAAAAGAAATGTTTGACAGTGCCAAAGGTTGATGAGGATGTGGAGCTAGGGACATTTATCTAGACATTAGGATGTTGAACACTTGTATTCCTTTTAACCTAGCAATTCCACTTTTAGGAATGTACCCTAGACAAAGCCTTGAACAAATACACTAGAGATCATTTATGAGTGTTCAAGCAGCACTATTCATAACAGCAAAAAAAAATTAGCAACAACCAAATACCCGAAATCTTCCTTGACATGGGGATAAACAAACTGTGACATATATGCATAATGAACAGCATATATCGTGAAAATTAATAAACTAGTGTTTTGTACAACAAGATGTGTGAAACTTAAAACCATAATTTTGAATGGAAAGAAAGTCCCCAAATATAGCAGTCAGTAACTTTGTATGGCTTTAAGGGGAAGAAGGATGTTAAGAAGAATATGCAGATAGGTGTAACAGTATTAATAACTTACTAGTCCTTAAATTGAATAGTGAGTTCTTTGGGGTTCATTTCACTATGAACTTAATAAGATAAATACGGTATATGTATATAGTCTAATATATATCTCCTATTACATGATAAAAATGTAAAAGCACTTGGCAGGAATATTTCCATTTTAGAAATGTAATGAAATTCTATGTATTCTAAGTCAGCTTAACTGTGAGTTGCTGGATTTTGTGGTAGTTATTTCAGAAAATTCTGGTATCCCTTAGAACCTTATGATCCTGGAGAGCCATCTGCTGGAGAGTCGCTGCACATCCTCAAGACGAATTTAATATTTTCTTTCTGGCTTTTAAGTTTTGCACCCAATTTGATGCCCAAGGTAAAAAAAATCTGGAAATAAAAGCAGTGTCATTTCTAGGGCTTCAGTCACTTTATAGGTGGAAACAATGGCTTTTGATTGTTATTGGCATAAGAGTTCCCAGGAAAACGTATGCCTACAAATGTTTCTTCTTTGAGAAAGATGCCACCGGGATGTGTCAGAGCCATTCCCTTCATGGGAGAAGTGGGAGAAAGGCTAATATGCGCTCAGTCCATGCCTGGTGAAGCTACCTTGTTTCTTTTCATGGCATCCTTCTTCTTTTCCACATGGGCTAATTTTTTTTTTTTTTTTTTTTTTGAGATGGAGTCTTGCTCTGTCGCCCAAGCTGGAGTGCAATGGCGTAATCTCAGCTCACTGCAACCTCCGCCTACTGGGTTCAAGCGATTCTCCTGCATCAGCCTCCCAGGTAGCTGGGACTAAGGGCGTGCACCACTACGCCCGGCTAAATTTTGTATTTTTAATAGAGGCTGTTTTTCACCATGTTAGCCAGGATGGTCTCGATCTCCTGACCTCATGATTCACTTGCCTTGGCCTCCCAAAGTGCTGGGATTACAGCCGTGAGCCACTGCATCCGGCCTCTAATTTGTTTACCTTAGATTTAATTTTAAACTTAGTAAAGGGAAGAAAAAGCCACTAAAAGAGAAATTTGACATGTAAAACTCATGAATAAATAGGCAAAAGATGATGATTCAAACTAATCATTGCTATTCCAAAAAGGCAGAAAATACAGGTGAGACTCTATTCTCCTTGAAAGTCAAGATTAGACAGCAGATGTTGGGGAACAGGTGTTCCTACTCTGGATCTTCCTGCCGTCATTGTTGGGATGACACATTCTCAACCAAGGTTTTTTCTATCTTTGATGCATTAGTAACAGCCTGGAAGTGCTAGCTACTTCTGTATCTTCTGGAGATCTAAAAAAGTCAAAGCTGTGATAAAAATGCAGTTAGAGAAACTGAGCACCTTTGGTGGGAACTGCCTATTAAATGACACATGTTTGTAGCAGAGTCAGATTACTAAAATTACTCAGGGTCATAGGGCAAAATTTCTCCCATATATTTTATTGATTTTGTTGAGAGTTAACCCATGGCTCTGGTCCTGAACAAAATGAAGACTCTCGATTTTGGTAACCCTAGACAGAAATATTTGCAATGAATAAAGAAAACAGGTCTGATCCAGAGAGGCAAAAATTCTGGGTTTGCACAAGCTCATTTAAGCCTCTGCTGTGATATTTGAGCATCCAAGGTAGTTTTTTTTTTTTCACCTACCAAGTAACCTGTAAGTAAAACAAAACTTATAAAACTTGTTCCCTGTTAGCTAACAATGTAAGTTTGGAGAATAAAGCCTGAAAAGCCGTTTGAGTCTCTTGGAAGGAAAGCCCCATGTAAGTACAAAGTATCGTCGTGGGCTTTGAACAGCTGTTAAGAGATTGTCAGAGATCTGCCAGACAGATAAAGTTGGCTAAGAGAGGGTACCGTGTAGACACATTTTGTCTGCCTGCCACTTGCAACAGGACATTTCTCTATTTGAGCTATGGACACACTATTTAATATCACTAAGCATCTCTTGGCCATGTGGCACTGTTCTCTGACATTTCTGTTTAATGTTTCTTAGTTTTATTCTCAACTGTTTCAGTTCACCTCAAGCACAGCAGTCAGAAATTGAACCATGTCCCAGTCCCTCTTGCATGCTGAACCATCTAACTGTCTGAACACCTAAGTTAGGGTTTTGGCTGACATCTCATCCAGGTTTTTCACTATTGTTAGGTGTTGGAATTCTTGACAGTGGACATGCTAGCAGGAGCATCAGATTAATCCCGAGTGACTTGATCTCGGTAAGGATGCTATGGAAAAATCCATTAGCTCCATGGCAAGGAGCCCGTCGTTCCTGTCTGTGCATGCTGGACTCAGTGGGACACGTCTTCTAAAGAGATGCTGGTTCAACAAGAGTGAAAAGGAATTTTTCATAATGTGGATTATGTGTTTGGGAGTGGGAACAGTGCAGTTTGTTGGGAGGATTTTGACTGTCAAGAGAGATGGTTACTTAGAAACCATTCTTCCTGCCCATTTGCTGCTAGGGTTGCTGTTAGTGTTTGGGGTTGTGATGTAATCAGTGCCATGTCAACTTGTGAAAAAGAAGTGTTGGTTATGAGGATGAACTTTCCAATTCTAGGTAACATGACTAGAAGGAACTTTTCAGGCTGAGCTCTCTGAATCTTCCTTTCCTGGATTGCAATGTTTTTAGAGATTGTCAGAACAAATATAACTTTACATCTTTGAGCATTATCACTGGTTATTGACATAGGACATGTTTCTACTATGCATAGTAAACCAAGATCAATTATTTCCTTCTTTCTTTCTTTTTTTTTTTTTTTCTTGAGATGGAGTCTTACTCTGTTGCCCAGGCTGGAGTGCAGTGGCGTAATCTCGGCTGACTGCAACCTCTGCCCCCTGGGTTCAAGCGATTCTCCTGCCTCAGCTTCTTGAGTAGCTGGGACTACAGGCATGTGCCACCATGCCTGGCTGATTTTTGTATTTTTAGTAGAGACAGGGTTTTACCATGTTGGCCAGGATGGTCTCAATCTCCTGACCTCGTCGTGATCCACCTGCCTCGGCCTCCCAAAGTGTTGGGATTACAGGCGTGAGCCACCATGCCCGGCCCAATTGTTTCCTTTTAGAGGTTCAGTTTTCTTTGTCTATGCTATCTTTATTTGGAATAATTGTGTGTACGTGTCTTTTACCTTGACCCCATTCTTATTTGGGGTTCAGATGAATGAAAATAAAATTTGGGGTTTATTTAAACAAATTGCAAAACTCAGGCATTACTCTCAAACCTTTAAATATAACTTGGTAGTGTTATTTGATTGAGTTCTTTAATTTTAGTTCTTGGGCCAGGGATCCTGTTATTTTTGGCATAGTTTTATTTGCTGAATGTTTACAGCATGTCATTGTTCTTTGTGTTCAGAGATGTTCATGACATCATTATTTATTTTGGGTGTAACTAATTGAAAGATTGGCCGAAATACAGATGACTTTCTCTTCAGTTTTTATGAATAGAAGATGAACTCTGGTTTGTTTTACAGCTGTTGGTCTTATATGTTGACTTTGTGGTTGCAAGAGTATTCAGAGGAATGTGTTACTGATTGTTTATTAAGTGTTACTATGTGATTCTTTAGATATGGGTTTAAAAAACCGCATCTATCTCATTGTTTATACATTTACTCATGTATTCATTCATTCAAAATACACTTATTGAGCGCTGTTGATTGCCAAGTACTCATTAGTCATTGGTGATATACCAGGGGACAAGACCGTCTTTCCTTTATTCGATAGTTTTCTACATTTCTGGTTCAAGTTGCTATAACATACATTATTTTGCTAATTTGAAGAAAGGTGATAATATCTTTTTTTGTTACTGATCTGTAATAGTAGGTTCTATTGGTAATTGAAGCAGGGTATAGGTGACATACAACTAAAAATGTTTAATGGCTGTAAAATAATTGTAGGCCCATAAAAAGAACATTTTCTGGAAGAAAAAGATTATGAGAGAATAAGGTAGGCTAAAAGAGAAACCTCATTCTAATAAGGCTGACTTCCTTCTATCTTTTCCACACAGTTACCAAAACTTTCTTTTTCTATGACTGTCTTCTCAGGCTAGCTCTATGATTTGGTAAATATTAAAAGGACAAATAGTAAATCTTATAAGTTGCTTAGTGCTGAAGGGTGAAGCTAGTAGTACAAGGAGAAAGCTTTCCTCTTGTATCCCACATGTAAATCAGGGACCTTTCTTACTTTCCCATAATATAAATTGTATACTATTCAATAAGAAGCTTCTAGAGAGAGTACTCCTCGGTTTTATTTTCTGACTCAGAAGAAGGCATCTCATGTTGGACATTTCAGGGCAGAGAGAAGGAGAAGGAAATCTCTACCAAAGTGAGTGTGTGTGGGAGAGTTTATGAGACATGTTGACCCTAGCAGTGTCCTCCAAGTCACATTATAAAGGTAGCAGCCTTCTTGTTGGGCTAGGCTTGCTTACCTGCAACCCTCTCTTTGGGATAGATAATAGGATGGAGTAAAGTGACTTTTGAGGTTCCTTTCATTTTTTTATAATTCTATACTTTAAAGAGAAGAGATTGGCTGAAGATGTTGAGGACCAAGTTGTCTTTGGTGGATGCTAGTGGTCAGAGAACAGTGATCCTAGGAGATCAGGATTATATAGTCACAATTGTTTTATCAGTGCAAACCTCTTAGGTTTGTGGGGAGCAAAGGACACTAAAATTAATTTTATAATGCTTCAAAAATAAATAAATGGGGTCAGACACAGTGGCTCACAGCTGTAATCCAGTACTTTGGGAGGCTGAGGTGGGAGGGTCAATTGAACCCAGGAGGTTGAGGCTGTAGTGAGCCATGTGCACATTACTGCACTCCAGCCTGGGTGACACAGCAAGACTACATCCAAAAAAAAATATAGTGCTCTTTTTGGACAGTTCCTGTTTATAGGAGGAAGGTCCACAAAGTTTTTAAGTAGGGTTTTTTTTTGGGGGGGGCGGGAGTTGGTTTTATGAATAATAGAAATTTATTTCCTCATCGTTCTGGAGGCTGAGGGGTCCAAGACCAAGGTACCAGCATCTGGCAAGGGTCTTCTTGCTGCGTCCTCATGTGGTGGAAGAGCAGAAGAGCATGAGCCCACTCCCATAGCCATTTTTATAAGGGCACCAATCTATTAATTTCCAAACATGAATTTTGGAGGATGCATGCAGACCATAGCAGGGAGGATCCTTCCTGCCTCTTCCAGCTTCTAGTGGCTCAAGTATTCTTCAGCTTGTGGCTTTATCATTCCAGTGTCTGCCTCCCTCTCCACATGACTTTCTCTTTGTCTCTGTGTCTGTATCTCAAGTCTTTCTCTGCCTTATTCTATTTTTTTTTTTTTCGAGATGGAGTTTTGGTCTTGTTGCCCAGGCTGGAGTGCAATGGTGCGATCTCGGCTCACTGCAACCTCCACCTCCCGGGTTCAAGCAATTCTCATGCGTCAGCCTCCCGTGTAGCTGGGATTACAGGCATGCATCACCACGTCCAGCTAATTTTGTATTTTTAGTACAGAGTAGGTTTCTCCACATTGGTCAGGCTGGTCTTGAGCTCCTGACCTCAGGTGATCTGCCTGCCTTGGCCTCCCAAAGTGCTGGGATTACAGGTGTGAGCCACCGTGCCTGACCTCTGCCTTACTCTTTTTTTTTTTTTTTTTTTTTTGAGACGGAGTCTCGCTCTGTCGCCCAGGCCGGACTGCGGACTGCAGTGGCGCAATCTCGGCTCACTGCAAGCTCCGCTTCCCGGGTTCACGCCATTCTCCTGCCTCAGCCTCCCGAGTAGCTGGGACTACAGGCGCCCGCCACCGCGCCCGGCTAATTTTTTGTATTTTTAGTAGAGACGGGGTTTCACCTTGTTAGCCAGGATGGTCTCGATCTCCTGACCTCATGATCCACCCGCCTCGGCCTCCCAAAGTGCTGGGATTACAGGCGTGAGCCACCGCGCCCGGCCGCCTTACTCTTATAAGGATTTTTGTCGTTGTACTTAAGGTCCACCAAGATAATCCAAGACTATTTCATCTCAAGATCTTTAACTTACTTGTACCTGCAAAGATTCTTTTACCAAACGAGGTCCCATTTGCAGGTTCTAGGGGCCCAGATGTGGGTTTATCTCTTTGGGACCACCGTTCCACCCTCTGCTGTCTCCAAAACACATGTCAAGTCTGTCCGCTTTTCCACTATCACTGCACCACCATGGTTCTTCTCTCCTGGGACTCCTGCCATCAGCCTCTCTTGCTTTCCTTTCTCTACCCCATAACTCATTTCCACACAGCCTGAGGGATATTTTAAAACCCTGCCCCAAACCATGTATCCCTGCCTGAGGCCTTCCAGTGCCTTCTCTTACCTGTGCAGAGCTGGTCTCCTGCTGAGAATTTACATCTTCACACAAAACGTTATCACCTTGAGGTGAGCTCCCAGTGATTTTCAGCTCATGTGCTCATGCCACTCTTCCACTACCCAGCCCAGCAGGCCACCAAGTTTCATTTTATTCTCAGCATTTATCACAACTTGAAAGCATTCTCTCTCTCTCTCTCTCCTTCATTCACCCATCCCTCCTTCAACCCACCTACCTACCCATCCATTTGTGAAATTAAAGAACAGACTTCTTCTTTGTGAGGAATATCTTTAACGTATTTTAAAACAGTTTCATCACCTGCCCTCCTCTCCACACCCTCTCCCCCGTTTTCTCTTCTATCAATGGTGGGTTCTTCATGTCCATGGTGTCTGGGCTTTTCACAATCCTCACTGCTGTTTTCTATCATGCTACCGGGCAGGGCAGGCAAAACAAATTGAGATTTTTTTCTGGTTAAAATCTCCAAACAAAGTTGTGAAAAAAAAAAACCCAAGTAATTTTAGAAATGTCATTTTTACCTAAGAATTGACTTGCTTGAGTTTCTCTTTATGGATTGACTATTACCTCATTGAAGGACAAAAGGTTAAGATTTTTGGCAGTGAACTTCTTTAGATGTCAGACCATTGCTTGGGCTATGCAGCAGATTCATTTCCTTTTCAGTCCCCACAACTTGCTGCTGTTGCTTTCCTGCTCATCACTTCTGTGAAAATCATTGTCCTTTTCCTTTTTCTCTTTTTTGGTCTTTGTTTGAACTGTCTTCTGCTTTCATTTCACCATTCTGATGGAAATCTAAGTGTTGTTTTGTGGAACAAGTATCCCCTTTGATGTCTCTAGGCACTTCCATGCCCAATTTGTGACAGAATTCTCTGTTTTCATTTCTGCTTCTTGGAGACCTGATACCAATTTGTAAACAGTCTCATGTATGGTGCTCTCATGACCGATGTACTGCAGTGAGTGAGTGTGACGCATCACAGTCCTACATGCAGGGCAGGTGTTGTTCTCTTACAAATACTTTACCAGGCAACCCCTACAGAATGTGTGCAGACACTTGGTCACCCTGGTTGCATCAATGAGGTGCCCACTACACAGGCGGCAGGTGATGTGGGCCTTAGTGTCCCACAGCTTAATCCTTCTGGTCAACATCTTTGGCTTTTCCTTTGGATGTCTGTCTGCTTGTTTTTCTTTCTGCCTTAGCATGGAGGCCCCACGTCATCACTCTGACTCACTGATTCTGCCTCACTCTGCACTCTGGTTCACTTCTGGCCCTTGCTGTTTTTCAGTTTTCTAGCACAGAAACAGTTACTTTTGAGGGATGGCCAGGAGTCCCTGCTACATTGTGAAGCTGTGATCTTGGTCTTGGGGGTACAGGCAGGGGCACTCCAGGAGAAGGAAGGGGTGCCACTCCTTTCGGATCCACCCCCAAGAGGAGGAGAAAACACCTGTCAAGAATCTAAAATAAAGACATGGAAGTCCTCAGGTAGTTTTAATGGTTCCTGATAGTTTTCCTAATAACCTAAATTTCCATCATGTTTCCTCTATCCAGCCTCTTTTTCAACTTCTCTTTAATTAGAGTCCCTGGTCCATCTTTATAATTACTCCTTCACACACAATCAGTACCCTTTCTTACCCTCTCTCTATCCCTCACACTCTCAATTGAGCTCTTCTGGTAAAACTTGCTGCTGGTTAAATCTCTGTGCCTACTCACCTCTCCACCCATGCCTGCGCCCAAGCAGCTGAATGTGGCTTGAGAAAAACTCACAACCATCTTAACAGGTCTCACTTTAGATATATGATGTCACATCTGAAGTGGGCCTAGAGGGCTGCCTGGCAGTCCTGCCCCATTTCTCTGAGAATGTACTCGCCTACTCTCCAAGACGACTATTTCACGCTTTTTCCTCTCACCTCAAACCACCAACATTTCTCTTTTCCTTTCCAGTTTTTTTATTTGACCGAGAATAAAAGAAATATAAAGATCCCCTACCCACCAAATCTGCCCACCTTCCTGCACCATGCCTGTTTCTCTGCCTTCCCTTTTTCCTACCGTTTCAGGGGAGGATGTATCCAAACCAGCCTGTGCACTGGACCTTGTCTTCTTTTAGTCATTATGAAGAAGCCAACCTGTCCAGTATGCACCAGGCTTAGTTTTAAGTACCTTATAAATTAACTAATGAAATCCTTACAACAGCCTTGTGAGGTAGGAATAATATCAGTTTTACAGACGAGGAGGTTGAGGCACAGCAAAATTCAGCAACGTGTGCAAAAATCACACAGCCGTAATAAATTTGTGTGGCTTCAGAGTCTATGCATGCAGCCACTGTATAATACCATGTCTCCCAGGATATTCTCCCGCAGCTGCTTCTGTCTTTCCTGCCTCATTGATTGCCCCTTTCGATGAGATCTGACCCATTAACTTACAAGCAGGTTCTATTTTCTATATTCTATTTTAAGACCCTACCCTTGACCCTGTGTCTCTCTCCACCTGCCCCCTATTTTCTCTGTTCTCCTTTTAGCCAAATTTCTGGTAAGAATTTTTTGTTTGTTTGTTGTGTCTTCTTTTCTAATCTTTTTTTGAACCACTCCAACCTGGCCTTTGTCTATATCATTCCTCCAAAACAACTTTTGTCAAGGTCCCCCGTGCCCTCCCAATGTCCAAGCCAGAGGGACACCCTCAGTCTCTTACTCGGGCCCTTGGAGACGCTTTCTTCATTTGCCTTCCCTGACACCACACACTTCTTGGATTTTCTCCCACCCTGGTGGTTACTCCTGTTTCCTGTGTGGATCTTCCTCTGCTGGTCACCCTCTAAGTGGTGGCTTTGCCCGGGAATGTGGTCTGGACCATTTCCCTTTCTGTCTATATTCACCTTCTTGATAATCTCAGCCAGTCTCAAGGCTTTGAATATTATTAATAAATTGACAATTCCCAAAATTTATCTCTAGCTTTGAAACTTCCCTAGACTTCCAACATTCCCTTGGATGCCATAGGCCATCACACAGTTACTGTATCTCAAATGCAAATTCTTGTTTTGACTCCTTATCTTTTAGATCCCGTTTTCAGTCATGTGGGATCTTCCTCCTGCATCTCACATTGTACTTATCAGCAGGGTTCTACCTTGAAATTACATCCCCGATATGACTACCTCTCTCCTCTTTCCAGATTGTACCCTAGTCCAAAGCACCATAATCTATTCCTGGTTTTTAAGTGGACTCCTTGTCAGCCTTCTTTTTTCATCTCTTGCTTTGATATAGCCTGTTCTCCACCCTGCTGCTAGAGTCATTCTTTAAAAATATAAGTCAGTACTACCTGTTCCCCAAAAACCTATTGAAATAAATAAAAGACTTAAAAAAAAAAAAAGTCAGATCTGGCCCCTGCCTACTTCTTCCTACCTCATTTCCTGTATTTGCCCTGTGCCTCCCAGCCCAGGCTTCTTTGCCATTGTTTGAACACAGCGAGGCCACACCTGCCTCAAGGATTAGGTCCTTGCCATTTCCTCCACTGGGAATGCTCTTCCTGTAGATGTTGACTTAAATTAAACAAAAGAATGCATTATTTTGGTGTGGCCTCTGTTCAAACTTTACCTTGTCAGAAAAGCTTTCTTTAATCACCCTTTCTAAAATAGCAGTGCCTGGCGTTTTCTATCTTCTTGCCAGTTTTAATGAGAGTGTAGAGTCACCTGCCTATTGGTGTATCTGTTTGTTTGCTGTGAGTCTCCCTGGGTGGCACATGGGCTCCACGAAGGCAGAGACGTTATTGCTTTTATCCCTAGTGTCTGCAACGGCACCCGTTAGGGGGTTGATACATATTTGTTGAATTTTTAGAATAGTGACAGACATTAATCCTACAAAGTTAAAGGACATATAAGAATAAAAAAAGATTAAAGGTGATTTTTTTTAAAAGTTAAAAAGCCTCTGAATGATAGAGGAAAGGTAGTATGGGTGGAGAAAGTTGTGTAGAAGCAGAAAAGGAGAGTCTCACAATTCTTGGGTGGCTCCAGTTCTTCTTCTTCCCTTCTTTTCTCCACCATAGGAGGAGAATTACCTGTTGCAGTAACTGCTGTGCCGAGAGTCAAGGGGAGAGAGCAAAGGGAAGGCCTTCTGTGAACTTTGTGGGCACTTACCAGGGGCTTCAGAGGTGCATCCATGGTGAGGATGGGGCCTTGAAGTATTACTAGGAAATTAACATTGGTGAAACAAAATGAAATTGGGAATCATATGTTCCTTAAACCCACTCCACTTGGAGCATTGAAAATGACAGCTTGTGGTGAAGTGCCATGGCTCACGCCTATAATACTAGCATTGTGGGAGGCCGAGGGAGGAGGATGGCTTGAGTCCAGGAGTCTGAGACTGTGGTGAACCATGATCACGCCACTGCACTCCAGCCTGGGTGACAGAGCAAGACTCCGTCTCAAAAATAAATAAATAAATAAATAAAAAATAAAAAAAAAAAAATCAAGAAAACGACGAATTGTGAATGTTAACTCTTACAATGAAGATAATGGTAATTTTTAATGTGCTGCCTTTCTGACCACTCCTGGTGAATATCCCACTTCCCAATTCCTTTAGAGTTGGATTGAGAATGTTGATGCAATTATTTCCAGTTTCTTGGATTACTCTTCCTTAGAGAGAACAAGATCCAAGAGTGAATTTATGTGCTCCTCACTTACCATTTTTGTGAGTTCTACTCACTGATGTGGATGAATAGAAAAAGCTGTGCCAAAATAATGAATTGTCTCCTTTAACATTATGAGCTATAAAGGGATGGGAACAGCTTCTTTTAAGTTCTGTTAGTATTTCACAGTGTGCTAACTGATAAACTTTTAATGATCTCCAGAAAACAGCAAGGGGATGTTTACTACCCTTGTAAATATAAATAACTTTAATAACAAATCATATTACTTGAACTTTGACTCCCAGTAAACATAATACCTGATACTTATCTGACATAACTATGGTTTTGAAAGTTTAAACTCTAGGACATATGGTGGGTGTATAATCCTGCAAAGTTCACATTGTCTGACTTTGGCTATAAAGATGTGTTTCAAAAGGCCAAACAATTATTTTGTAGTGTTTGGATCATTTCCAAGGATTCATTTGTTTCAGCATAAACTCATTATATGTTTATGCTTCCCTTTGATTTCTTTTTGCCTAGAGGGACAAGAAGATGAGGATGAAGAGGATGAAGAAGATGAAGATGAAGAAGAGGAAGATGAGGAAGAAGATGAGGAAGATAAAGATGCAGACTCGCTGGATGAGGGCTTGGATGGTGACACTGAGCTGCCAGGTTTTACCCTCCCTGGTATCACATCCCAGGAACCAGGCTTAGAGGAGGGAAACATGGACCTGTTGGAGGGAGCTACCTACCAGGTGCCAGATGCCCTCGAGTGGGAACAGCAGAATCAAGGCCTGGGTAAGAGTCATGTGTATTTCCCTTTTCCTCCCTTCTCCCCTCCTTTTATATTTCTCAGATGACAGCCTTCTTTCATTGCCATCTATTGTAAAGAAAAATGGATTTTCTTTGTTTATGGGTGGTTTCTACATTTATGGGTGGTTAAGAATATAAGTATAAACT